>NC_000006.12:31575151-31878181 GCF_000001405.40 Homo sapiens | reverse complement strand
CTGTTTCCAGAATCTGCAAGGAAAAGGGGCTGGGGTTCTGAGGAGAGAGGGAGCTGGGGACTGGCCTCCAGATCCCCACGAGCAGTGAAGGCTGGGGACTCACCTGCGGAGGCCCCCCTGGTCTTCTGGTCTGAAGGGGAAGGAACCCCTATGAGGGACCTTCTCGAGGAGAGGCTTGAGTCCCTTAGGGCCATAGGGGAGCAGGCAGTGAGGACTCCCGAGTAGACTTCCTGGAGCGGCTTCAGGTCAATCATTGTCCATGAGCCATGGAGGGACAGAGTCCAGCGCACCTGGGGAAAGTGGACCCCACCCGCTCCTTCCCAGACTCCTGCCCAGCCCTCGGCTCTCCCTCCTCAGTGCCCACAAGGAACCCTGACTGCCCAGCCCTCCTCCTCCCTGTGTGTGTACTCAGGGAGGACCAGGAACTCAACGTGCCTGCAATCTCTATGGCTGGGCTCAGGTGTCACTCTGACTGCTGGCCCAGAGCCCGGAGCACACTGTGGCCAGGGGACTGAGGTCCCACCAGAGTGAGGATGTACAGGGCCGCTTCCCTCCCCAGGCCCTGCTGGGGTTGACACCTTTGTCTCCAGTTTCTTTCCCCATAGCCTTGAACCAGAGGGTAAGGTAGGGCCTGGGGCAGATAGGGGAAGAGGCCATGACCTCCCTGAGGGGCTGTGGGTCTGTGTGGTCCCTGGGGAGGGATTAGGGAGGAGGCAGGGATGAGAATGAGGGAGTGAGAGCCACTGGGAGTCCCACATCCCAGCTAAAGGGAGACTCAGGAGAACCGTGCCAGGGTAGGGCAGGGGACCAAGGCCATTTCCCAGACTGACTGCCTTGAGATGTGAGCCGGAAACTATAAAGGCCTTCCTTCCCCTCCCCATGGCAGCCTGGGTGGAGCTCCCAGGGAGCTGCTGAGCTGCTGACCAGGCCTGGATCCTACCTTTCCTGCTCCCCAGTTTTCCCCTCCTGCCAGTCCTGCCCTAGCCCATCTCCCTCCAAACACCTGAGGCCTGGGTAGGATCCTGGGGCTAGGAGGACTCAGCAGGACAAGATATGCAGAGAGAGACTCATCCTCCACACCTCTTCTCATGTCCCTCAGGGAAGCCAGTCAAATACGACCCCTCCTTTCGAGGCCCCATCAAGAACAGGTGAGCTCTGGGCACTGCTCCGGGGGCTGGCGGGGGTGGTGGGTGCAGTGTGGAATCCAGTATTTGCTTTGTATTTGCTAAAATATTAGTAGGAAACTTGTGAAAAAGAGAAACTCCTGCCCCAGATGGGTGGTGCCCTGGGGGGATTGTTGTGTCTGGAGCAGGCATCGAGGGCTTCCCAGTTCTGGGGGGATGTTCTGTTTCTTGACTTAAGTGCCGGCTTCACAAGCGAGAGAACTCACCCAGCTGAGCCCTTGCGAGTTGTGTGCTTTTCTGTCTTTTACTTCAGAAGAAAGTTTACCCACCCAGAAAAAGGTTTTCTTTCTTTTTGTGTTTTGGAGATGGGGGTTCACTGCAGGCTCGAACTCCTGTGCTCAAGTGATCCTCCTGCCCTAGCCTTCCGAGTAGCTGGGACTACAGGCATGCACCATCACACCAGGCTAATTTCTTTGAGATGGGATCTCACTATGTTGCCCAGGCTGGTCTCAAACTCCTGGCCTCAAGGGATTGCCCTGCCTCAGCCTCCCAAGTAGCTAGTATTACAGTCGTGAGCCACTGTGCCTGGCTAGGTTTTCTAAATAAAATATTTAAAAAAAATTAGCCGGGCAGTAGTGGCACGCGCCTGTAATCCCAGCTACTCGGGAGGCTAAGGCAGGAGAATTGCTTGAACCCAGGAGGCAGAGGCTGCAGTGAGCCAAGATTGCACCACTGCACTCCAGTCTGTGTGACAGAGTGAGACCCTGTCTCAAAATAAAAAAGTAAAAGCAATAAAAAAATAAAAATAAAGCCTACTGATGCCCATGCTGCAGCATCACCCAACTCTCTAACCCTTAACCCCTCCAGACCATAAGCCCTACCTCCCCAAGTCTCCTTAGCTCAGCCTCCCGTTTCGTTTCTCTCTCAGAAGCTGCACAGATGTCATCTGCTGCGTCCTCTTCCTGCTCTTCATTCTAGGTTACATCGTGGTGGGGATTGTGGGTGAGTTTCCAGCTGCTCAGAGCCAGGGCAGTGGGTGAGGGACAGGAACCCAGGGAGGGACCATTCCCATAACTGCCCCACTAAGTCCCTGCCCTCCAATGACTCATCTGTGCCTCTGTCTGCAGCCTGGTTGTATGGAGACCCCCGGCAAGTCCTCTACCCCAGGAACTCTACTGGGGCCTACTGTGGCATGGGGGAGAACAAGTGAGTACAAAGGCGAGAAGAGGAGTGCAGGAGCGAGGCGAGGTAGGGTGGGCAGGAGACACCCCCCCAACTCAGGCTCCAGACCTGTCCGTGCTCTTCCACAGCCTTTCCCTGCTGTCCCCACCCCACCTCAGCCTCCCTGAATCTGACAACTCCAGGCCACGTTAAGAACCATTGCTGGACAGTTAGCTTCTTGAGTCCCCCCAGAAATGGGAGGCAGTGGAGAGTCGTGTTAAGTGTATGAGTTTTACAGTTCAGAGATTGGTGTTTGGATCCCCAACTGGACCAAGTTTTGGTTGTGTGGCCTTGGACAAGTTACTCAAGCTCTCTGAGCTTTGATTTCCTTATTTGAAATTCAAGGGGAATTCCAGAAGCAATGCCAACAGTCCTCACATACAGATGTCCAATAAATAATAAAACCTCAAATATTTATATAGCATTTACTATGTTCCAGGCAGGCAGTAAACTTTACACACACAAGCGCATTGAAATCTCATGAGGTAGGCACTACTGTTTTATATGGAGTAGAACTAAGACCGAGAACAGGTGACTTGCTCAAGATCATAAAGATGATATGAAGTTGTGGAGCTCCAAGTTCATGCTCTGAGCTATTTGTCAGCTGCTGCAATGGTGACTTACTCTGAGAGATCTTCTAGGCATCTCCCTACCTCCCCAGCTGAGCTAGGGCCAGGAGCTGGGAGGTGACTGGTATGGGCCACGCTGGGCTGGGCCCACTGTATTCTTGAGAAGCCACCCTAGTGGTCCCTCCCCTCCCCCAACACCTGACCAGGCCCTGATGCACATGGTCCCTCCCCTCCCACAGAGATAAGCCGTATCTCCTGTACTTCAACATCTTCAGCTGCATCCTGTCCAGCAACATCATCTCAGTTGCTGAGAACGGCCTACAGTGCCCCACACCCCAGGTCAGAGCCTGGGACCTGCCTCTACCCCAGATCTCACCCAGGGTCTCAGGTTCCAGCCCCTTAGTGTTCTCTCTGCACCCAGGTGTGTGTGTCCTCCTGCCCGGAGGACCCATGGACTGTGGGAAAAAACGAGTTCTCACAGACTGTTGGGGAAGTCTTCTATACAAAAAACAGGAACTTTTGTCTGCCAGGGGTACCCTGGAATATGGTGAATATTGCCCCTAACCTCATCACTGTCGCCCAGAAGGGCCAGGGTGGGCACGAGAGGGAGGGGGAGTTGGGTAGATCATCACCAGGTTGGCTCTCCTGGGGAGTGTGGGACAGGCTGAGCCCCATGGTGGTGGTGAGGGGACCTGCTTCTTCATCCTGCTCTGTGTCTGTGTGTCTGTCCTTTCACTCCTGCCACAGACGGTGATCACAAGCCTGCAACAGGAACTCTGCCCCAGTTTCCTCCTCCCCTCTGCTCCAGGTGAGAAGCACAGATTCCTTCCTCAGACGTCATCTAGTCCAGTGTTTTCATTGCTTGAATGAAGAAATCAGGCCCAGAGAGAGTGAAGTCACATAGCTTGTTGGTGGCAAAATTGGAATTAGCATCAGGTCTTCATTTTGCTCTTTGTTATGTGGCCTTGCAGTCAGACCATCAGTGTTTTGGGGACCTACTATGTGCCAGGTGCTGGGGACAGAGGCAGGGATAACAACTGCTCCCTGCTTCAGCTACATTCTAGGTGAAGAGATTAGAGTTGTTCACAAAGAGACTGTATGAAAATCTCATGAAAACATACATGGGTGAATCTACACACACATTTTTTTTTTTTTGACGGAGTCTTCCTCTGTTGCCCAGGCTGGAGTGCAGTGGCGTGATCTCGGCTCACTGCAACCCCCGCCTCCCGGGTTCAAGCGCTTCTCTGCTTCAGCCTCCCGAGTAGCTGGAATTACAGCACATGGTGCCCGCCACCACGCCCGGCTAATTTTTATTTTTATTTTATTTATTAAATTTATTTATTAAATTTGTATTTTTAGTAGAGACGGGGTTTCACTATCTTGGCCAAGCTGGTCTTGAACTCCTAACTTCGTGATCCACCCACCTTGGCCTCCCAAAGTGCTGGGATTACAGACATGAGCCACCACGCCCAGCCTGCACACATATCATTTTTATATATGCACAGGGAAAAGGCTAGAAGGATATTTGTTCAAATGTTATAAGTGAACGTGGCTGGGTGGTAGGATCACAGTTGAACTTTTTTTCTTTTACAGTGTGCTCTTCCTTCCAGTAGCAAATGTCTTTTTTTTTTTTTAAGAGATGAAGTCTTGCTATGTTGCCCAGGCTGGTCTTGAACTCCTCGATTCAAGCAATCTTCCCACCTCAGCCTCTCAAAGTGCTGGGATTACAGACATGAGCCCCGACACCCAGTTGCAAATGTCATTTTTAATATAAAACAATTTTTAGGCCAGGCATGGTGGCTCATGCTTGTAATCCTAGCACTTTGGGAGGCTGAGGCAGGCAGATCACCTGAGATCAGGAGTTCGAGACCAGCCTGGCCAACATGGCGAAACCCTATCTCTACTAAAAATACAAAACTTAGCTGGGCGTGGTGGCATGCACCTCTTATCCCAGCTACTCAGGAGGCTGAGGCAGGAGAATTGCTTGAACCCGGGTGGCAGAGGTTGCAGTGAGCTTTGCAGTGAGCCAAGATCGTGCCACTGTACTCTAGCCTTGCTGACAGAGCGAGACTCCGTCTCAAACAAAAATTTTAGGCCGGGAGCAGTGGCTCACACCTGTAATCCCAGCACTTTGGGAGGCCGAGGCGGGCGGATCACAAGGTCAGGAGTTCGAGACTAGTCTGGCCAACATGGTGAAACCCCGTCTCTACTAAAAATACAAAAATTAGCCAGGTGTGGTGGTGGGCACCTGAAATCCCAGCTACTCGGGAGGCTGAAGTAGGAGAATTGCTTGAGCCCAGAGGCGGAGTTTACGGTGAGCCGAGATGGTGCCACTGCACTCCAGCCTGGGCAACAGTGAGACTCCATCTCAAAAAAAAAAAATTAGACAATTTATAGCATAAGATGAGATATCCAGTTATCAATTTAAGTACAGTAAGGAGTATCTCAAGTGAATACTTCAAAGTCAAGTAGATCTGAATATAAATTCTAGCACTTTCCAGCCCTATGGTCTTGACCCAACTATGCAACCTCTCTGAACCTTGTTTCCTCATCTTTAGAATGTAAATGACAGTGAGGTGCAGTGGCTCATGCCTGTAGTCCCAACTGCTCAGGAGGCTAAGGCGGGAGGATCACTTGAGTCCTGGAGTTGGAGGTTACAGTGAGCTATGATTGTGCCACTGCACTCCAGCCTGGGCAATAGAGTGAGAAACCCTGCCTCTAAAAAATAAATAAGCTAGGTGAGGTGACTCACACCTGTAATCCCAACACTTTGGGGGGCTGAGGTGGGAGGATTGCTTGAGCCCAGGAGTTTGAGGCCAGCCTGGGCAACACAGCAAAACCCCATCTGTACAAAAAATTTAAAAATTAGCCAAGTGTGGTGGTGCACATCTATAGTCCCAGTTGCTTGGGAGGCTAAGTGGGGAGGATCGCTTGAGCCCAGAAGTTCAATGTTGCAGTAAGCTATGATCATGCAGCTGCACTCTAGCCTGGGTGACAGAGCAAGACCTTGACTCAAAAATAAGAAAATAAATAAATAAATAGATAAATAAATGACAAAGCAAGGCTGCCTGGCAAAGTTGTTGCAAGGATGGCAGTAAGTGGCTCTGTAGGCACATAACAGTTGCCAAAGGAGGTGGGGATAAGGTCAGAAGGCTTCCTGGAGGAGGTGAGATGGAGCTGGATTTGAACAGGGAGTCATGGATGGGATTTCTGGTGGAAAGAGAGCCCTGAGAGAGAGGCACAGTAAGAGCAAAGGTACAGAGTAGAAGGGAACATGGGCTGGATTTGCACAGGAGAGCCTGGAAGCCTGGCCAGGGAGTGTGGATGCTGTCTCTGGGGCAGAGCCTCTGGAGATGTCTGAGTCACAAAGGGACCCAGAACCCTGGAGTGATGAAGTCCAGGCAGTGCCACGGTCTCCCTGGCACTCCACTCGGGTGGAGGGTGGATGGAAGGGTGACAGGGTGTTCTAAGAGTTGAGGCCAGCGGAGAGGAGGGTCCAAACCAAGGCACGACAGGGAGGGGAGGCAGGGGATAGACTGGGCTCCACAGGGCAGAAGCCCATTTGTGAAATCAAAAGCAGCCCACTGAGGGATGCAAGGCCCATCACCCTTCCCTCCCCTAAGGGCACTGTGGACTGGGAGGGGGCCAGAGACCCTCCAGGCAGAGCTCCTGGCCCCCAACCCAGCAGCCCGGCTCTCCCTTCCAGCTCTGGGGCGCTGCTTTCCATGGACCAACGTTACTCCACCGGCGCTCCCAGGGATCACCAATGACACCACCATACAGCAGGGGATCAGGTAGGCACCTCCCTCCCCCACATCCTGGCCACACCCCTTCCACCCACAGCCCCATCTGACTCTGTCTCCCCAACAGCGGTCTTATTGACAGCCTCAATGCCCGAGACATCAGTGTTAAGATCTTTGAAGATTTTGCCCAGTCCTGGTATTGGATTCTTGTGTGAGTCACCAGATTCCCCTCCTCTTGTGTCCTTGCCTTCTTCCTCCCTGATCCTCTACCCCCTCGCCCAATGTCTGAAACACAGGCTTTGGACAGAGGAGGAGGAGCCAGAGCTCCGAATGGATTCCAAGACCAACAGGATTTATAAGGGAAAGAGGCCTAATCTGGGGACATTGGGTGGTGTGTGGAAAGGCAGGGAGGGCCTCTGTAAGGGGAAAGATTTGAGGGGCTAGGGCTGAACCTCACTGTCCTCACCCTGCCTACAGTGCCCTGGGGGTGGCTCTGGTCTTGAGCCTACTGTTTATCTTGCTTCTGCGCCTGGTGGCTGGGCCCCTGGTGCTGGTGCTGATCCTGGGAGTGCTGGGCGTGCTGGCATACGGCATCTACTACTGCTGGGAGGAGTACCGAGTGCTGCGGGACAAGGGCGCCTCCATCTCCCAGCTGGGTTTCACCACCAACCTCAGTGCCTACCAGAGCGTGCAGGAGACCTGGCTGGCCGCCCGTGAGTGTCCTGCCCACCCCCAAGCCACCAGCTGCCCAAGGACCGCCCTGGGCCATGCCCGGCCCCAGCCCTGGCCCTGACCTAGGTCTGTCTGCCCCGTCCTCTGCAGTGATCGTGTTGGCGGTGCTTGAAGCCATCCTGCTGCTGATGCTCATCTTCCTGCGGCAGCGGATTCGTATTGCCATCGCCCTCCTGAAGGAGGCCAGCAAGTTAGGGCCTGCCTGGGAGGGAGATGGGGTTGAGGACAGCGTGGACCCAGGAGTGCTAGGGGACCTAGGGGGTGCTAGAGAGGTGGCAGGGAGCCTCAGAGGAGAAGGGAGGAATATAGCACAGTGGTGAACACTGCTGTGGCTTTGCTTCCCCATCTGTAAAATGGGGGTAACAATAATTCCTGCCTTCTAGGGTTGTCTTGAGGATTCAATGAGTGCCTGGAATATGACATAGGCCTTCTAGAGGGGTTGGTGGGAGTGGTGGTGGCTGAGTGGAACGGCAGGAATCCGGGCCAGGAGGGGCAGCAGCTTGCTCCCGATCAGGAACTGCCACACACACCTGCCAAGGGATCACGCTTGGGGGTGATCTTCCCTTACTCCACCCGAAGCTGCCCCAGGTGGCTTCTCTGTGACCCCAGTTTCCTCTAAGGGTCCTGTGAGCCTGATTTATTCAGTTCTGTTTATCCAGTGAGCACCTACAGTATGCCTAGCCCTGCACCAGGCCCTGAGGACACAGATATGAAAGACAATGTCACTAACCCTGTTGGTCCCACCCTGGGGGAGTGGGGCAGGCCCCAGTGAGGGCAGAGGGGTCAGCCCCCCCCTTTTTTTTTTTTTGAGACGGAGTCTCGCTCTGTCGACCAGGCTGGAGTGCAGTGGTGCGATGTCAGCTCACTGCAAACTCCGCCTCCCGGGTTCACGCCATTCTCCTGCCTCAGCCTCCGGAGTAGCTGGCACTACAGGCGCCCGCCACCATGCCCGGCTAATTTTTTGTATTTTTAGTAGAGATGGGGTTTCACCGTGTTAGCCAGCATGGTCTCGATCTCCTGACCTCGTGATCCGCCCGCCTCAGCCTCCCAAAGTGCTGGGATTACAGGCGTGAGCCACTGCGCCCGGCCGGGGTCAGCCCCTTGAGAAGATGGACAGCTGGGGCGGTGCCGGTTAACAGCTTTGTCTCCCTGCAGGGCTGTGGGACAGATGATGTCTACCATGTTCTACCCACTGGTCACCTTTGTCCTCCTCCTCATCTGCATTGCCTACTGGGCCATGACTGCTCTGTATCCTCTGCCCACGCAGCCAGCCACTCTTGGAGTCCTGGGGGGTGATGGAAAACAAAGCAATACTTGCCCTGTAGAGTGCCTTGGTGTCACTGGAAGAGGTGCCCCTTTCTCTGGGCAGACACACCAGCACTGTGCCTGAACAGAGTTGAAAGGGTGCACACAGGCTGAATTTCAGCCCTCTCTGTGCAGCAAACGATCTGCACAAGCACCTAGGAACAGGTCCCTAAGGAGCGAGTGACCTGTGGAGACCTCGTGTGATCATGCTTTCCTTGACTCCCCTCTGGGTACCTGGCTACATCGGGGCAACCCCAGTATGTGCTCTGGGCATCCAACATCAGCTCCCCCGGCTGTGAGAAAGTGCCAATAAATACATCATGCAACCCCACGGTAAGAGGAAGCAGGGGACATGGAGGCGGGACTAGTAGGGGTGAGGGGCTGTAGGGGCCACATTCCTCATTGTGCAGAGAAGACTGAGGCCACAGAGGGCAAGAAACTTGTGCAAGGTCACACACTCAACCCCCAGCAGAGCTAGAAGAAACCAGTTCCCAGAATACCTGGTACTCCTGTTGAGCCATCCATCATGTGGGGAGGGAAACTGAGGCTGGGAGAGACAGCCCTGGATACCAGGACTTACTCCACCCCTCCCCAGGACATTGCTCTGACTTGAGGACCATCAACCACTTCACCCTCTGAGTCTCAGCCTACTCCTGTTTGTTTGTTTGTTTGTTTGTTTGTTTGTTTGTTTTGAGACAGGGTCTTGCTCTGTTGCCCAGGCTGGAGTGCAGCAGTGCAATCTCAGCTCACTGCAACCTCCATCCCCCAGGCTCAAGCAATCTTCCCACCTCAGCCTCCTGAGCAGCTGGAACTACTAGCGTATGACACCACGCCAGGCTAATTTTAAGCTTTTTGTAGAGGCAAGGTCTTGCTGTGTTACCCGGGCTGGTCTTGAACTCCTGGGGTTGCCCCGATGTAGTCAGGTACCCAAGCAATCCTCTGGCTTAACCTCCCAAAGTACTGGGATTATAGGAGTGAGCCACCACATGCAGCTCCATTCCTCTGTAAAATGAGGATAATTATAATACCCATCCCTGGGGTGGCTGAGAAGATGAAATGACTTTGGGCACATAAAGTGCTTAGTACAATGCCTGGCACCTGATAAGAGCTCAACAACAGGTTGAATTGTATTATATTGTTAAGTCTTACTCCCTTGGAACACAGAGCCCTAGGTAGTAGCCAGGTGGGACTCCCTGCGGGGGACCCGAGAGAGAAGCTGCTTCCAAAATTCCCCTGTGAGGTTCCCCGGGAGTGGCGCTGGGCTGCTGGGAATTTACTCTTCTCAAACCTGTCATATCTTCACCTCGTCTGAGCTGGGAACATGAGCTGTGCTGCAGGCATTAGCCCCACCCCTATTAAAAAGGGGAGGTTTGGCAGGCGCGGTGGCTCATGCCTGTAATCCCAGCACTTAGGAGGCCGAGGTGGGCAGATCACCTGAGGTCAGGAGTTTGAGACCAGCCTGGCCAACATGACAAAAACCTGTCTCCACTAAAAGTACAAAAATTAGCCAGGCATGGTAGCAGGTGCCTGTAATCCCAGCTACTCAGGAGGCTGAGGCAGGAGAATTGCTTGAACTCGGGAGGCGGAGGTTGCAGTGAGCTGAGATCGCGCCATTGCACTGCAGCCTGGGCGGCGAGACTCCGTCTCAAAAAAAAAAAAAAAAGGTTTATTTACATGTACAGAGGACCCACTATGTGCCAGGCACTGGGTATACAAAGCCCAAAATGATGTGGTTCTTTTTCTTTTTCTTTTTTTTTTCTTTTTTAATGAAAAAAAGGCTGTTACACAGGCTGGAGTGCAGTGATGCGATCATGGCTCACTGAAGCCTTGATCTCCCAGGCTCAAGTGATCTTCTCACCTCAGTCTCCCAAGTAGCTGGGACTACAAACAAGTGCCACCATGCCCGGCTAATTTTTTTTTTTAAGAGATGGCGTTTCACTATGTTGCCCAGGCTGGTCTCAAACAAATGGGCTCAAGCAATTTGCCTGCTTCAGCCTCCAAAAGTGTTGGGATTATACACATGAGCAACTGTGCTGGGTATGACGTGAGTGTTGTTTTCAACTTGCTTGTGATCTAGCAGTAAAGACTGACAGAAGGCCGCGCGCAGTGGCTCACACCTGTAATCCCAGCACTTTGGGAGGCCGAGGCAGGTGAATCATGAGGTCCAGAGTTCGAGACCAACCTGGCCAATATGGTGACAGAGTGAGACTCCATCTCAAAAAAAAAAAAAAGATTTTTTGATTAGCCAGGCATGGTGGCACACACCTGCAGTCCCAGCTACTTGGGAGGTTGAAGCAGGAGGATTGCTTGAACACGGGAGGCAGAGGTTGCAGTGAGCTGAGATTGAGCCACTGTACTCCAGCCTGGGCAACAGAGCGAGACCCTGTGTCAAAAAAAAATTTTTTTGGTTATATTTGCTAGAAAGGGTTGCTTTTTAATTTGTGACTTTTTACTTTTTATTATGGGAATTTTTAAACATATGCAAAAGTAGAGATGATAGCACAGTGAGTTCCCTGTACCCAGATTCCACAACCCTCAACTTTTTGCTATTCTTATTTCATCTATATCCTCACCTATAATTTTTTTTTTTTTTGAGATGGAGTTTTGCTCTTGTCTCCCAGGCTGGAGTGCAGTGGCGCGATCTCGGCCCACTGCAACCTCTGCCTCCTGGGTTCAAGCAATTATCCTGCCTCAGCCTCCTGAATAGCTGGGATAATAGGCGTCTGCCACCACGCCCGGCTAATTTTTTGTATTTTCAGTAGAGATGGGATTTCACCATGTTGGCCAAGCTAGTCTTGAACTCCTGACCTCAGGCGATCCGCCCACCTCGGCCTCCCAAAGTGCTGAGATTACAGGCATAAGCCACCGCACCCGCCTCATAAATTTTTTTTTCTGGAGACTTTTAAGGCAAATTCTGGACATCATGCCATTTCACCTGTACATGCATCGAGATGGATCTCAACAGATAAGAACTGTTTAAAAGCATAGCCACTATATCATTATCACATCTCACAAAATTAACAATAATTCCTTAATATCATCAAATACCCAGCCTGTTCAATTTGCCGGAAAGGGTTTTGGTAGACGTTGCAGAGGCTGCTCTGGAATGGGAATGCTGAGTGAGTGCCTTCCCCTCTGATTGAGACTGAGGGAGCTGATTATGCTTATGCTATAGGCAGACCAAACTGAGTTTGAGCCTGGAGATGGAACTCTCCGACAGAACTTGATTCCCGCAGTCCAGAGAAGCTACTTCCCACCTGTCAACTCTGGGAGGGGCAGGAGCTACTGGGAATGGGACGCCCAGGCTCCATACTGAGGCCCCCGATGCCTGAGCCTACTCTATCCCCGTCTACCCTCCCAGGCCCACCTTGTGAACTCCTCGTGCCCAGGGCTGATGTGCGTCTTCCAGGGCTACTCATCCAAAGGCCTAATCCAACGTTCTGTCTTCAATCTGCAAATCTATGGGGTCCTGGGGCTCTTCTGGACCCTTAACTGGGTACTGGCCCTGGGCCAATGCGTCCTCGCTGGAGCCTTTGCCTCCTTCTACTGGGCCTTCCACAAGCCCCAGGACATCCCTACCTTCCCCTTAATCTCTGCCTTCATCCGCACACTCCGGTAAGGATGGGGCAGGGGCCTGGTCATTGTAGGCACGGGGGCCCCAGGGGTCCTGGAGCTGTCTCTGACTGCATAACACCCTCTGCAGTTACCACACTGGGTCATTGGCATTTGGAGCCCTCATCCTGACCCTTGTGCAGATAGCCCGGGTCATCTTGGAGTATATTGACCACAAGCTCAGAGGTGAGTCTGGAGTCGGAGTAGGAGTCAGGAGCTGGGGAAGGCCATTAGGGAGGGGCAGTGACCAAACATGAGCCTTCCTCGCTCCCAGGAGTGCAGAACCCTGTAGCCCGCTGCATCATGTGCTGTTTCAAGTGCTGCCTCTGGTGTCTGGAAAAATTTATCAAGTTCCTAAACCGCAATGCATACATCATGGTGAGCTACACTGCAAGCAACCCTTTGTTCTGGTGCCCTTTGGTCTAGACACCCCCATCCTGGTCCAGGCAGCTCGCCTTGGTAACTCTGACCTTTCCACCTCCCTCAGATCGCCATCTACGGGAAGAATTTCTGTGTCTCAGCCAAAAATGCGTTCATGCTACTCATGCGAAACATTGTCAGGTTAGGCTGCTCCCCCCCCGCTTTGTGGCTCCCTCCTCTGATCTCCCACCCAAGGCTGGCTTCGTGGGTGTGCTGTGCTCAGTCGGGCCCTAGACTTAGTTTAGTGCTCTGCTCTTGCCATCTTGAAACGTGAACAATTTTCATTTTGCACCAGTCCCCACAAATTACGAAGCCAATTTCACTCTCAGCATTGCCAGGCCTCTCACCCTCAACCTGCCCTAACTTCTGGCACAGGGTGGTCGTCCTGGACAAAGTCACAGACCTGCTGCTGTTCTTTGGGAAGCTGCTGGTGGTCGGAGGCGTGGGTAAGGGACCAGAAGCTGTGGGGACAGAGGGTAGGGGTGCTGGGCAGCTGAAGAGGTGGCCTCAGAGGTGCAGCACTAACCCCCAGAATTATTCCACAGGGGTCCTGTCCTTCTTTTTTTTCTCCGGTCGCATCCCGGGGCTGGGTAAAGACTTTAAGAGCCCCCACCTCAACTATTACTGGCTGCCCATCATGGTGAGTGACTCCCCTCTCTGCTGCTCCACCCCCAACTCCCCAGAGGAACCCAATAACCCCAACGGGTCATGTCTTCCAGACCTCCATCCTGGGGGCCTATGTCATCGCCAGCGGCTTCTTCAGCGTTTTCGGCATGTGTGTGGACACGCTCTTCCTCTGCTTCCGTGAGTGACACCCCCAGCCACCTGTCCCCAACCTTAAAGTACTGAGCCGTTCAAGCATTTTTTTTTTTTTTTGGAGATTTGGTGCTTCTAGAAACAATGCCTTTGTGAGCTAAACGAACCAGAGGGAGCTTCTTGTGACATCCTGAGGCCAGGCGTTTAGGGAAGAAGGAAGAGAGTGAGCCCCCAGGCCGGTAGGCTCTCCAAAGAAGGAGCATTCTGATGGAGAGGTCTCTGCTATCTTCCCTAAGAAATCTCGGGTAGAAGTTAGCCATTAGAGGCCAGGCATGGTGGCTCACGCCTGTCATGCCAGCACTTTGGGGGACCGAGGTGGGCAGATCACCCTGAGGTCAGGAGTTCGAGACCAGCCTGGCCCACATGGTGAAACCCCTCTCTACTAAAAATACAAAAAATTAGCTGGGCGCGGTGGCGGGCGCCTGTAATCCCAGCCACTTGGGAGGCTGAAGCAGGAGAATCGCTTGAACTCAGGAGGCGGAGGTTGCAGCGAGCCGAGATTGCGCTACTGCACTTCAGCTTGGGCGACAGCAAGACTCCGTCTCAAAACAAAGAAAAAAGATTAAAAAAAAAAAAGAGCCATTAGAGAGACTTCCCAGCAGGTGGCTGTAGCGGCAGGGGATTTTCTTACTCTACAGCATGCATCCATTCAGGGTTTGCCAGTCTCCTCCTAAGCGACTGACATGCATTTTTTCCGCTAATTCTTATCATCGCTCTATGCAACATAATATTCCCGACCCCACTTCACAGGAGGAAACTGAGATTACATAACCTGCCCGGGGGTAAGGGTGGTGGTGCAGCTTGGATTCCAAATCCCGCAGGCAGCTTGCCTCCCAGTCCCCGATTTCCTGGCCCCAGGGTCCGCTCTAACCGGTCTCTGTTGCGGCTCAGTGGAAGACCTGGAGCGGAACAACGGCTCCCTGGACCGGCCCTACTACATGTCCAAGAGCCTTCTAAAGATTCTGGGCAAGAAGAACGAGGCGCCCCCGGACAACAAGAAGAGGAAGAAGTGACAGCTCCGGCCCTGATCCAGGACTGCACCCCACCCCCACCGTCCAGCCATCCAACCTCACTTCGCCTTACAGGTCTCCATTTTGTGGTAAAAAAAGGTTTTAGGCCAGGCGCCGTGGCTCACGCCTGTAATCCAACACTTTGAGAGGCTGAGGCGGGCGGATCACCTGAGTCAGGAGTTCGAGACCAGCCTGGCCAA
Source organism: Homo sapiens (assembly GCF_000001405.40). Taxonomy (NCBI): domain Eukaryota; kingdom Metazoa; phylum Chordata; class Mammalia; order Primates; family Hominidae; genus Homo; species Homo sapiens. The sequence goes on along the minus strand of NC_000006.12, from coordinate 31,863,429 downwards.
CATGGTGAAACCTCCGTCTCTATTAAAAATACAAAAATTAGCCGAGAGTGGTGGCATGCACCTGTCATCCCAGCTACTCGGGAGGCTGAGGCAGGAGAATCGCTTGAACCCGGGAGGCAGAGGTTGCAGTGAGCCGAGATCGCGCCACTGCACTCCAACCTGGGTGACAGACTCTGTCTCCAAAACAAAACAAACAAACAAAAAGATTTTATTAAAGATATTTTGTTAACTCAGTAAATCTGTGACTCATTCTCTCCACGACGACAGGCGGCCTTTTTTTTTCCGCGCCCGGCTCTTTAAAATCGGCCCCGCCCCTGTGACGTGTCCTGGTGCCGCGGCCAATCAAAAAGCCCAATAAGGATGGTGCCAGTCCCTTCTTCACCCCAGCCAGTCCGCTTCCCGTTCGGGTCACGCGCTCCGGGCCTCCAAGAGGGCCTCCAAGAGGGCCAATCGGAAGGGCAAGCTTCGAGATGCTGCGTGATCACGTGGGAGGAGATGAGCTACTTGAAGACCAATTAGAGTCCGGGAAGCGCGGCGGGGCCTCCAGACCGGGGCGGGCTTAAGGGTGACATCTGCGCTTTAAAGGGTCCGGGTCAGCTGACTCCCGACTCTGTGGAGTCTAGCTGCCAGGGTCGCGGCAGCTGCGGGGAGAGATGACTGGGGAGCGACCCAGCACGGCGCTCCCGGACAGACGCTGGGGGCCGCGGATTCTGGGCTTCTGGGGAGGCTGTAGGGTTTGGGTGTTTGCCGCGATCTTCCTGCTGCTGTCTCTGGCAGCCTCCTGGTCCAAGGCTGAGAACGACTTCGGTCTGGTGAGTCACCCTTTGCATAGCCCCATCCCCGACCCGCGCAGGTGATCGACACCTAGTGTCCCCCGGAACGCGGGCGGCTGAGCCGACTTTCCGCGACAGGACCCTTTTCTTTCTCCCAGACCCCGTTTCCTCCTACCGCTCCCAGCCCCTCTCCCTCTCCGGGTCCCCGTCCTTCTCCTCATTCGAGCCCCTTCCTCTTTTGGGGTCCCCTTCCCTCCCTGAAGGCGCCTTCTCCTTTCGTAGACCCTCCCCTGCTCCGAGCCTCCAGCTTCGCTCCAAACTCCCCTTCGTGTTCCTCTTTCTTGTTCTGGGACCCCATCCCCTACTCGGGATCCCCATTAGATCCTCCCTCTCCCATCGGAACGTGGGTTCCTAAAACCCCCAAGACAAGTTTGTCTTTGTTGACCCTTCCTCCTCCCATGACAGGTGCAGCCGCTGGTGACCATGGAGCAACTGCTGTGGGTGAGCGGGAGACAGATCGGCTCAGTGGACACCTTCCGCATCCCGCTCATCACAGCCACTCCGCGGGGCACTCTTCTCGCCTTTGCTGAGGCGAGGAAAATGTCCTCATCCGATGAGGGGGCCAAGTTCATCGCCCTGCGGAGGTCCATGGACCAGGGTATAAAGATGTCTGGGTGAAAGAGCCGGTGCTAGGTTGGATGGGTGGGCAGCCCAATGAGCCCAAGGGCCCTGAGGATAGGGGAACTTAGAGGGTTGGTTGCCTGAGTCCCTGAGGGGTAGAGGGAACCCGAGAAGGGCAAGTGTCTAGGACAGTGATCTGGAAATTGGGATCACCAAGGAGTTGGACATTCACTTAGCAAACATTTATTGGGTACTATATACCTATACCAGGCACTATTTTAGGTTTCATGAATATAGCCACGAACAAAACAGATCAAAAATCTCTGCCCTCAGGATTTAAATTGTACTGGAAGGAGACAGACAAGCATAATAAACAAGTAAACTTTTTTGTCTGTTGCAAGGTGATAAATGCAATGGAGAAAAATAAAACAGGACAAGAGGTATAGATAGTGCAAGTGTTGGATTGCACCCTGGGACCATCGGAAGGCCTGAGGTCCCTAGCAGAAGGTGGGAAATTAACGGGAAGTGGTAGAAAGGGTACCTGCAGAGTGCTCACTCTGGGTTTCTTCCTCCAATTTTTTTCAGGCAGCACATGGTCTCCTACAGCGTTCATTGTCAATGATGGGGATGTCCCCGATGGGCTGAACCTTGGGGCAGTAGTGAGCGATGTTGAGACAGGAGTAGTATTTCTTTTCTACTCCCTTTGTGCTCACAAGGCCGGCTGCCAGGTGGCCTCTACCATGTTGGTATGGAGCAAGGATGATGGTGTTTCCTGGAGCACACCCCGGAATCTCTCCCTGGATATTGGCACTGAAGTGTTTGCCCCTGGACCGGGCTCTGGTATTCAGGTCTCTGTCCTAGGAGATAGGTGGAGGGGGCTGCCTTGTGGAGAGTCTGAGGGATACCCCCAAATGGACTCCTTTCCAAGGGGAAGATTCTCTGAAGTCAGATTTTCTGGCTTGGGTGGGATTCCTTGAAAGACAGGGCATCCTGGTAGGAACACATTATCAGGAGAAGAGGGAACTCTGCCATTGGCTTCCCATTTGGCATTGTCAACAGGACTGCGTTAGTCCATGCAATACCCTCATGCAAAGTAGAAAAAGGCACTGCCTCTTTGGACAGACACAAGCCTGTGCCAGGGTGCACAGCTTGGCGAGTGAGCACAGGTTGGGTTTAAGCTCTCATGCACCCTGTGGCTGGGCCCCTGGTGCACATGTCCAGCTGTACACCCTGGGAGAGCTTCTTAATTCAAACAGGGTGTGTATTTATGGGATCTGACTGGAACCCTCAGTGAGCAAGGGCTGAACTCAAGGGGACCATACATGTGATTGCATTTGGGAAGTGGTGGGTTCTCTGTCCCTGCCTCTGAGCCCCTAGAGTCTCCTTCTGTGACACCCAGTTCCCTTTCCCACAGAAACAGCGGGAGCCACGGAAGGGCCGCCTCATCGTGTGTGGCCATGGGACGCTGGAGCGGGACGGAGTCTTCTGTCTCCTCAGCGATGATCATGGTGCCTCCTGGCGCTACGGAAGTGGGGTCAGCGGCATCCCCTACGGTCAGCCCAAGCAGGAAAATGATTTCAATCCTGATGAATGCCAGGTCAGGAGTCCATGAGATGTTCCCTACCCATTTGACCCTCCCTGCCCTCCAGAACATCATTTCACGCACAGACCCAGGGTCTGACTGCTCCACTCAGTGCCACACACCCTTGCTCCCCTCGGGGACAGGGCATTTTCCCTGTTCCCTCCCTGAGGTCCTGTCCTCTCCCCTCAGCCCTATGAGCTCCCAGATGGCTCAGTCGTCATCAATGCCCGAAACCAGAACAACTACCACTGCCACTGCCGAATTGTCCTCCGCAGCTATGATGCCTGTGATACACTAAGGCCCCGTGATGTGACCTTCGACCCTGAGCTCGTGGACCCTGTGGTAGCTGCAGGAGCTGTAGTCACCAGCTCCGGCATTGTCTTCTTCTCCAACCCAGCACATCCAGAGTTCCGTGAGTGCCTCATGGGTGGGGTCAGCAGGGAGAGCCCTGTGTCTAGACAAGGCCTGGGCAGAGACCCTCTCTCCCTGACTCTCCTGCTCTCCCCAGGAGTGAACCTGACCCTGCGATGGAGCTTCAGCAATGGTACCTCATGGCGGAAAGAGACAGTCCAGCTATGGCCAGGCCCCAGTGGCTATTCATCCCTGGCAACCCTGGAGGGCAGCATGGATGGAGAGGAGCAGGCCCCCCAGCTCTACGTCCTGTATGAGAAAGGCCGGAACCACTACACAGAGAGCATCTCCGTGGCCAAAATCAGTGTCTATGGGACACTCTGAGCTGTGCCACTGCCACAGGGGTATTCTGCCTTCAGGACTCTGCCTTCAGGAACACGGGTCTGTAGAGGGTCTGCTGGAGACGCCTGAAAGACAGTTCCATCTTCCTTTAGACTCCAGCCTTGGCAAAATCACCTTCCCTTTACCAGGGAAATCACTTCCTTTAGGACTGAAAGCTAGGCGTCCTCTCCCACAAAAAAGTCCTGCCCTCATCTGAGAATACTGTCTTTCCATATGGCTAAGTGTGGCCCCACCACCCTCTCTGCCCTCCCGGGACATTGATTGGTCCTGTCTTGGGCAGGTCTAGTGAGCTGTAGAATTGAATCAATGTGAACTCAGGGAACTGGGGAAGGCTGAGCCTCCTCTTTGGTGTTGCGGTAAGATAACCGACAGGGCTGGTGAAAGTCCCCAGATGGCAGGATATTTGGTTTCAGAGTAAGGACTAGGTGCACCACCATGACTGACTATCAATCAAAATGTTTGTAACTTAAAATTTTTAATGAAGGATAATGAATATTTGTAGAGTCTCTATGGTTCTGTCAATGCACATCTTCGTGTCTGTTTTCCTCATGTATCCTTGTGAGCCTGGGTGAGTTCTGGGGAGAGACCTGATGTGCGTACTGCCTGTGAAAATCTGACTTTGGCAAATCAAATCCTCTTTTCCTTTTGACATGCCCTCTTTTTTTGTTGTTGCTTTTTTTGAGACAGGGCTCGCTCTGTCACCCAGGCTGGAGTGCAGTTGCACAATCACGGCTCACTGAAGCCTCAACCTCCTGGGCTCAAGTGATCCTCACGTCTCAGCCTCCGGAGTAGTTGGGACTACAGGTCAGTGACACCATGCCTGGTTAATTTTTTTAATTTTTATTTTCAGTAGAGACAAGGTTGCGCTATGTTGCCCAGGCTGGTATGGAACTCCTGTGCTTAAGCAATCCTCATGCCTCAGCTTCCCAAAGTGCTGAGGTTACAGCTATGAGCCACCGCACCCAGCCTACATTCCTTCTTATCACCGAGAAACAGGTTGATCTTCACAGGTGTAATGAGTATGAAGGGAGTGCCATAAGATATTTTTTATTTTTTATTTATTTATTTTTTAATTTAATTTTTTTTTTTTTGAGATGGAGTCTTGCTCTGGCACCCAGGCTAGAGTGCAGTGGTGCGATCTCGGCTCACTGCAACCTCTGCCTCCCAGGTTCAAGCGATTCTTCTGCCTCAGCTTCCCGAATAGCTGGGATTACAGGTGCCCACCACCACACCCGGCTAATTTTTGTATTTTTAGTAGAGACGGAGTTTCACCATGTTGGCCAGGCTGGTCTCAAACTCCTGGCCTCAGGTGATCCACCCGCCTCGGCCTCCCAAAGTGTTGTGATTACAAGCATGAGCCATGGTGCCGGCGGGCTGATTTTTTTAATTTTTAGTAGAGACAAAGTCTCACTATATTGCCTAGGTTGGTCTCAAACTGCTGAGCTCAAGCAATCTGCCGGCCATGTTCTCTCAAAGTGCTGGGATTACAGGCTTGAGCCCCTGCACCCAGCCTGTAAGATATTTTAAAATCCACACTTGGCCAAGCGTGGTGGCTCACACATATAATCCCAGCACTTTGGGAGGCCAAGGTGGGCGGATCACAAGGTCAGGAGTTCGAGACCAGCCTGGCCAATATGGTGAAATCCCATCTCTACTAAAAATACAAAAACTAGCCAGGCGTGTTGGCTTACACTTATAGTCCCAGCTACTCAGGTGGCTGAGGCAGGAGAATCACTTGAACCAGGAGGCGGAGTTTGCAGTGAGCTGAGATCACAGCACTGCACACCAGCCTCGGCAACAGAGTGAGACTCCGTCTGAAAAAAAAAAAATCCACGCTGTTTTATATTTCTAACATGGGGTAGGATACCATCCTCCATGAAATAGGGTGCAAGTGTGTGAAATGCAGATGGGAATCCTGTCCCAGCTAGCCTGACAGAGAAGTGAGCACTTCCTATGGCAAATTATGTAAGAAAATATTCCCCAGGCAGATGCTTATGAAAAGAATCTGTTCAGCCTGCAGGTAAGTGGGAGAGCCCTTGCTCAAAAAAAAAAAGAAAAAGAAATAGTGGAAGACAAAAAGGAAAGGACACTATGAATGTCTGACCCATGAACTACTACCTGTTAGAAACAGAAGTGCTGGGAGGCTTGAGAGACAGACACTACCTTCCTGGCTAGGTGTGGTGGCTCAGATCTGTAATGCTAGCACTTCGGGAGACCAAGGCAGGATGATCAAATTAAAGGGCATCCTGGGCAACATGGCAATACCCCATGTCTAAAAAATTTAAAAATTAGCCAAGCATGGTAACGCACACCTATAGTCCTAGCTACATGGGAGGATGGCTTGATCTCTTTGACCCCAGGAGTTCGAGGCAGTAGTGAGCTATGATTGCACCACTGCACACCAACCTAGGTGACAGAGTGAGACCTCATCTCCAAAAAACCAAACCAAAACAAAAAACCTTCAAGAAAGAAAAAAAGCTTGACCTTCCCTCCCTCACTCTTTACAGACCCATGGAATCTGAAGCTCTGGTGTTGGAGCCACCAGGCATTAACAAGCCTTCTGGGTGATTCGTAATACGTTTAAGTTTGAAAACCAGGGTCAGAACTTTTAAACAAGTGCAAGTGTCCAGCTAAAATGAATTATATGTATGTCAAAGTTGCAGAAATAGTTAAAGAACCTTTTTTTTCCAGCTTTTTTTTTTTCTTTTAATACACAGGGAAGGGTCAGGTGCAGTGGCTCACGCCTGTAATCCCAGCACTTTGGGAGGCCGAGGTGGGCGGATCACAAGGTCAGGGGTTCTAGACCAGCCTGGCCAACATGGTAAAACCCCATCTCTACTAAAAATACAAATATTAGCCATATGTGGTGGCACACGCCTGTAGTCCCAGCTACTCGGGAGCCTGAGGCAGGAGACTCACTTGAACCTGGGAGGCAGAGGTTGCAGTGAGCCGAGATTATGCCACTGCCCTCCAGCCTGGGCGACAGAGCAAGACTTCATCTTAAAAAAAAAAAAAATACACAGGAAAGATTGGGACAAGTGGCAGGAGACTGAAAGGGGAAAGAGCTTGTTTGTACTAATGGGACAAAGTGGGCCGACTCTGGGCACACTGCTTATGAGTTAGCTCTACTCTGTGAGGAAATTTTTTTTTTTTTTTTGAGACGGAGTCTTGCTCTGTTGCCCAGGCTGGAGTGCAGTGGCGCAATCTTGGCTCCCCGCAACCTCTGCCTCGCTGGTTCAAGCAATTCCCCTGCCTCAGCCTCCTAAGTAGCTGGGATTACAGGCGCCTGCCACCACGCTCGGCTAATTTTTTGGTATTTTTAGTAGAGACCCGGTTTCACCATGTTGGCCAGACTGGTCTCGAACTCCTGACCTCAGGCAATACTCCCGCCTCGGCCTCCCAAAGTGCCGGGATTACAGGTGTGAGCCACCCCACCCGGCCAAGGAAATATTTAAAAAATAAAATAAAATAAGTTATTTAAAAATTGGGGCAAGTTGGCTGGGCACGGTGGCTCACGCCTGTAATCCTAGCACTTTGGGAGGCTGAGGAAGGGGGATCACTTGAGGTCAGGAGTTCAAGACCAGTCTGGCCAACATGGTGAAACACTGTCTCTACTAAAAATTCAAAAAATTAGCCAGGCATTGTGGCAGGCACCTACAATCCCAGCTACTCAGGAGACTAAGGCAGGAGAATCGCTTGAACCTGGGAGACGGAGATTGCAGTGAGTTGAAATCATGCCACTGCACTCCAGCCTGGGCTATGGAGCGAGACTCTCCCTCAAAAAAAAAAAAATCGGGGTAAGTGTTATCAATCTAAAAAATAATAATTAAAAAGTTCAGAATCTAGGCCAGGCGCTGTGGCTCACACCTATAATCCCAGCACTTTGGGAGGCAGAGGCAAGCGAATCACCTGAAGTCAGGAGTTCAAGACCATCCTGGTCAACATGACGAAACCCCGTCTCTACCAAAAATACAAAAATTAGCTGGGTGTTGTGGGTCGCGCCTGTAGTCCCAGCTATTCAGGAGACTGAGGAAGGAGAATCGCTTGAACCCGGGAGCGAGAGGTTACAGTGGGCCAAGATCATACCATTGCATTCCAGTCTGGGAGACACAGCGAGACTGTCTTAAACAAACGAACAAAAGCTGAGAATCTAGTGTTGTTGCTTTTTACAGATGGAGTCTTGCCATGTTGCCCAGGTTAGATTCAGACTGAAGTTCAAGGGATCCTCCTGCCTCAGCCTCCTAGAGTAGATAGAGTTGGGACTGCAGGCACATACCACTGTACCAGGCTTAGAATCTAGTTTAAAGAGTTTATCCACCGGCTCTCCCTCCCTCTCCCTCTGTCTCCCTCTCCCCACGGTCTCCCTCTCATGCGGAGCCGAAGCTGGACTGTACTGCTGCCATCTCGGCTCACTGCAACCTCCCTGCCTGATTCTCCTGCCTCAGCCTGCCCAGTGCCTGCCATTGCAGGCACGCGCCGCCATGCCTGACTGGTTTTGGTGGAGACGGGGTTTCGCTGTGTTGGCCGGGCAGGTCTCCAGCCCCTAACCGCGAGTGATCCCGCCAACCTCAGCCTCCCGAGGTGCCGGGATTGCAGACGGAGTCTCGTTCACTCAGTGCTCAATGGTGCCCAGGCTGGAGTGCAGTGGCGTGATCTCGGCTCACTACAACCTACACCTCCCAGCCGCCTGCCTTGGCCTCCCAAAGTGCCGAGATTGCAGCCTCTGCCCGGCCGCCACCCCGTCTGGGAAGTGAGGAGCGTCTCTGCCTGGCCGCCCATCGTCTGGGATGTGAGGAGCCCCTCTGCCTGGCTGCCCAGTCTGGAAAGTGAGGAGCGTCTCCGCCCGGCCGCCATCCCATCTAGGAAGTGAGGAGCGCCTCTTCCCAGCCGCCATCACATCTAGGAAGTGAGGAGCGTCTCTGCCCGGCCGCCCATCGTCTGAGATGTGGGGAGCGCCTCTGCCCCGCCGCCCCATCTGGGATGTGAGGAGTGCCTCTGCCTGGCCGAGACCCCGTCTGGGAGGTGAGGAGCGTCTCTGCCCGGCCGCCCCGTCTGAGAAGTGAGGAGACCCTCTGCCTGGCAACCACCCCGTCTGAGAAGTGAGGAGCCCCTCCGCCCGGCAACTGCCCCGTCTGAGAAGTGAGGAGCCTCTCCGCCCCGCAGCCACCCCATCTGGGAAGTGAGGAGCATCTCCGCCCGGCAGCCACCCCGTCCGGGAGGGAGGTGGGGGGGGTCAACCCCCCGCCCGGCCAGCCGCCCCATCTGGGAGGGAGGTGGGGGGTCAGCCCCCCCGACCGGCCAGCCGTGCCATCCGGGAGGGAGGTGGGGGGGTCAGCCCCCCACCTGGCCAGCCGTGCCGTCCGGGAGGGAGGTGGGGGGGTCAGCCCCCCGCCCGGCCAGCCGCCCCGTCCGGGAGGTGAGGGGTGCCTCTGCCCGGCCACCCCTACTGGGAAGTGAGGAGCCCCTCAGCCCGGCCAGCCACCCCGTCCGGGAGGGAGATGGGGGGGTCAGCCCCCCCACCCGGCCAGCCGCCCGGTCCGGGAGGGAGGTGGGGGGGTCAGCCCCCCGCCTGGCCAGCCGCCCTGTCCGGGAGGGAGGTGGGGGGGTCAGCCCTCCGCCCGGCCAGCCGCCCCGTCTGGGAGGTGAGGGGCGCCTCTGCCCGGCCGCCCCTACTGGGAAGTGAGGAGCCCCTCTGCCCGGCCAGCCGCCCCGTCCGGGAGGGAGGTGGGGGTGTCAGCCCCCCGCCCGGCCAGCCGCCCCGTCCGGGAGGGAGGTGGGGGGGGTCAGCCCCCCCGCCCGGCCAGCCGCCCCGTCCGGGAGGTGAGGGGCGCCTCTGCCCGGCCGCCCCTACTGGGAAGTGAGGAGCCCCTCTGCGCGGCCACCACCCCGTCTGGGAGGTGTGCCCAACAGCTCATTGAGAACGGGCCAGGATGACAATGGCGGCTTTGTGGAATAGAAAGGCAGGAAAGGTGGGGAAAAGATTGAGAAATCGGATGGTTGCCGTGTCTGTGTAGAAAGAAGTAGACATGGGAGACTTTTCATTTTGTTCTGCACTAAGAAAAATTCCTCTGCCTTGGGATCCTGTTGATCTGTGACCTTACCCCCAACCCTGTGCTCTCTGAAACATGTGCTGTGTCCACTCAGGGTTAAATGGATTAAGGGCGGTGCAAGATGTGCTTTGTTAAACAGATGCTTGAAGGCAGGGTGCTCGTTGGGAGTCATCACCAATCCCTAATCTCAAGTAATCAGGGACACAAACACTGCGGAAGGCCGCAGGGTCCTCTGCCTAGGAAAACCAGAGACCTTTGTTCACTTGTTTATCTGCTGACCTTCCCTCCACTATTGTCCCATGACCCTGCCAAATCCCCCTCTGTGAGAAACACCCAAGAATTATCAATAAAAAAATAAATTTAAAAAAAAAAAAAAAAAAAAAAAAGAGTTTATCCAACTGCAAATGTTGAGGAAGTGGCCCGTCTAGAGCTGAAGATTCCAAAGAATATTAGTCTATGTTCCAAAAGTGTAGAAGTTTGGAATCGCTTATATAAACAGAAAGTTTATGGAAACTTAGAATTTCAACATTGTTCTGTGTTCACAATTGGTGGGTTCTTGGTCTCATTGATTTAAAGAATGAGGCCGCAGACCCTCACGGGGAGTGTTACAGTTCTTAAATGCGGCGCCTCTGGAGTTGTTTGTTCCTCCCGGGGGGTTCGTGCTCTCGCTAGCGTCAGGAGTGAAACTGCATACCCCTGCGGTGAGTGTTACACCTCATAAAAGTAGTGTGGACCCAAAGAACAAATAGCAATAAAATTTATTGCAAAAACGGAAATAACAAACTTTCCACTCTATGGAAAATGACCAGAGCGGGATGTCACTACTCACTCAGGCAGCCTGCTTTTATTCCCTTATCTGGCCCCACCCACATCCTGCTGATTGGTCCATTTTACAGAGAGCTGATTGGTCCGTTTTACAGAGAGCTGATTGGTCCATTTTGACAGGGTGCTGATTGGTGCGTTTACAATCCCTGAGCTAGACACAAAAGTTCTCCATGTCCTCACTAGATTAGCTAGATACAGTGTCGATTGGTGCATTTACAAACCCTGAGCTAGACACAGGATGCTGATTGGTATATTTACAAACCTTGAGCTAGATACAGAGTGCCGATTGGTGTATTTACAATCCCTTAGCTAGACATAAAGGTTCTCCAAGTCCCCACCACACTCAGGAGCCCAGCTGGCTTCACCCAGTGGATCCCGCACTGGGGCCGCAGGTGGAGCTGCTTGCCAGTCCTGCCCCATGCGCCTGCACTCTTCAGCCCTTGGGAGGTTGATGGGACTGGGGGCCGTGGAGCAGGGGGTGGCGCTCGTCGGGGAGGCTCTGCAGCACAGGAGCCCACGGCGGGGTTGGGGCTCAGGCATGGCGGGCTGCAGGTCCTGAGTCCTGTCCTGTGGTGAGGCAGCTAAGGCCCCGTGAGAAATCGAGCACAGCAAGCTGCTGGCCCAGGTGCTAAACCCCTCACTGCCCTGCCCGGGGCTTGTGGGCCAGCCTGCCGCTCCAAGAGCGGGGCAGCCGAGCCCACGCCCACCCGGAACTTGCGCTGGCCCACAAGCGCTGCGTGCAGCCCCGGTTCCCGCCCGCGCCTCTCCCTCCACACCTCCCCGCAAGCCGAGGGAGCCGGCTCCGGCCTCGGCCAGCCCAGAGAAGGCTCCCACGGTGCAGTGGCGGGCTGAAGGGCTCCTCAAGCGCGGCCAGAATGGGCGCCAAGGCCGAGGAGGCGCCGAGAGCCAGCAAGGGCTGCGAGGGCTGTCAGCACGCTGTCAACTCTCAGTTCTATGGTAAGGCTTATTGCATAGTTACAATGATCTGATTAGTCAATTTTTTTTTTCTTTTTTGGGGGGTGGGGGAAGGTGTTTTTTACATTCCACACTGAAGATGCAATAGTCATGGGGTCTTGGGTGCCATCTGGTCTGAGTCAGGTACAGGACAATAAAGGAGGCAGTTAATCTACAACAAAGATCAGTGATTGGAAAGGAGGTCTCATTACAGAACAAGAGCAATGAGGAGGAGAGTCTGTAAGAAGCAGAATTGCAAACATGCTACATGACTCAGTCTCCAAGGCTTAACTTCCATCTTGGCATAAACTTAGAGTCCTGAAGTTTTGTTTTCTTTTTACGGTGGACTTTGCACATCATTGCCTGGTGAGTGCCCGCTGGATCAGCAGCCAAATTCTAGCATGAAACCCTTTCCCCAACATCCCCTTTCACCTTGCATGGCCCTCCTTCCCTTCACACATTGATCCCCACTCCCAGCCCCTTTGCTTAGGATCAAACCAGCTCAAGCTCTCTCTGTCTTCTCAGCTGTCCCTTAAATAAGGGAAAGAGACAGTAACAATGAACACTGACCTGAACAGCAAATACCAGGGACCAGGGACCATGGATACTTTTTTGCTAATGTAATCCTTCCAACCAAAAGTCATGACAAGGAGGGAATAGGAAAAAGTATTTTTTTTTTTTTTTGAGACAGGGTCTTACTCTGTCACCCAGGCTGGAGTGCAGTAGCATGATCACAGCTCACTGCAACCTTGACCACCTGGGTTCAAGCAATCTTCCCACCTCAGCCTCCTGAGTAGCTGGGACTACAGGCACTTGCCACCAAGCCCAGCTAATATTTTCATTTTTGTAGAAACAGGGTCCCACTATGTTGCCCAGGCTGGTCTTAAACTCCTGGGCTCAAGTGATCCTTGACCACCCCACCCGCTCGGCCTCCCAAAGTGCTAGAGTTACAGGCCTGCCCACCCATAGCCATCTAATAATTTTTGCCCAAGAAAGGATTGGGAAGGAAGATCAAAGCAATGGCTTGGACATCTTTCCAACAACAACAACAACAACAACAAAACCACAACAGACTCAAATTACCATAGTAGAAGTATAGGTCTTCCTTTTCCTAATACTCTGGGATTTTTTTTTTTTTTTGAGACAGAGTCTTGCTCTGTTGCCCAGGCAGGCTGGAGTGCAGTGGCGTGATCTCAACTCACTGCAACCTCCGTGTCCCAGGTTCAAGTGATTCTCCTGCCTCAGCCTCCTGAGTATTTGGGATTATAGGTGCCCACCACCACACCTGGCTAATTTTTTGTATTTTTAGTAGAGATGGGTTTTCACCATGTTGACCAGGCTGGTCTCTACTAAAAATACAAAAATTAGCTGGGTGTGGTGGCATGCCCCTGTAGTCTCAGCTACTCGGGAGGCTGAGGCAGAAGAATCGCTTGAACCTGGGAGGCAGAGGTTGCAGTAAGCCGAGATCATGCCACTGCACTCCAGCCTGGTGACACAGTGAGACTCTGTCCCAAAAAAAAAAAAAAAAGAGGCCGGGCGCGGTGGCTCATGTCTGTAATCCCAGCATTTTGGGAGGCCAAGGCAGGCGAATCACCTGAGGTCAGGAGTTCAAGACCAGCCTCACCAACATGGAGAAACCCAGTCTCTACTAAAAATACAAAATTAGGCTGGGCACAGTGGCTCACGCCACCCAGCACTTTGGGGAGGCCAAGGCGGGCGGATCACCTGAGGTCAGGAGTTCAAGACCAGCCTGGCCAACATGGTGAAACCCCCGTCTCTACTAAAAATACAAAAATTAGCCAGGCGTGGTAGTGCATGCCTGTAATGCCAGCTACTGAGGAGGCTGAGGCAGGAGAATCGCTTGAACCCGAGAGGGGAAGGCTGAAGTGAGCCGAGATCACGCCACTGCACTCCAGCCTCGGCAACAAGAGCGAGACTCTGTCTCAAAAAAAAAAAAAAAAAAAAAAAGCTGGCCAGAGGCGGTAATTACATGCCTGTAATCCCAGTCCCAGTACTTTGGAAGGCCAAGACGGGCAGATCATTTGAGCCCAGGAGTTTGAGACCAGCCTGGGCAACATGGCAAGACCTCATCTCTACAAAAAATTTAAAAATTAGCTGGGGCAGTGGCCCACACCTGTAGTTTCAGCTACATGGGAAGCTGAGGTGAGAGGGTCACTTGAGCCCAGGAGGTAGAGGCTGTAGTGCACCAAGACCGCACCACTGCCCTCAAACCTGGGCGACAGGGCAAGAAACTTGTCTCAAAAACAAACAAATAAGAAACCCACAGCACATTAGGTCAAATACTTTTATAAAAAATTTTTTTAGGCCGGGCACGGTGGCTCATGCCTGTAATCCCAGCACTTTGGGAGGCCAAGGCGGGCGGATCACAAGGTCAGGAGATCCAGACCTCCTGGCTAACACGGTGAAACACTGTCTCTACTAAAAATACAAAATATTAGCCGGGCGTGGTGGCGGGAGCCTGTAGTCCCAGCTACTTGGGAAGCTGAAGCAGGAGAATGGAGTGAACCTGGAAGGCAGAGCTTGCAGTGAGCTGAGATGGTGCCACTGCACTCCAGCCTGGGAAACAGAGCAAGACTCTGTCTGAAGAAAAAAAAAATTAGAGTGAAAAAATAAAAAGGTTGATGAGTCTGTGTTTCACGAAAAACTCTCCAAACTCCCAAACTGTTTTAAACTTTTTCCTCCTCTACTCTCTCACTCTCTCCCCCCAGCCACACTCACACACACACTTTTTTTTTTTTTTTTTTTTGAGACAGAGTCTCGCTCTGTCACCCAGGCTAGAGTGCAGTGGCATGATCTCGGCTCACTGCAACCTCCGACTCCCAGATTCAAGTAATTCTCCTGCCTCAGATTCTCAAGAGTAGCTGGGATTACAGGTGTTCACCACCACACCCGGCTAATTTTTGTATTTTTAGTAGCGATGGGGTTTCTCCATGTTGGCCAGGCTGGTCTCAAACTCCTGACCTCAGGTGATCCACCTGCCTCCGCCTCCCAAAGTGCTGGGATTACAGCCGTGAGCCACTGTGCTCAACAACACACTTCTTTTAAAGACAGGGTCTCACTCTGTCACCCAGCCTGGAGTGCAGTACTGCAATCATAGCTCACTTCAGCCTTGACCTCCCAGGCTCAAGCAATCCTCCCACCTCAGCCCCATGAGTGGTTGGAACCACAGGTGTGTGCCACCACACCTGCTAATTTTTGTATTTTTTGAAGACACGAGGTCTCGACATGTTGCCCAGGCTGGTCTTGAACTCCTGGGCTCAAGCAATCCACCAACCTCGGCCTTCCAAAGTGCTGGGACTACAGGTGTGAGCCATGGTAACTGGCCTGAATATTAAGTGCTATTAGGGAATTAAATTTGCTTTTCTCAGGTATAATAGTATTGTGAATATGCAGATGAACATCCTTATTTTTTGGAGATGCATACTCAAATACAAAGGGATAAAATGTCATAATCTCTTTAATATACTTTGAAATGATCCTACCAAATATAAGTACATACAGATGCTAATATCATTGTTTTTGCCAATTTTCTTTTTTCTTCCTTTTAGATACAGGGTCTTGGTCTGTCGCACAGGCCGGAGAGCAGTGAGTGGAACAATCATGGCTCTGTAGCCTCGACCTTCTGGGCTCAAGTGATCCTTCCATCTCAGCCTCCCAAGTAGCTGGGACTACAGGTGCTTGGGAGTACACCTAATTTTTTAATTTTGTAGAGAAGTGGTCTCCGCCCAGGCTGGCCTCAAACTCCTGCACTCCAGCAATCCTCCTGCCTTGACCTCCCAAAGTACTGGGATTACAGACATTAGCCACCACGCCCAACCAAAACTTTTAAAAGTTTTTTTTTTGTTTTATAACAGTTCCTCTGCCTCTTTTAGAGGCAATCAACCCAGTGTGGAGCACAGGTATTCCCTGGGTGGCACTAGGAGATGGGACTTGCTCCCTGTTTCAAGGTGGTACCAGCTAATGCTGCAAGGCCCTTTGAAGAAGGCTCCCCCTTCCCAGTTTATTATCTGCCATCAGTAAATAACTGGGGATTATCAGCTGACACCTTTATCTTCACTACATTCTTTAGAATTTAAGACAGGCAACAGCCAGCCTAGAATGTGACCCACTTCCACCTGAGGTTCACCTGACTGGAGGCAATAAAGTTTAACATTTCAAGAGTCAGCAGGTACTTTAACCCTTAGGATAATTTGTTTCTTTATATAGTCTTTGGAAAATAACACAAGAATTAAAAAAAAAAAAAAAAAAAACAGCCAGGCTTGGTGGCTCAGGAGGCAGAGGCTGCAGTGAGCCAAGATGGCTCCAGTGCACTACAGCCTGGACAACACAGTGAGACCCTGTCCACCCCACTCCCCCCCAAAAAAAGTCATGGGAAAGTAGAATGCTAATGAAAAGAAAGTACTACAATCAACAAACTAACAGATGGGCCTGAGATGCTAAAAACCAGGTACCCCTGTACGCCATTGGGCAGCAGAGCTCATGATGGCTCTGTGGCTGTTCTGGCTGCAGGTAACAAATCCATGTAACAAACAAAGTAGGCTGGGTGCAGTGGCTCACGCCTGTAATCCCAGCACTTTGGGAGGGCGAGGCAGGTGAATCACAAGGTCAGGAGTTCAAGACCAACCTGACCAACACGGTGAAACCTTGTCTCTACTAAAAATACAAAAATTATCCAGACGTGGTGGCACCACCTGTAATCCCAGCTACTCAGGAGGCTGAGTCAGGAGCATCGCTTGAACCTGGGAGGCGTAGGTTGCAGTGAGCTGAGATCATGCCACTGCACTCCAGCCTGGGCAACAGAGCAAGACTCCCATCTCAAAAACAAAAACAAAGCAGCTCTGGAGTTGGAGTATCTCATTCCATCCTTCATGTTTCAAAACTTCCTTTTCATATCACCTCTGATTTCTCTGCTCCACATTATGGATTATTTCTCCCTCCAACTCACTAATTCTTCATTTAGTTGGTCTGCTGTTTATCTTGTTTATTGTGTATCTTTGTTGTTTTTTTTGGTTTTTATTTTTAGAGATGGTGTCTTGCAATATTACCCAGGCTGGTCTCGAACTCCTGGGCTCAGGTGATCCTCCCACCTTGGCCTCCCAAAGTGCTGGGATTACAGGCATGAGTCACCATACCCAGCCCCCAAGCTATGTTTTTAAGATACTAAGAAATATTTCAGACATGCAAAAATAAGAAATGAGAGGCCAGGCACATTACATATGCTTACATACTACCAGTATGTAAACATATATTAATGTTACATACAACTAATATGTAAACATTACGTACCACTAGTTGTTGGTTTTGTTTTTTTTGAGACAGAGTCTCATGCTTTTGCCCAGGCTGGAGTGCAGGGGTTCAATCTTGGCTCACTGCAACCTCCACCTCCTGGGTTCAAGCAATTCTCATGCCTCAGCCATCAGAGTATCTGGGATTACAGGTGTGCACCACCACACTTGGCTAATTTTTGTATTTTTAGTAGAGACAGGGTTTCGCCATGTTGACCAGGTTGGTCTCAAACTCCTGGCCTCAAGTGATCCACCTGCTTCGGCCTCCCAAAGCGCTGGAATTACAGGCATGAGACACTGCACCCAGCCCCAAAAGTTTTTAAGGTTATTTCTGGGCTCTAGAATTTCCTCACAACCCAAAAGATGCAAATTTCATCCATGAGTTCTGTTGGTGCAGGTTTGGGTGTACCCCACAAAGCCTGCGGCTGTGACTCTGGCCAATGGGTAGAAATTTTACTCCTCGAACACTGACAAAAGAGCTCCAAGCAGCTCCTGGGTTTCTGTAGCATGGCTGAAGCAGAGTGGAAATGGGGTTTCACCATGTTGGCCAGGCTGGTCCCCAACCCCTAACCTCAGGTGTAGAAGATGAGGTCAGAAAGTTGACAGAGCTAGACTGGGAGGACCTTGTTGGGTGGCCCTTGTAAGATGGAGACTTTTACTCTGAGTGAAATGGCAGCTGTTACAGGATCTTCAGAAGAGGGGAGACATGACCTGACTCCTGATTTGGAAGGAACCTTCTGGCTGCTGTGTGGAGAGAGCCTGTAACGGGCAAAAGTGGAAGCCAGGAGACCAGGTAGGAGACAGTTGCAGTTGTCTAGGTGAGAGCCAATGGTGGCTCCCACCAGGATGGAGCAGCAGTAAAGGTGTGAGACACAGATCCTCGTGTCATTTCTAAGATACAGACAGTATGATTTGCTGACAAATTAGATGTAGCATGTGAGAACAGGAGAGCAGTCAGGCAGATTCCAAGGGTCTAGCCTAAGCAACTGGCAGGTAGAGGTGTCACCTGGAGGGCCAGCACACTGGCCAGTGGGTAAGGATTCCAAGGATTCTTGTCTCCCATTTCTGTGGGGAGACAGGCTGAGGCCAAGCCTTAGGAGGCTCACTGCCTACAGTAGCTGAAGTAGCAGGCTAGCCGCTATTAGAGTAACTGCAAGCTGGGGAGTTCAGCCTGGGAGGATGGGAAGGAGGACTGTTTATTACTGAAGTTGCTCCACTCCTGGTATGGAAATGGGGCCTAAAGAAATGAGGAAAATAGGCCGGCGGTGGCTCACGCCTGTAATCCCAGCACTTTGGGAGGCCAAGGCGGGTGGATCACGAGGTCAGGAGATCGAGACCATCCTGGCTAACACGGTGAAACCCCGTCTCTACTAAATATACAAAAAATTAGCCGGGTGTAGTGGTGGACGCCTGTATTCCCAGCTAATCGGGAGGCTGAGGCAGGAGAATGGCGTGAACCCGGGAGGCGGAGCTTGCAGTGAGCCGAGATCGCGCCACTGCACTCCAGCCTGGGCGACAGAGCGAGACTCCGTCTCAAAAAAAAAAAAAAAGAAATGAGGAAAATAGCATTTTGGGGTTGAGGTCTTTCAGCATCACCACTGTGTGAGAAAAGAAGTTCACGTGACCATCTTACCATGGCTGTAGCTCAGTCTTATACCCCAAACCTGGGATTAGCACCCACCACACAGGGGAGGACTTGAACCATACAAAGGGCAGGGGAATGCAGAAGAGACCCTTGGGGACAAGAAATGAAACCAACAAAGCTGAGTATGGTGGCATATGCCTGTTGCCCCAGCTACTGAGGAAGCTGAGGCGGGAGGATCACTTCAGCCCAGGAGTTCAAGTCAGACCTGGGCAACAGAGCATGACTCTACCTCTTCATTTATTTATTTAGAGATAAGGCTCACTCTGTTGCCCAGATTGGAGTGCAGTGGCACAATCATGGCTCACTGCAGCCTCAACTTCCAGGGCTCAAGCAATTCTCCCATCTCAGCCTCCCAAGTAGCTGAACCACGGCATGCCATCACAACCGGCTAATTTTTAAAATTTTTTGTAGGAACTGGATTTCACCGTGTTGCCCAGGCAGACTGGTCTCAAACTCCTGGGTTCAAGAGATCTGCCCACCATGGCCTCCCACAGTGCTGGGGTTGCAGGTGTGAGCCACCGCACTATGCTTCTTTTTTGTTAGAGACGGGATAGGCCGGGCTTGGTGGCTCAAGCTTGTAATCTCAGCATTTGGGGAGGCCAAAGCAGGTAGATCATTTGATTTCAGGAGTTAGACACCAGTCAGGCAATATAGTGAAAACTTCACTGTATAAAAAATTTAAAAATTAGCTGGGCATGGCTGGGCGCGGTGGCTCACCTGTAATCCCAGCACTTTGGGAGGCCGAGGCAGGTAGATCATGAGGTCAGGAGATCGAGACCATCCTGGCTAACACGGTGAAACCTCGTCTCTACCTAAAATACAAAAAAATTAGCCAGGCGTGGTGGCTAGCACCTGTAGTTCCTGCTACTCGGGAGGCTGAGGCAGGAGAATGGCGTGAACCTGAGAGGCAGAGCTTGCAGTGAGCCAAGATCGCGCCACTGCACTCCAGCCTGGGTGACAGAGCAAGACTCCGTCTCAAAAAAAAAAAAAAAAGGTCAGGTACGGTAGCTCACGCCTGTAATCCCAGCACTTTGGGAGGCCAAGGCAGGTGGATCACGAGGTCAGGAGATCGAAACCATCCTGGCTAACACGGTGAAACCCCATCTTTACTAAAAATACAAAAAATTAGCTGGCCGTGGTGGTGGGTGCCTGTAGTCCCAGCTAGTCGGGAGGCTGAGGCAGGAGAATGGTGTGAACCCAGGAGGTGGAGCTTGCAGTGAGCCGAGATTGCACCACTGCACTCCAACTTGGGCGACAAAGCAAGATTCTCTTTCAAAAAGAAAAAAAAATTAGCTGGGCATGATGGAGCACCTGTAGTTCCAGCTACTTCAGAGGCTGAGGTGGGAGGATCACTTGAGCCCAGGAGGTCAAGGCTGTAGTGAGCTGTAATCTTGCCACTGTACTCGAGCCTGGGCAACAGTGACACCCTGTCTCAAAAAAAAGAGAGGGTAGGCCCGGTGCAGTGGCTCACACCTGTAATCCCAACACTTTGGGAGGTGGGTGAATCACCTGGAGTCAGGAGTTTGAGACCAGCCTGGCCAACATGGTGAAACCCTATCTCTACTACTGAAGAAAAAAAAAAAAAAGAGGGTGGGTAGGAACTCTGTTATCTATTTACAAACAAGGAAATTGTTATGGGAATCACTGAGGAACTTAGCCAAAGTTAACCTAGCAGTAAGTGTTCAGTCTGGCTCCTGAATCTTTTTGAAACAGTCTCACTCTGTCACCCAGGCTGGAGTGCAGTGGTGCCATCTTGGTTCACTGCAACCTCCACCTCTCAGGTTCAAGCGATTCTCATGCCTCAGCCTCCCAAGTAGCTGGGCTTACAGGCGCATGCCACCATGCTCGGTTAACTGTATGTATGTATGTATGTATTTTGAGATGTAGTTTCATTCTTGTTGCCCAGGCTAGAGCATAATGGCATGATCTCAGCTCACTGCAACCTCCGCCTGCCAGGTTCAAGTGATTCTCCTGCGTCAGCCTCCCGAGTCGCTGGGATTACAGGCGTGTGCCACCACACCTGGCTAATTTATTTTTGTATTTTTAGTAGAGACAGGGTTTTGCCATGTTGGCCAGGCTGGTCTCGAACTCCTGACCTTAGGTGATCCACCTGCCTCGGCCTCCCAAAGTGCTGGGATTACAGGCGTGAGCCACCATGCCTGGCCCTAATTGAGATGGAGTCTCACTCTGTCGCGCAGGCTGGAGTGCAGTGGCGGGATCTTGACTCACTGCAAGCTCCACCTCCCGGGTTCACGCCATTCTCCTGCCTCAGCCTCCCGAGGAGCTGGGACTACAGGCGCCCGCCACCACGCCCGGCTGATTTTTGTATTTTTAGTAGAGACGGGGTTTCACCGTGTTAGACAGGATGGTCTTGATCTCCTGACCTCGTGATCTGCCCGCCTCGGCCTCCTAAAGTGCTGGGATTACAGGCGTGAGCCTGGCCCTTTTTTATATTTTTTTTAGTAGAGATGGGGTTTCACCATGTTGGCCAGGCTGGTCCCTAACCCCTGACCTCAGGTGATCTGTCCGCCTCAGCTGCGATTACGGGCATGAGCCACCATGCCAGGCCCTGAAGTTTTTTATGTCCACAAATGTGTATGGAAGGGTGGACTCCAAATGAACTACAGGAAAATACATGAACAACAACAAAAGTTGCAGGCCAGGTGTGGTGGCTCTGGCCTAGAATCACAGCACTTTCACTTTCAGAGGCTGAGGCTGGCGGATCACCTAAGTTCGGGAGACCAGCCCGACCAACATGGAGAAACCCCATCTCTAATAAAAATACAAAATTAGCCGGGCGTGGTGGCATATAATCCCAGCTACTTGGCAGGATAAGGCAGGAGAATCGCTTGAACCCAGGAGGCAGAGGTTGTGGTGAGCCAAGATAGTGCCACTGCACTCCAGCCTGGGGAACAAGAGCAAAACTATGTCTCAAAAAACAAAAAAGGCTGGGCGCGATGGCTCACGCCTGTAATCCCTGCACTTTGGGAGGCCAAGGCGGGCGGATCACGAGGTCAGGAGATCCAAGACCATCCTGGCTAACACAATGAAACCCGTCTCTACTAAAAATACAAAAAAATTAGCCGGGCACCTGTAGTCCCAGCTACTCCGGAGGCTGAGGCAGGAGAATGGCTTGAACCTGGGAGGCAGAGCTTGCAGTGAGCCGAGATCGCGCCACTACATGCTGCCTGGGCGACAGAGCGAGACTCCATCTCAAAGATAAATGAAATAAGTAAATGTCAGGCGTGGTGGCTCACGCCTGTAATCCCAGCATTTCAGGAGGCCGAGGCGGGCGGACGGTGAGGCTAGGAGTTGGAGACCACCCTGGCCAATGTGGTGAAACCCCGTCTCTAGTAAAAATACAAAAATTAGCTGGGCATAGTGGTGCGCGCCTGTGGTCCCAGCTACTCGGGAGGCTGAGGGAGGAGAAATCGCTTGAACCTGGGAGGTGGAGGTTGCAGTGAGCTATCGCGCCACTGCACTCCAGCCTGGCGACAGAGCAAGACTCTGTCCCCCCCGCCCCCCAGAAAAGCAGAAAGTTGCAGTAGAACACATGAAGATTTATTCTTTTTGAAAAATGAAAAATGGGCCAGCATGGTGGCTGTTTGTAATGCCAGCACTTTGGGAGTCCAAGGTGGGCAAATCACAAGGTCGGGAGTTCGAGACCAGCCTGGCCAACATGGTGAAACCCCCATCTCTACTAGAAATACAAAAAATTAGCGGGGCATGGTGGCGGGCACCTGTAGTCCCAGTGATTTGGGAGGCCCAGGCAGAATAATGGGGTGAACCTGGGAGGCAGAGATTGCAGTATGAGTCGAGATCACGCCACTGCACTCTAGCCTGGGCGACAGTGCAAGACTCCATCCCCCCAAAAAAGAAAAATGTTGTCTCGTGTCTGGTGAATCATTCCATTTTTACAAAGTTCAAAAGATACGCAAAATTAAAATGATATTGTTTAGCAATGCACTCAGTAAAACTATTAAGAAAAGCCAGAGGATGATATACCCAGTTAATTCTCCAAGTAGGAAGAAGAAAAAGAGAAATTGAATCAGACAGGTTTGTTTCAAAGTTATTGGTAATGTTCTGGCCAGGCACATCATTTGAGGTCAGGAGTTCGAAACCACCCTGGCCAATATGGTGAAACCCCTATCTCTTCAAAAAATACAAAAATAAGGTGTGCAGCTGTAGCCCCAGCTACTGGGAACGCTGAGGCACGAAAATCACTTGAACCCGGGGAGAGGCTGCAGTGAACCCAAACTGCGCCACTATATTCCAGCCCAGGTGACAAGGTGCAACTGTCTCAAAAAAAAAAAGATGGCTAATTGGGTAGCCGTGGACACTTTACAATCATTAAAAAAAACTCAAATTCGGCCAGGCACAGTGGCTCACACCTGTAATCCCAACACTTTGGGAGGCTGAGGCAGGCGGATGGCTTGAGGTGGGTGGATCACCTGAGGTCAGGAGTTCGAGACCAGCCTGGCCAACATGGTGAAACCTTGTCTCTACTAAAAGTACAAAAAATAGCTAGGGGAGGTGCCAGGCGCCTGTAATCCCAGCTACTCAGGAGGCTGTGAGGCAGGAGAATCACTTGAACTCAAGATGCAGAGGTTGCAGTGAGGCGAGATTTTGCCATTGCACTCCAGCATGGGCAACAAGGGCGAAACTCCACCTCCTCCCCTGCCAGAAAAACCATCTCAAATGATTGTCAAAAGTCTAGTGTATTATACATAATACTATGTCACCCAACCAAGAATCTCTAATATTAGGCTTAAGAGTTAAGCCTAACTCAGCATTAACTAGCTCACGGGGCTTCATCTTTCTTTTTTTTTAAGACGGAGCCTGTCGCCAGGCTGGAAGTGCAGTGGCACGATCTCGGCTCACTGCAACCTTGGACTCCCTGGTTCAAAGCCATTCTCCTGCCTCAGCCTCCCGAGTAGTTGGGATTACAGGTATGTATCACCACACCCAGCTAATTTTTGTCCTTTTTTTGTTTTAGTAGAGACAGGGTTTCACCATGTTGGCCAGGATAATCTCAATCTCCTGACCTTGTGATCCACCCACCTCGGCCTCCCAAAGTGCTGGGATTATAGGCATGAGCAACTTGCGCCCAGCCCCCTTAATCTTTTTGTACCATTGTTCTGAGACCAAACCACGTCTTCTTTACTTTAAAATGCTTTATTGGAATTATTTTGATAAAAGCAAATACTTGTATATAAGACAAATATAGGAAATAGAAGCTATCTACTTGAAGTGCCCCCTAATTTTCAGGCATTTTTCCCCCAATAAGGTGACAGCTGCTCACACAGGATAATACAGGAAAGTTGTAAGTTCTTAGGATATGCCCAGCACCAGGCGGAAGATATTGTGTCAGCAAATTCCTGAAAAATAATAAAAAGAACATTAGAACCATATGAGATGCACCAATAAAAAAACGATTTCATATCCTTTGCAGCAACATGGATGCAACCACAGGCCATGATCCTCAGTGAATCAATACAGAACAGAAAACCAGATACCATATGTTCTTACTTGTAAGTGGGAGCTAAATGTTGAGTATACATGGACATAAAGATGGCAACAGACACTGGGGAGAGGAAATGGGGCAAAGGTTTAATAACTATTGGGTACTATGCCCACTACCTGGGTGATGGGGATAATCCTACCCCAAACCTCAGCATCATACAATGAACCCAAGTAACAAAACTGCACATATACCCCCTAAATCTACAATAAAAGCTGAGGCTGGGCATGGCAGCTCACGCCTGTCAATTCCAACACTTTGGGAGGCCAAGGCAGAAGTGTTCGGAGGCCAAGGCAAGACAATCACTTGAGCCCAGGAGTTTCAGACCAGCTTGAGCACCATAGTGGGACCCCATTATCTACAGCTTTTTTTTTTTTGAGATGGAGTCTTGCTCTGTTGCCCAGGGTGAAGTGCAATGGCGCAGTGCAATGGCGCCATATCAGCTCACTGCAACCTCCACCTCCCAGGTTCAAGCGATTCTTCTGCCTCAGCCTCCCAAGTAGCTGGAATTACAGGCGCCCGCCACCCATGCCCAGCTAATTTTTGTATTTTTAGTAGACAGGGTTTCACGGTGTTGGCCAGGCTGGTCTTCAACTCCTGACCTCAGGTGATCCACCCACCTTGGCCTCCCAAAGAGCTGAGATTACAGGCATGAGCCACCACACCCATCCTCAAATTTAAAAAAAAAAAAATTAGCCGGGGATAGTGGTGCATGCCTGTAAGTCATTAGCTACTCCAAGGGTGAGGTGAGAGGTGAGCTTCCACCCAGGAGGTTGAGGCTGCAGTGAGCTGTGACTGCACCACTGCACTCCAGCCTGGGTGACAGAGCAAGACTGTCTCAAAAAATAGAATAAAATTGTCAGATGCTATGGCTCACACCTGTAATCCCAGCACTTTGGGAGGCTAGGGCGGGCAAATCACCTGAGATCAGGAGTTCAAGACCAACATGGTGAAAACTCCCATCTCTACTAAAAATACAAAATTAGCTGGGCATGGTGGCGCATGCCTGTAATCCCAAGTACTCGGGAGGCTGAGGTTACAATGAGCTGAGAATGTGCCACTGCACTCCAGCCTGGGCGACAAAGTGAAACTCCATCTCAAACAAAAAATAAATAAAAATACATGTTGCGGGCTGGGCTCGGTGGCTAATACCTGTAATCTGAGCACTTTGGGAGGTCAAGGTGGGCAGATCTCTTGGTCAGGAGTTCAAGACCAGCCCGGCCAACATGGTGAAACCCTCTACTAAAAATACAAAAATTAGCCGGGACTGGTGGCGCATGCCTGTAATCCCAGCTACTTGGGAGGCTGAGGCAGAATTGCTTGAACCTGGGAGGCAGAGGCTGCAGTAAGCCAAGAGTGTACCACTGCACTCCAGCCTGGATGACAGAGCAAGACAGTCTCAAAAAACACACAAAACATGTTGGGGTGGGGCACAGTGGCTCACTGAGGCAGGAGTTGAAGACCAGCCTGTGCACAAAGTGAGACCCTGTAATACAGTTTAGATCTGTCTCCCCACCAAATCTCATATTGAATTGTAATGGATCACTGGGGTGGATTCCTCATGAATGGCTTAAGCACCATCCTCCTTGATGCTGTGCTCATGACAGTCAGTTCTCTAGAGATCAATTTATTAAAAATGTGTGGCACCTCCCTGCCTTTGCTGCTGCTCTGGCCATGCTACATCCCTGCTTCCCTCTGTACCTTATGCAATATAGTTTCCTGAGGCCCCCACCAGAGGCTGAGCAGATGCCAACACCATGCTTCCTGTACATCCTGCAGAACCATAGCCAATTAAACCTCATCATGTAAGTAACTGGCCATAAAAACATGAATTACAGGAGATTGCCGGCAGGATGAAGGTGGATCAGGTGGGTTCAAAGATCCTCAGAGAAAAGCTCAGAGACTCTTGTCCAACCAGATCATCATTACCACTCCCACTGAGAGCCAAAACAAAAGATACTCACCATAGCAAGGAAGGAGAACAGGCATGGCTCTCCACCTCTCCCAGCCTGAAGGTCAAGTTGCAGGAATCACTGTCTAAGCATGACAGCCATACAAAGCTTCTCTCCATGAGGGGGAGATTCCAAACCTTAGACCTTCACTCAGATTAGTGCAGAATCTCTGTGAAGGTGCATTGTCCCTGGCTGGGCTTCCAGAGTTCATTCTAACAAGGTGAAAACAAGACAATTTGAAAATAAACAGAATTATGGCCCTCCCATTGGCCCTTCTGGAGACCCAAGTATCCAGTTCCCTAAATGAGTCAGAACTTAGTTTTGACATCATGACCAGCATCGGAGACTCTAGTCTGTGAAATCATCATTCCCAATTAGGGAGATCTGGATCAAGGGAAGCTCTTCTGGAAAGAGATCTAGTACACTCAAAGAAAACACAACAGTCCCAGTATATATTGATCTAACAAATGAGTCCAGGAGTGGACGTTAGAAAGGGAGGAGTAGAAAGTAATTTAAAACAGCAGAGAACAGCTCCACTGGGAGGCCCCAGTGTACTCCTATTTTGCAGTAGAAATGAGGGGAGGAGTCAGGTTACCCAGCCTTTAACAAAAATACGGGGATTTATTAAAACGTAAAAATACAGGCCGGGCAAAGTGGCTCACGCCTGTAATCCCGGCACTTTGGGAGGCCGAAGGGCGTGGATCAACTGAGGTCAGGAGTTTGAGACCAGCCTGACCAACATGAGTGAGACTCATGTCCCCCCGCCCCCTAAAAAAGTAAAAATAGAATAGTCACAAGGAAAATGATGTAAACTAAAAAGAGTAAGACTGTCCCCCCGCCCCCCAAAAAAGTAAAAATAGTCACAAGGAAAATGATGTAAACCAAAAAGTAATCTCTAGAAAGTCACCAACACCAGACGCAGCAACTCACCCCTGTAATTCCAGCACTTTGGGAGACTGAGGCAGGAGGACTGCTTGAGCCCAGGAGTAGAGACCAGCCTGGACAACATGGCAAAAGCCCGCTTCTGTAAAAAAACTAAAAATTAGCCAGGCGTGGTGGTAGCACGTGCCTGCAGTCCCAGGAAGCTGAGGTGGAAAGACCACTTGAGCCCTGACGGTGGATGTTGCAGGGAGATCCTGGCATTGCGCCCTGTCTCAAAAACAAAATAGCAAAAACAAACAAATGGAAGTCACCACCTGTGGTACATGGATTATAGCTCAAAAAAGAAAAAGTGGCCGGGCACAGCGGCTCACGAGGTCAGGAGATGGAGACCATCCTGGCCAACATGGTGAAACCCCTTCTACTAAAAACAGAAAAATTAGCCGAGTGTGGTGGCGCGGGCCTGTAGTCCCAGCTAATCGGCAGGCTGAGGCAGGACAATCGATTGAACCCGGGAGGCAGAGGTTGCAGGGAGATCGTACCATTGCCAGCCCGGGCAACAAGATCAAGACTCCATCTCAAAAAAAAAAAAAAAAAAAGGAAAAAATTGGCTAAGGTGGGAGAATCGGTTAAACCCGGGAGTTGAAGGCCGCACTGAATTGTGTTCTTGCCACTGCATTCCAGCCAGGGTGACAGGGAGGCTGTCTTAAAAAAAAAAAAAAAAAAAGGCCGGGCGCGGTGGCTCACGCCTGTAATCCCAGCACTTTGGGAGGCCGAGAGGGGCGGATCACGAGGTCAGCAGATCGAGACCATCCTGGCTAACACAGTGAAACCCCTTATCTATTAAAAAATACAAAAAATTAGCCAGGCTTGGTGGCATGCGCCTGTAATCCCAGCTAATCGGGAGGCTGAGGCAGGAGAATCGCTTGATCCCAGAAGGCGCAGGTTGCAGTGAGATCGTGCCACCGCACTTCAGCCTGGGTGACAAGGCGAGACTGTCTCAAAAAAAAAAAAAAAAAAAAGGGCAGGGAGGCGCATAATGCCCATGAACGAAAGCTTGCTTGGGAACAAAGCTTTCCGAAGAGGCATTCAAAAGGCTCTCGCACCTAATACTCACCTTTACTCAAGGATAACACGGCGATGAACGTCTTACAACTCCTAACGGGGAAATGAAACAGAACAAAAGATTAGGAATCTTGGCCATGAACTCGTTGAGCCTGAGAAATGCTGGACCGAGGGGGCGGTCAGAGCGCTGCGGTGATGGCATCAGCGACACACTCAAGAGTTACCTGGGGTCATCATCACTCCCTTCCTATCCCCGGGCGACCGCCACCCCCATTTTGCAATCACTCGCCCAACCCCACTCACAGTTGTTTTGAGTCAGCAGGGGCTGTGGGGCCGCTAGCCGAGTTCCCCCTGCCACGAGCTAGGTCAGTTCCAAGCAAAGACACCAGAAACTCCAGTGTGCAACGGTAGTTCACCCAACTGCACTGGGGACCGCCCTCTCCTACCCCAGCCAGGCCGCGACGTGGCCGCCCGCCGGCTGCTGCGCAAAGGCAGCGCAAGCCGTTGGGATCCCCTGCTCCCCCTCACTCAACAGTCGGGCCATTACAACTCTCATACTGCCAACCCACGAGCCCACTTCGCAAAAAGAACTAAAATGGCGAGGCCGGGGCCATTTATGGCGGCGCCGGGTTGGGGGCCTGACGGGTATAGTTGTTTTCTTATCTGCCTGGCTAGACGCGCGGCATTTTCCCCATTGTTTGTCCACACAGAAATAAAACAAAGTGAAAGAAAGACCAGGAAAGTATGTTTCACACTCCTCTGGGCAAATATTCGGAGATGCTTTCTGAATTTTGAAAAACAAAAAACAGGGATCTGTCTGGCCAGGCGGAAGAAAGTCCCCGGCGCCGGCCGGCCAGCGCCAGCCGGGTGCTGCTCCTAAGCCGTTTCCCAGCAGCCCATGGTCCGTTAATGACCCTGGGACTCTTCCCGCGCGCGCGCGGGCGCGCGCAGCTGCGCCAGTTTAGCGTCCAGCTACCCTGACACTTCGCACTCCGTTCCCCCAGCGAAATCTGAATTTGCCTCCCAGTTCGATCCCGCAGACTGTCAGGCACCCTAACCTTCAATTAAACAAAACAAAACAAAAACCAAAAACCCAAAAGGCAGGTCGGACGTAATAGGTCACGCCTGTAATCTCAACACTTTGGACAGGCCCAGGCAGAGGATCATTTGAGGCCCGGAGTTCGGGACCAGCCTGGGCAAATAGTGACACCCAACCCCCGTCTCTATTTATTTAAAAATTAGGCCGGGCGCGGTGGCTCACGCCTGTAATCCCAGCACTTTGAGAGGCCGAGGCAGGTGGATCACGAGGTCAGGAGATCGAGACCATCCTGGCTAACACGGTGAAACCCCGTCTCTACTAAAAAAAAATTAGCAGAGTGTGGTGGCGGCGCCTGTAGTCCCAGCTACTCGGGAGGCTGAGGCAGGAAAATGGCGTGAACCCAGGACGCCGAGCTTGCAGTGAGCCGAGATTGCGCCACTGCACTCCAGCCTGGGCGACAGGGCGAGACTCTGTCTCAAAAAAAAAAAAATTATTGAAACTCATAAGTCATTTCAAATCCTTTCTGGACCCTTTCCTATCGCCCCCATTTATAAACGCGTATGATGTTTGGTGATGTGTGTTGTGTGTGTTGGTATCTTTTTCTTTTTTGAGACGGAGTCTGACTCTGTTGCCCAGGCTGGAGAGCAGTGGCGGGATCTCGGCTCACTGCAACCTCCGCTTCCTCGGTTCAAGCGATTTTCCTGCCTCAGCCTCCGAAGTAGCAAGGATTACAGGTGCACACAACCATGCCTGGCTAATTTTTATATTTTTAGTAGAGTCAGGGTTTCACCATGTAAGCCAGGCTGGTCTCGAACTCCTGACTTCAGGTGATTTGCCTGCCTAGGCCTCCACAAAGTGCCAGGATTATAGGTGTGAGCCACCGAGCCTGGCCTCTTCCTTTTTTTTTTTTTCTTTTTCTTTTTTTTTTTTTTTGAGATAGGGTCTTGCTCTGTTACCCAGATTGGAGTGCAGTGGCATGATCTCGGCTTACTACAACCTCTGCCTCCCGGGTTCAAGTGATTCTCTTGCCTCAGCCTCCTGAGTAGCTGAGATTACAGGCATCTGCCACCACACCCAGTTAATTTTATATATTTTTAGTAGAGACAGGGGTTTTCACCATGTTGGCCCAGGCTGGTTTTGAACTGGTGAACCTCAGTGATCCTCCCACCTCGGCCTCCCAAAGTGCTGGGATTACAGGCGTGAGCCACCGTGGCCAGCCCAGTTCAGTGGTTTTCTCCACATTGGCTGCAAATTACAAACACCTGGGCAGCTTTAAATGTCTACACTGCCCTCTTTGAGATTCTGAATTGGCCTGAGAGAGGCCTGGCATCTGTATTTTTTTAGCATCCCTTAATCGTTTTATTGTTCCATTACGGTGGAGAGCCATGGCTCAAAGCTAAAGTATTTGTTCCCTCTACTGCCTGGCAAGTATATAAAAAAAAGATTAGCTATGGGTGGTGGCATACACGTGTAGTCCCAGCTAATCAGGAGGCTAAGGATCAATTGAGCCCAGGAGGTCGAGGCTGCCATGAACCGTGATCATACCACTGCACTCTAGCCTGGGCAACAGAGTGAGACCCTGCCTTAAAAAAAATATATATATATACAGAAAGCCCTAATTCCTGCTGTTTTGGCAGTTAAGCTGCCTTTACTAAGTGCTATGGTCAGAGGCTTTAGTTCCTCTTTTTTTTTTTTTTTTTTTTTTTGAGACAGAGTTTCGCTCTTGTTGCCCAGGCTGGAGTGCAATGGCGCGATCTCGGCTCACAGCAACCTCCGCCTCCCAGGTTCAAGCCATTCTCCTGCCTCAGCCTCCAGGGTAGCTGGGATTACAGGCATGCGCCACCACACCCGGCTAATTTTGTATTTTTAGTAGAGATGGGGTTTCTCCATGTTGGTCAGGCTGGTCTCGAACTCCAGACCTCAGGTGATCCGCCCGCCTCGGCCTCCCAAAGTGCTGGGATTATAGGTGTGAGCCACCGCGCCTGGCCTAGTTCATCTCTTTCATTAATAAAACAGGCCTTTAAGAATTGGCCCAAGGGCCGGGCATAGTGGCTCACGCCTATAATCCCAGCACTTTGGGAGGCCAAGGCAGGCAGATCACCTGAGGTCAGGAGTTCGAGACCAGCCTGCCCAACATGGCGGAAACCTCGTCTGTACTAAAAATACAAAAAATTAGCTGAGCATAGTGGCCGGTGCCTGTAATCCCAGCTACTTGGGAGGCTGAGGCAGGAGAATCGTTTGAACCTGGGAGGTAGAGGTTGCAGTGAGCCGAGATTGCTCCACTGTACTCCAGCCTGGGCAACAAAAGTGAAACTCTGTCTCAAAAAAAAAAAAAAAAAAAAAAAACTTGGCCCCAAAACCAAAGAAACTTACTATATTCCTTTTCTTTTATACACTTTCAAGGAGGATTTCCAGTATTATGTAATCCTTAAAACGTTTTAAGGATTTAAAACATTTTAAAACCCTAGAGGGTAAGGATTTACACAAAGGTGCAACACAGGACTTTAACCGTTTTATTTATGTTTTTTTGAGATGAAGTATTGCTCTGTCACCCAGGGTGGAGTACAGTGGCGCAATCTCAACTCACTACAACCTCCGCCTCCAGGGTTCAAGTGATTCTCCTTCCTCAGCCTTCCATGTAGCTGGGATTATAGACATGCCCCACCGTGCCCACCTAGTAGAGACAGGGTTTCACCATGTTGACCAGGCTGGTCTGGAACTCCTGACCTTAGGTGATCCAACCGTCCCACCTCGGTCTCCCAAAGTGCTGGGATTACAGGCGTGAGCCCCCACGCCCGGCCAGCTAATTCTATTGTTTTTTGTAGAGATGGGTTTTCGCTATGTTGGCCAGGCTGGTTTTGAACTCCGGACCTCAAGTGATCCGCCCACCTCACCCTCCCTAAATTCTGGGATTATAGGCATGAGCCATCGCACCTGGCCCATTTTATTTGATTTTTAAATTCTTTTTGTAAATTGACAAACTTTAGTTGCATATATTGGTACAAAGTAGTTATTAACACAATATGGAGTAATTAAATCAAGCTAATTAACATATCACCTCAAATATTTTTGTGACAAGAACATTTGAAATTTTGAAATATACAATACACTATTAACTATTTTCACCATGCCATGCAATATATACCCTCCACCCACCACCCCCCCAAAAAAAAACACAAAAACTGGCAGGGCACAGTGGCTCACGCCTATAATCCCAGCACTTTGGGAGGACTAGACAAGGGGATCGCTTGAGCTGAAGAGTTCGAGACCAACCTGGGCAACACAGCAAGACTTCGTCTCTACAAAATACAAAAAATTAGCTGAGCATGATGGCACATACCTGTAGACCCAGTACTCAGGAGGCTAAGGTGGGAGGATTGCTTGAACCCAGGAGTTTGAGACTACAGTGAGCTCTACTGTGCTCCAGCCTGGGTGACAGAGCAATATCCCGTTTCAAAAAAAAAAAAATACAATTTATTTCTCCTGACTAAGGCTTTGTTTCCCTTGCACGTCTCCCCATTCCCCCATCCCACAGCCCTTGGTGACCACCACTTCTCTGCTTCTGAGTTCTACTGTTTAGATTCCACATATAAATGAATATGAGCCGAGGTCAGGAGATTGAGACCATCCTG
The DNA here is from genome assembly GCF_000001405.40 of Homo sapiens. Lineage (NCBI taxonomy): Eukaryota > Metazoa > Chordata > Mammalia > Primates > Hominidae > Homo > Homo sapiens. The sequence goes on along the minus strand of NC_000006.12, from coordinate 31,830,832 downwards.
GCTAACACGGTAAAACCCTGTCTCTACCAAAAATACAAAAAATTAGCCAGGCGTGGTGGCAGGCGCCTGTAGTCCCAGTTACTCAGGAGGCTGAGGCAGGAGAATCGCTTGAACCCGGGAGGCGGAAGTTACCGTGAGCTGAGATTGCGCCACTGCACTCCAGCCTGGGCGACAAGAGTGAGAGTGAGACTCCGTCTCAAAAAAAAAAAAAAAAAAAGTCAGCATTTTTTTGTGGACTCCGCTCACTAAGTAGAAGAGGGAGAGAAAACCACCATAATCCCATCTCAGCACCACCCCTCCCCTCCCCGCCCCAGTGAACCCACCTCAACCACCCCTCCAATACCGTTTTGCAGCTGCCATCCGACTTTTCCCTGAAACAAGCCCCACTCTAATCAAGACGGGCACCTGCAATTTCTCTTAAGGCCCACAATTAAGCCCAAACAAAAATATGTGTAGCTCTAACTCCTACACGTATAACTCTTCAGCAGTACTGTTCTTTTCAGACTATAAAGATAGATGGTATTCAGACACTATCCCTCCGCAAATATCCATTATCTTCACATATTAACAGACAAGAAAAAGTTTAACATTTTATTTTTCATATTTAAATAAACAAATTATAAAAACATACATTCCCAGCCTTTGTAGTGTTTTCGCCAAGCAAAAAAAAAAAAAAAAAAAAAAAACAAACAAACTCGTACAGAAGGTGGCAGTGTTGATTCATTTAAAGGGAACGAAACACCCTTACAGTATCAACATTAAATGCAAAGAATTCTAATGAACATATCGGTTGTACTACAAAAATAATGAAGCCAGCTAATTACCATCAGGTTACAACTTTACAAAGAAGTGAAGCAGCAAAGAGCTGAAGCAGAAATGACATAGGAAAACAGCAGCAAAGTCCTTGAGTCCCAACAGTCCACCTCAAAGACAAACATACTAAAGAACAAAGGCCCCTAATCCACCTCCTCAATGGTAGGGCCTGACCCAGACCCTCCCTTGGGACCCTGAGCCCCGAAGCCGCCAGGCCCGGGACCACCGGCACCCTGGTACAGTCCGCTGATGATGGGGTTACACACCTGCTCCAGCTCCTTCCTCTTGTGCTCAAACTCGTCCTTCTCGGCCAAGGTGTTGGCGTCCAGCCACGAGATGACCTCTTGACACTTGTCCAGAACCTTCTTCTTGTCCGCCTCGCTGATCTTGCCCTTGAGCCCCTCATCCTCCACGGCGCTCTTCATGTTGAAGGCGTAGGACTCCAGGGCGTTCTTGGCTGACACCCTCTCGCGCTGCACCTCGTCCTCCGCTTTGTACTTCTCCGCCTCCTGCACCATGCGCTCGATCTCCTCCTTGCTCAGGCGGCCCTTGTCGTTGGTGATGGTGATCTTGTTGGCCTTGCCGGTGCTCTTGTCCGTGGCCGTGACGTTCAGGATGCCGTTGGCATCGATGTCGAAGGTCACCTCGATCTGGGGCACGCCCCTGGGGGCCGGAGGGATGCCGCTCAGCTCGAAGCGCCCCAACAGATTGTTGTCTTTCGTCATGGCCCTCTCGCCCTCGTACACCTGGATCAGCACCCCGGGTTGGTTGTCGGAGTAGGTGGTGAAGATCTGCGTCTGCTTGGTGGGGATGGTGGAGTTGCGCTTGATCAGGGCAGTCATCACGCCTCCGGCCGTCTCCAGCCCCAGCGACAGGGGAGCCACGTCCAGCAGCAGCAGGTCCTGCACGTTCTCGGACTTGTCCCCCATCAGGATGGCCGCCTGCACCGCCGCCCCGTAGGCCACAGCCTCGTCGGGGTTGATGCTCTTGTTCAGGTCGCGCCCGTTGAAGAAGTCCTGCAGCAGCTTCTGCACCTTGGGGATGCGGGTGGAGCCCCCGACCAGGACCAGGTCGTGAATCTGGGCCTTGTCCAGCTTGGCGTCGCGCAGAGCCTTCTCCACGGGCTCCAGGGTGCTTCGGAACAGGTCGGAGCACAGCTCCTCGAACCTCGCCCTGGTGATGGACGTGTAGAAGTCGATGCCCTCAAACAGGGAGTCGATCTCCAGGCTGGCCTGGGTGCTGGACGACAGGGTCCTCTTGGCCCTCTCGCAGGCGGTGCGCAGCCGCCTCACGGCTCGCTTGTTCTGGCTGATGTCCTTCTTGTGTTTTCTCTTGAACTCCTCCACGAAGTGGTTCACCAGCCTGTTGTCAAAGTCCTCCCCACCCAGGTGGGTGTCCCCGGCCGTGGCCTTCACCTCGAAGATGCCGTCGTCGATCGTCAGGATGGACACGTCGAAGGTGCCCCCGCCCAGGTCAAAGATGAGCACGTTGCGCTCCCCCTTGCCCGTTCTGTCCAGGCCGTAGGCGATGGCGGCGGCCGTGGGCTCGTTGATGATCCGCAGCACGTTGAGCCCCGCGATCACACCCGCATCCTTGGTGGCCTGGCGCTGCGAGTCGTTGAAGTAGGCCGGCACGGTGATCACCGCGTTGGTCACCGGGTAGCCCAGGTACGCCTCGGCGATCTCCTTCATCTTGGTCAGCACCATGGACGAGATCTCCTCGGGGTAGAATGCCTTGGTCTCCCCCTTGTAGCTCACCTGCACCTTGGGCTTGTCTCCGTCGTTGATCACCTGGAAAGGCCAGTGCTTCATGTCCGACTGCACCACCGGGTCGCCGAACTTGCGGCCAATCAGCCGCTTCGCGTCAAACACGGTGTTCTGCGGGTTCAGCGCCACCTGGTTCTTGGCCGCATCCCCGATGAGCCGCTCGGTGTCCGTGAAGGCCACGTAGCTGGGGGTGGTGCGGTTGCCCTGGTCGTTGGCGATGATCTCCACCTTGCCGTGTTGGAACACCCCCACGCAGGAGTAGGTGGTGCCCAGGTCGATGCCGATCGCCGCGGCTTTGGCCATGCCGGTGCCCTGCTCTGTGGGCTCCGCTCTGAGACTGGGGGCTGGAAACGGCGGACGGGATCCGCGACAAGAGCTCAGTCCTTCGGAACGCCGGAAACTCAACACGCCGGTGCCTGCAGCCGCACAGGTTCGCTCTGGAAAGCCTTGGGACCGCGGGAGTCACTCTCGAAAGACGAAGCGGACCCTCGCAGCAGCTCCTCAGGCTGGCCGTTTTCCGGACCGCGCGCCCCTCGGCTTTTATAAGTCGTCGTGGAGACCCGCCTTTCCCCTTCTGAGCCAATCACCAAGCTCGATGAGGCTGCCAGGTCGGGAATATTCCAGGGGTTTCGCCTCCCGTCCTGCCCCCCAGCCTTCCTTGGACCAATCAGAGGGCAGGGTGCCGCCCTCTGCTCAGAACTCTCCAGAGTCTTCTGGGATTCACTGGAGGGGACAGGGGCCCTGAGAGAAAGGGGGAGTGGTGGTGGGAAGGGTGTTGGTCTCCATGGCGATGCTGGCCGCCTGCCCTTCAGTAGGTAATTGACAGGAAGGGCCCGCTCTGGGCGGTGCGAGATTGGTCGGATGACTTTGGAGACAACCAGAACCCGAAAGTTACCTTGTTTCTCGAAGGAGGCGGTGCATCGATGTGCCTGGGAAACTCTGATTGGACTGTGTCTGTGAAGGACGGAGCAGCCTTGGGTCCTTTCTCCGAGGCACCTAATGGCCTAGTCTGCCTGAGAAACGGACCGGCTCTCCCGGATGTTTTTTCCGTCTTAATGGGAAGGAGAAGGAAAGAGATAATGCAATATAGTTTTTGACATAATCTTTAACCTACAAGGATAGAACAACTGGGAATAGGAGCCTTTAAATTTTCACAAGGAAAGCAGTTGTGTAAACAGGCAGTTCTTAGCAAGACAGGGGCACCCATCCAAGGAGGAAGGGAGGCGCTGGTCGGGTAATGGGAGCAGTGGGTCCGCCGCACCCCTGTCCCCGCCCTCAGCCGCTCCCCTCAGCTGCAACCAGGAGTTAGAAAAAAATTTTCCTTAGTATGTAGGCCGTCCTTAAGGCATTTGGGATTCCTCCATTTCCCTCCCCATTCCTAGCTTGGGGTCTGGGACACCTCCTTCCTACTTTCTCAATTCCTGGTTCACTCCTGGACGGTGTGTAGAAGTAGGACCTCACAGTCCCGAGTAAGATTTTCTGTCTGTCCCTGAAACCCCTAGGCTGTTACCGTTTTTAGGTCAAATTTAACAAGATGGTGACCCTGGGAGGGAGGTGCGGGGGGTGTTTAGCTCTCTTTAACATCACATACTACAGCTGTTTGGCAGGTGGCCCTCTTTAAGCAAACTGTGTGGAGTGATGCTGGAAAGCAGGAGGGGTTGGGACCCAGGTTCTAGTTACTAGCTCCTCTTAACACCTCAGGTTATGTGTCTTAAGTTTGTTGTTTTCGTTTTGAGACAGTCTCGCTCTGTCGCCCAAGCTGGAGTGCAGTGGCGTGATCTCGGCTCACTGCAACCTCCGCCTCCCGGGTTTAAGCAATTCTCCTACCTCAGCCTCCTGAGTAGCTAGGATTACAGGCGTGCGCCACCACGCCTGGCTAATTTTTGTATTTTTAGTAGAGACAGGGTTTCCCCATGTTGGTCAGGCTGGTCTCGAACTCCTGACCTCGTGATCCGCCCATGTTGGTCAGGCTGGTCTCGAACTCCTGACCTCGTGATCCGCCCACCTCGGGCTCCCAAAGTGCTGGGATTACAGGCGTGAGCCACCATTCCCGGCCTGTTGTTTTTGTTTGTTTGTTTTGAGACTGAGTCTCACTCTGTCGCCCAGGCTGGAGTGCAGTGGTGAGATCTCTGCTCATTGCAACCTCTGCCCCTGGGGTTCAAACAATTCTGCTGCCTCAGCCTCCCCAATAGCTGGAATTACAGGATGTGCCACCACGCCGGGCTAATTTTTGTATTTTTAATAGAGACAGGGTTTCGCCATGTTGGCCAGGCTGAATGTGTCTAAGTTTTTATCCTAGATTCCAACTTCCTGCGGATTCTCCTTCCTCCTGTTTTAAATACGGTTGCATTTAGTAATTTACTTTCCCTTTGTTTTTTTCCTTCATTCTTAGTGTGAATGCAAGACCCTTTGTTAGGCGTCTGAAAGGAAAATGTGAGGGGGTTGAAGCAATAGTACTGTGTTTACAACCTACCACAAAAAAAAAAAAGAAAAGAAAAAAAAAATAGCCTCATTGCCATGGCGATATTCCTTGAGCACAAATGAAAGGAAGAAGTTACTGATGAAGGAATAATCCTGTTTTTAAACACTTTGCTCAATTGGCACTTTTCATATGCACACCTGCACACACACACCTGTCCACTATCAAAACACCTCTTCCTGGAATTTAAGGGTATTCATTTGTTTATAATTCACTGATCTAAACTCATGTTGCAAATAAATTGCTTTAACAATATGTGTGTGTCTGTATGTGCAGGTAGGTGATAACTTTCACATTCAGCTTTAGCTCCCTAATGAATCACCTCTCTAAACTAGTCAAACCGGTCAAACTTCAGGAATTTTCCCAAACATTTCTCTATGAAATGTCTGGCTGGAGATTCTCCCAAACTATGTTCATCTTAGCTGCACAGTGTATCAACACTTCCAGAGACCCTTAACCTCACCCCTCCCTCTGGAAACTTCCTCACCATCAACTGCTACTACTGGCAGGTCTGGATTCATTCCTTCCCTCCTTCCAAATCCACAATTTAAAAGGCCAGCACAGTGGCTCACACCTGTAATCCCAGCACTTTGGGAGGCCGAAGCAGCAGATCACCTGAGGTCAGAAATTCGAGACCAGCCTGACCAACATGGAGAAAGCCGGTCTCTACTAAAAATACCAAAAAAAAAAAAAAAAAAAATTACCTGGGCATGGTGGCGCATGCCTGTAATCCCAGCTACTTGGGAGTCTGAGGCAGGAGAATCATTTGAACCCAGGAGGCGGAGGTTGCGGTGAGCCGAGATCGCGCCACTGCACTCCAGCCTGGGCAACAAGAGCGAAACTCCTTCTCAAAAATAAAATACTTCTCTGATTCTGCTGAGAAACATAAAAAGTGGGGAGTGGGGGGTGGGAGAGGGGGAGAAAAAACCTCTCTATTGGCATGAAGCAAAGGGCATCACTGTCTCAACTGCCTAGCAAGTAGATGTGGTGTTGGGACCCCAAATCTTGGGTGCTCTCTGGATAGCAGAAAAATCCAATATAAATGCTGTTTTTCTTCAATCAGTCACACTAGTCAGAGTCTACAGTGCTATAGTTGACCTAGCTTTTAAGTGAAGCCTCTGTGGACTAGACTGGAAACCCACACATACATATTCCTTGTCCATTTCCTGACAAGGAGAGGGTCACCTGAATTTTCTTTTTTTTTTCTTTTTTTTTTTTTTGAGACAGAGTCTTGCTCTGTCGCCCAGGCTGGAGTGCAATGGCACAGTCTTGGCTCACTGCAACCTCCACCTCCCAGGTTCAAGCGATTCTCCTGCCTCAGCCTCCTGAGTGGCTGGGATTACAGGTGCACACCACCACGCCTGGCTAATTTTTGTATTTTTAGTAGAGAGGGGGTTTCGTCATGTTGGCCAGTCTGGTCTCGAACTCCTGACCTCAAGTGATCCGCCCGTCTGGGCCGCCCAAAGTGCTGGAATTACAGGCATGAAGCACCACGCCGGCCTTTTCTTTCCTTTCAGACTGGATGCTTCCCAAGGCAGAAATCCAGTCACAAGTTTAATTGCTGTCTAAGGTGAATATATAAGAACCCCAGGAGATTTTTCAGAACTTTAATGTGATTAATTTCAGAATTAGGTTTTTATTGGATTCTGTGTTTGGAAGGATCAGAGCTCAGAGTCCCCAAAGTGAAAGCCAGGTTAGATGCTTTCAAAGGGACAAGAGAACTGAAGAGGGAGTGCCAAGAACATAATTGCTACAGCAGTGTGGGGTAAGACAGCCTTCTTCAGGCTGACGCTGCAGGGTCTTTTCCTTCCTTCTCCCTCTCCTTTTTATAGTTCCTCAAACAGTAGTTTTCTTAATTTTGTTCATTTTAAAAGATGGTATAGGCCGGGCGCGATGGCTCATGCATGTAATCCCAGCACTTTGGGAGGCCGAGATGGGTGGATCACCTGAGATCAGGAGTTCAAGACCAGCCCGGCAAACATGGCAAAACCCCTTCTCTCCTAAAAACACAAAAATTAGCCGGACGTGGTGGTGCACATCTGTAATCCCAGCTACTCAGGAGCTGAGGCAGGAGAATCACTTGAACCTGGGAGGTGGAGGTTGCAGTGAGCTGAGATCGCACCACTACACTCCAGTCTGGGTGACAGAGCAAGACTCTGTCTCAAAAAAATAATAAATTAAAAAAAAAAGCTGTTATAATTTTAAGTTTATCCAAATGAACTTAAATGAAAGCAAAAGAGTTAATTGATATGAAATCTAGAGGCAGGCATTCTTAACTGAATGAATGACAAATGCTTCAATGACAAAGAGAACCCTGGCCATTTCTAGCAGCATGGAAAGAAAAAATCTGGGAAGGGAAAATCCTGGATTTGCATCTGCGCTCTACTTCTTTGGTGAGGCTGTTTTTCTTTTCAACAAGGAAGTACTTGTACATTGACTAAATAACACAAGTTTCGACGTGTTCATCTCTAAAACATAATTAACAATAACTGAACTGCGTGTGGTGACTCAGGTCGGTAATCCCAGTGCTTTAGGAAGCCAAGGCAGGCACTTGAACTCAGAAGTCCAAGATCAGCCTGGGCAACATAGTGGGACACCATCTCTACTAAAAACTTTACAAGTTAGCTGGGCGTGGTGGCAGGTGCCTGTAGTCCCAGCTACTTGGGAGGCTGAGGCAGGAGGATCGCTTGAGCACAAGAGGTCAAGGCTGCAGTGAGCTATGATCACGCCACTGCATTCCAGCCTGGGAGACAGAGATCCTGTCTCGAATAAAAAAATTTTTTTTCCCTACATGATCAAAGAGAATATGATCTTCTCCCTCCTTTTATTGGGGATCCCATACTCTCGGATATGACTCGTAGTCATTCTTATTTAGGTGTTTAAAAGTTGGGGACCATTATTAGGACTACAGCTGCTTTCAGCTTAATGTAAAAACTGTCCTAAGATCTGCGGGCACAGGCCATTCAGTCAAACCTTTTCATTTTCAAAGACAGCACCAAGGATCAAAGAAGTTCAGTGGCTTGATCTGGTTACCCAGATGACAGGTTACAGAACCGGTGATTGGACCCACGGGTTCTGACACTCATTTTGTACTCCTTCCCACATTGGCTCATCAACCTAACTGGGTTTTGTTTGCTTTTAATTTTGTGGTTAGACCTAATTGTTTTATTCTCTAAAGAGGAAAACAAATGAATACAGTGTTGGCCTCTGCGAGCATTAAGGGCACCACGGGTATGTGATCAGCCAGGGACTCCCGTCCTGGCTGCTGCTCTGCTCTTCGGACTCAAGACCATGGCCCCTACAAGCTCTTGCCTTCCCCACCTTCCAGCTCTCCCAGCCCTGCCTCTCCTTTCCGATAGAACAGATTGCTCAAGCAGAAAGAGGGGAAAGGAGGGGGGAGCCCCGTTACTAGGGCAAGGTTGGCATATAGTTCACAGAATCTTCCGGACGTTAAATATAGAGTCCTGACTAACCTTGATGTTTTAGGGCCGGCTGGCGAGAGGAGGGAGAGACTCGGGTGGCGCAGTTTGTTGGGGAGTGTCCCTAAGAATGACACAGCAGTTCTCGCCTTGAAGGTCAGAAAACTCTAGAAACTTCGGGCAGAGCCAGCGACGGGGGAAAAAGCCTCAGCCAAAGGGGAGGAAAGGTGGGGAGTGCGGGGGGGGGGCGGGGGGAGAAAAGGCGGGGCCGCTGGGGCCTGAGGGCGGGGCTGGCTTCGGGGCTGCCTATCCGACTCCTGCGTTTTCTGATGTTTTTTTTTTTCCAAAAAGGGATTAAAGGAGGAAAGAAAGGACCTTTCGAGTTTCTCTCATACTAGGTGATTTACAAGACGAAAATATTGGAGAATTTTGTAACTTTCATACAACTAAATCAGATGCATTGGGTGGCCAGAGGCGAGAAGAGAAGGTCCCCACCGCCCACGGCCAGCGCGCACCCGTCTGCGCGGGGACGCGCGACTGATGGGAGAGTAGGGGATGGAGTCGGTTGGCTTTTGCCTACAGCCAGCTCAGCGCCCCGTTCTAGTCCCTCGCCCCGTGAGGCATCAGGAGAGTAAGAAAATTAGACCCTCAGGAGTGATTCTCGGTTGCTGGGCTCCTCCGTAGTCCCAGCCTGTGAACCTGCTCCAGCCCTCCTCTGGTGCCCTCCCTTCTAATTTTTTTTTTTTTCACTTTTTTTTGAGGCAGGGTCTCGCTTTGTCGCCCAGACTGGAGTGCAGTGGCGCAATCACGGCTCACTGCAGCCTCAAGCGATCCTCCCGCCCCAGCCTCCCGGGTAGCTGGGACTCCAGGCCCGCGCCACCACGCCCTGCTCCTCTCTCCTCCAATTCTTGATCGGGCTGGACGTGGGCCAGCGGGGTGGGGCGGGTTTAACTCCGTGTCTGGAATGCTCCGCTGCCCTACCCCTCAAACATCCCTTTAAATGGTGGTGCTAGGAAAGGACGAGGGCCCGGTGGGTTTACTCCCTCTGGCTGAACTACACCTGATAGATACCTCAGGGGCGTTTCCCAAGGGGATGGATTTAGATCAGTTAGCAGGAGGAATGGTGGCTGTCACAATTTTTTATATTCACGTAAGGATCGCTCCCTCAGAAATCGCCAATATTGGCTCCCCCAAGAAATAACCTCATTTCCTTTTTTAGCCTAAAGCCGTATTATTTCTGCCCACTTCTCTCACATCTATAAAATACTGTAGTTAATTTTTTGTTTTGGTACCTTTTTTGTCTTTTTGAGGATGACAAGAACTCTTGAAGACCAGGAATAACAGTAAGTGTATATGTTATAAAATAAAATCCTGGGTTCAAAGCCATATAAAATCAAATTTATTATCATAGCCTGCTGCCTTCTGAGGCCTGGTATAGGAAGGTAGGAGGTGATTGGAATTGAGAAGATATTTATATTTGTTTTTCCACACCTGCAGTTATTTTTCCTGTTGCACTTTCCTCCCTCAAAGTTCCTCTGCTCCTCAAAACATCACTCCGTTTATGGGTGGCACTGCATTCTCTTTGCTAATTCCACAGCTCCCTCAACGTCTTTTCTTGAGGTTACAAAGTGAATATTTCAAGGTACAGTACTCTGTGCTAGGGTATGCAGGCAAACAATTTTTTTTTTTTTTTTTTTTTTGGAGACGGAGTCTTGCTCTGTCGCCCAGGCTGCAGTGCAGTGGCACGATCTCGGCTCACTGCAACCTCCACCTCCCGGGTTCAAGTGAGTCTCCTGCCTCAGCCTCCTGAGTAGCTGGGATTACAGGCGCCCACCACCACGCCTAGCTAATTTTTGTATTTTTAGTAGAGGTGGGGTTTCACCATCTTGGCCAGGCTTGTCTTGAACTCCTGACCTAGTGAGCCACCCGCCTCGGCCTCCCAGAGTGCTGGGATTACAGGCATGAGCCACCACGCCCGGCCGACAAGTAATAATTTTTACATATTTCTTGTTAAAACACCTACTAATAAGCTTGATAGGGCCATAGGAACTCTCTTATTGCCTCCATTCAATGTTATGTCTGATGACTTCTCTACTGTGTCAACAAAGGCATTTGGTAGGTCCTTCCCCATCTCCACCCTTTTCCAATTACCTTTTTCCCCACTCCATGCCACAGTAGTGGTAGTTGCTCCTGGTTTAGAGTCACTACAGGGTCTGCAGATCAGAGTCACAAATGCTACTGCAGCTCTGAAGGGGAGAGGAGGTCCTATAGCAAAGGCATATTCCCATGAAGATTGATTTACATTGTGGCCAGAGTCCACAGTACTACAGTTTAACTACCATAAGAGATAAATGTTCCTCTGTAGACTGGCCTGGAAACCTAAGCATTTCATATTTATTTTCTATTTTCAAACTTCCAAAGCAAGGTCTACCTTTATGTATCATTTCCCATAACACTGGATTTTCTTCATTAACAAGTATTTAGTGAATGGTTTGATGGGCTTTGAGGTACACATAAGCTCATAAAGTGCTTTAATGTAATATTGATACAATTGATTTTTTTTTCTTTTTTTTTTTTTTAGAGACAGGGTCTCACTCTGTTGCTCAGGCTGGAGTGCAGTGGTACAGTCATGGCTCACTGCAGCCTTGACCTTTACAATGTTATGCAACCGTCAACTCTGGTTCCAAAACATTTTCATCGCCCTTAGATACTATTTATTTATTTATTCACTGAGACAGAATTTCACTCATTGTTCAGGCTGGAGTGCAATGGCACGATCTTGGCTCACTGCAACATCCACCTCCTGGGTTCAACCGATTCTTCTGCCTCAGCCTCCCAAGTTGCTGGGATTATAGGTGCCCGCCACCACGCCCAGCTAATTTTTTGTATTTTTAGTAGAGATGGGGTTTCACCCTGTTGGCCAGGCTGGTCTTGAACTCCTGACCTCAGGTGATCCACCCACCTCGGCCTCCCAAAGTGCTGGGATTACAGGCATGAGCCACTGCGCCTGGCCGACACAATTTTTATTTTTTGAGATGGAGTCTCGCTCTGTCACCTAGGCTGGAGTGCAGTGGCGCAATCTCGGCTCACTGAAACCTCTGCCTTTGAGTTCAAACGATTCGCCTGCCTCAGCCTCCCGAATAGCTGGGATTACAGGCGCACACCATCGCGCCTGGCTGATTTTTGTACTTTTAGTGCAGGAGGTGGGTGGTGGGGGGGGTCCTCACCATGTTGGCCAGGCTGGTCTCGAACTCCTGACCTCAGGTGATCCGCCTGCCTCAGCCTCCCAAAGTGCTGGGATTACAGGCATGAGCCAGCACGCCCGGCCAGATACAATTCATTTTTAAAAGGGCTCACTCCGGGAGCTTTAAGGATTGTAGTGGGCGTTTTCCAAGGAGGAGGGAATTACTTCTAGGATGCTAGCGGCTGGGGCATGAAGCATCTCCAAGGGAAAGTGCATGGGAGTGAAGTCTGTAGGTCTTCCTGGCCCGGGTGCTCACTGGCGTACTTAAATTGTAGGTGATAACTGCTAAGAATGTGACATTTCTATTTCAGTATGCTTTCAGTCATGAGAGAGGCATCGAGCCAAACCCTTCCATTTTAAAAGATGACAACTAAAGCACATGTGTATAACTCAGCAAGCCAGTGAATGTACCCGTTTTTTCACTTTGAAATTTAGGACACTCCTTCCATTCCATGTTGAATCTAGATTAAGTATCAAGTCCATGAGCATATCAGGTGTACCTACAGGAGGTAGGAGCGCTGGCCTCCCATCTAACTGCATTCTTTTTGACCACTTTTGCAGAAACATCCCCGCCCCCCTCCCACCTCTTTTGAGACCAATCTTACACAAACATCACTTTAAGGCTACCCTCCCAGGTGTTAAACTTTTTCTGTACCCTCAGGCTAAACCCAATCAGCATCAACAAACTTTACTTTTTTGTGTGTGTGTGTGAGACGGAGTCTTGCTGTGATGCCCAGGCTAGAGTGCAATGGCGTGATCTCGGCTCACTGCTACCACTGCTTCCTGGGTTCACACGATTCTCCTGCCTCAGCCTCCCTGGGACTACAGGCACGCACCACCACGCCCAGCTAATTTTTGTGTTTTTAGTAGAGACAGGGTTTCACCACATTGGCCAGGTTGGTCTGGAACTCCTGACCTCAAGTGATCCGCCCACCTCAGCCTCCCAAAGTGCTGGGATTACAGGCTTGAGCCACCACTCCTGGCCAGAATCAAGAAGCTTTACTGGAGGATACCATTTGTCTAACACAAATGGATCACATTACAATAGTCACACCTCTGCAAAATCTGCCCTTACTGGAAGCAAAAATGCCATTCCATTTTAGACGCTATGGGAAAAACAACCTATGCAGACCCTACTGACCCCCAAATAAAGGAATAAAAGGCATCACTTGAATTTTAAAGTTTATTTACTTTGAAGTAACCAACTTAAAAAATGGCCTGAGTTAAGTGTATTAAAAAGAAGAAATAGTCGTAAGATGGCAGTATAAATTCATCTCTGCATGTAGAAACCGGAAAAAAAGCAAGTTCAGTACTTCACCAAAAAATTTCAACATTGCAAACACAGGAAATTGAGAACTGACAAACAGAAATACTAGGAAATGCAAAGTCTTGAAGCTCCAAAACAAAAACAGCAATCTTGGAAAGGCCCCTAATCTACCTCCTCAATGGTGGGGCCTGACCCAGACCCTCCCTTGGGACCCTGAGCCCCGAAGCCCCCAGGCCCGGGACCACCGGCACCCTGGTACAGTCCGCTGATGATGGGGTTACACACCTGCTCCAGCTCCTTCCTCTTGTGCTCAAACTCGTCCTTCTCGGCCAAGGTGTTGGCGTCCAGCCACGAGATGACCTCTTGACACTTGTCCAGCACCTTCTTCTTGTCCGCCTCGCTGATCTTGCCCTTGAGCCCCTCATCCTCCACGGCGCTCTTCATGTTGAAGGCGTAGGACTCCAGGGCGTTCTTGGCTGACACCCTCTCGCGCTGCACCTCGTCCTCCGCTTTGTACTTCTCCGCCTCCTGCACCATGCGCTCGATCTCCTCCTTGCTCAGGCGGCCCTTGTCGTTGGTGATGGTGATCTTGTTGGCCTTGCCGGTGCTCTTGTCCGTGGCCGTGACGTTCAGGATGCCGTTGGCATCGATGTCGAAGGTCACCTCGATCTGGGGCACGCCCCTGGGGGCCGGAGGGATGCCGCTCAGCTCGAAGCGCCCCAACAGATTGTTGTCTTTCGTCATGGCCCTCTCGCCCTCGTACACCTGGATCAGCACCCCGGGTTGGTTGTCGGAGTAGGTGGTGAAGATCTGCGTCTGCTTGGTGGGGATGGTGGAGTTGCGCTTGATCAGGGCAGTCATCACGCCTCCGGCCGTCTCCAGCCCCAGCGACAGGGGAGCCACGTCCAGCAGCAGCAGGTCCTGCACGTTCTCGGACTTGTCCCCCATCAGGATGGCCGCCTGCACCGCCGCCCCGTAGGCCACAGCCTCGTCGGGGTTGATGCTCTTGTTCAGGTCGCGCCCGTTGAAGAAGTCCTGCAGCAGCTTCTGCACCTTGGGGATGCGGGTGGAGCCCCCGACCAGGACCAGGTCGTGAATCTGGGCCTTGTCCAGCTTGGCGTCGCGCAGAGCCTTCTCCACGGGCTCCAGGGTGCTTCGGAACAGGTCGGAGCACAGCTCCTCGAACCTCGCCCTGGTGATGGACGTGTAGAAGTCGATGCCCTCAAACAGGGAGTCGATCTCCAGGCTGGCCTGGGTGCTGGACGACAGGGTCCTCTTGGCCCTCTCGCAGGCGGTGCGCAGCCGCCTCACGGCTCGCTTGTTCTGGCTGATGTCCTTCTTGTGTTTTCTCTTGAACTCCTCCACGAAGTGGTTCACCAGCCTGTTGTCAAAGTCCTCCCCACCCAGGTGGGTGTCCCCGGCCGTGGCCTTCACCTCGAAGATGCCGTCGTCGATCGTCAGGATGGACACGTCGAAGGTGCCCCCGCCCAGGTCAAAGATGAGCACGTTGCGCTCCCCCTTGCCCGTTCTGTCCAGGCCGTAGGCGATGGCGGCGGCCGTGGGCTCGTTGATGATCCGCAGCACGTTGAGCCCCGCGATCACACCCGCATCCTTGGTGGCCTGGCGCTGCGAGTCGTTGAAGTAGGCCGGCACGGTGATCACCGCGTTGGTCACCGGGTAGCCCAGGTACGCCTCGGCGATCTCCTTCATCTTGGTCAGCACCATGGACGAGATCTCCTCGGGGTAGAATGCCTTGGTCTCCCCCTTGTAGCTCACCTGCACCTTGGGCTTGTCTCCGTCGTTGATCACCTGGAAAGGCCAGTGCTTCATGTCCGACTGCACCACCGGGTCGCCGAACTTGCGGCCAATCAGCCGCTTCGCGTCAAACACGGTGTTCTGCGGGTTCAGCGCCACCTGGTTCTTGGCCGCATCCCCGATGAGCCGCTCGGTGTCCGTGAAGGCCACGTAGCTGGGGGTGGTGCGGTTGCCCTGGTCGTTGGCGATGATCTCCACCTTGCCGTGTTGGAACACCCCCACGCAGGAGTAGGTGGTGCCCAGGTCGATGCCGATCGCCGCGGCTTTGGCCATGCCGGTTCCCTGCTCTCTGTCGGCTCCGCTCTGAGATTGGGGGCTGGAAACGGAACACTGGATCCGCGAGAAGAGCTCGGTCCTTCCGGACGCCGGAAACTCGACGCGCCGGTGCCTGCAGCCGCACAGGTTCGCTCTGGGAAGCCTTGGGACAACGGGAGTCACTCTCGAAAAAGGTAGTGGACTGTCGCAGCAGCTCCTCAGGCTAGCCGTTATCCGGACCGCTTGCCCCTGGGCTTTTATAAGTCGTCACGGAGACCCGCCTTTTCCCTTCTGAGCCAATCACCGAGCTCGATGAGGCTGCCAGGTCGGGAATATTCCAGGGTTTTCGCCTCCCGTCCTGCCCCCCAGCCTTCCTTGGACCAATCAGAGGCCAGAGTGCCGCCCCCTGCTCAGAACTCTCCAGAGTCTTCTGGGATTCACTGGAGGGGACAGGGACCCTGAGAGGAAGGGGGAGTGGCGGTGGGAAGGGTGTTGGTCTCCATGGCGATGCTGACCGCCTGCGCTTCAGCGCCTAATTGACAGGAAGGGTCGGCGCTGGGCTTTTAATTGTGGGGGCTTGCTGGGCCTGCGCAGTTGTGGGCAGGGGGCTGGTGCGGGGAGCGGGTTACGCGCGTCCAGGGGAGGGTGGGGGCGTTTGTGTTGACACCGCCCGGCCACGTTACAATGGAGATACTGTCTCTGACCTCATGGGCCAGTTTGGAAAAAGATTACTGAGTTGGAGCCGTCTCAAATTTGCAGGGAGGGACGGGGTGGGGGGTGGGGGGACCCCGGTTGTGCAGTTTGATATTGAGGGAGCCCCCACCTACTCGCTGGGGCTGCGTAATCTGGACGTTTCCAAACTGAAGCGAAGGCGTCGGGAGACTAGGTGAGCCAGTAGGGATCTGATTGATTGTGAACCTGAAAGGCTCAGTAGGTCCTTGTTTGGGAAAGTACTGGAAAGTTCCCTAGTTGGTTTAAGCCTGAGGTATGTGGGCGTTGGCTGATCCGGGTAGGAGGAGCACTTGGGGAAAGCTAAGATGGCTTCAGATTGATTGGTCGGAGCAGCCAGAATGGGGGAGGCGGGGGAAGGGAGTGCGGCCTGTCGGGGAAATGGGGAGGCGGGGAAGGCGGGGTAAGGGGGAGGCGGGGTAACTGGGAAGCGGGGGAAAGGGAGTGCGGCCTAGGAATCTGCGGTGTGGAGAGGGATAGACACTAAACCCTTTATTTTATTTTTATTTATTTATTTTTAATTTTTTTTTTTTTTTTGAGACGGAGTCTCGCTCTGTCGCCCAGGGTGGAGTGCAGTGGCACGATCTTGGCTCACTGCAAGCTCTGCCTCCCGAGTTCAGGCCATTCTCCTGCCTCAGCCTTCCGAGTAGCAGGGACTGCAGGCGCCCGCCACCGCGCCCGGCTAATTGCTCCACCTCCCGGGTTCAAGCTATTCTCCTGCCTCAGCCATCCGAGTAGCTGGAACTACTGGCGCCCGCCACCACGCCCAGCTAATTTTTTCTATTTTTTAGTAGAGACGAGGTTTCACCGTGTTAGCCAGGATGGTAGCCAGGATGGTCTCGTTCTCCTGACCCCGTGATCCGCCCGCCTCGGCCTCTCAAAGTGCTGGGATTACAGGCGTGAGCCACCGCCCCCCGCCCTTAAACCCTTTATTGATCAGTTATTGGCTCCAGAAAACAGGAGTTTTATTTAGGAGAAGGATACAGATACTGTCTGGAGTGCCATGTCGTTTGAGAAAACTGGAAGGCTTGTGGTTTTCTAGCAGTCATCTTCAGCCTGACTGGAATTTACTGCCGGTGAACCCCTAATAGAGAATATTATCCCAGGAAGGCAGCAGAACTCAAGTGTGGAGGCTGATGTCTCTTGAAGAGACCAGAATGTACACTACTCTTGGGTCATAAAGAGACAGAATCCCACAGTAAAATATATAGGAACAGGACAGTAGAATTAGGTCACTTGGGAAATTGAAAACAATATACAGCTACTTGCTTCCCAACTTCTTTGAGTAGCTGAGAATACTTTTGTCTACCCTGTCCAAAAAGCAGTCTGCCATGACAGTAGCGTCTCCATGTATTTGTATAGGCTTGCTCATAGCAACATTATTCTGTAAATTCTGTAATCTGTATCCATCGAGAGATAGATAAGCAAAATGTATATAGGCCGGGTGCGGTGGTGGCTCATGCCTGCCATCCCAGAACTTAGGGAGACCGAGGCGGGCGGATCACTTAAGGTTAGGAGTTTGAGACCATCCTGGTCAACATGGTGAAACTCTGTTTTTACTAAAAATACAAAAATTATCTGGGCGTGGCAGTGCACGCCTGTAGTCCCAGCTCCTCGGGAGGCTGAGGCTGGAGAATTAGCTTGAACCCAGGAGGTGGAGGTTGCAGTGAGCCAAGATCATGCCACTGCACTCCAGCCTGGGTAACAGAGTGAGACTCTGTCTCAAAACAAAATCAAAAACAGTGGTATATAAATATGAATATTACTCAGCCTTAGGAAGGAAATTGTGACATGTTACAACATGGATGAAACCTGTGCACATAAGCTAAGTGACATAAGCAAAGTCACAAAAGGATAAATACTGTATAATTCCACTTATATGAAGTTACAAGAGTAGTCAAATTCATAGAGATAGAAAAAAGAGGTCGGGCGCCTTGGCTCAAGCCTATAATCCTAACACTTGGTGACTTGGAGGTGGGAGGAGGTTTCCTTGAGCTCAGGAGTGAGAAACTAGCTTGGGCAACAGGGAGACCTGGTCTCTACAAAAAAATAAAAAATTAGCTGGGTGTGGTGGCATTCACCTGTGGTCCAAGCTACTTGGGAGGCTGAGACAAAAGGATCCTATGAGCCTGGGAGGTCAAGACTGCAGTGAGCCATGATTACACCACTGCAGTGCAGCCTGCGTGACAAAACGAGACCCTGTCTCTAAAAAATGAGAAAAAAAAATGGTTGTTACCAGGCGATAAAGGGAGGGGAAAACGGGAGTTACTTAATGAGTATACAGTTTCAGTTTTGCGAGATGAACAGAATTCTGGAAATTGGTTGAACACCGCTGTGATTGAACTCACTACCAAACTCTACACTTAAAAATGGTTAAGATGGTACAATTTGTATGTATTTTACCACAATAAAAAATAAAAAATAGGCTGGGCGAGATGTTCACTCCTGTAATCCCAGTACTTGGGGAGGCTGGGGCTGAAGGATCGTTTGAGCCCTGAAGGAGTTTGAGACCAGCCTGAGCAACATAAGGAGACCCCATCTGTACACAAAATTAAAACATTAGCCAGGCAGAGAGCTGGTCACGGTGGCTCACGTATGTAATCCCAGCACTTTGGGAGGCCGAGGCGGGCGGATCACCTGAGGTCAGGAGTTTGAGACCAGCCTGGCCAACATAGTGAAACCGTGAAACCCCATCTCTACTAAAAATACAAAAATTAGCTGGGCGTGGTGGTGCCCTCATAATCCCAGCCACTCGGGAGGCTGAGACAGGAGAATCGCTTGAACTCAGGAGGTGGAGGTTGCAGTGAGCCTAGATCACACCACTGCAGTCCAAAGCAAGACTCCGTCTCAAAAAAAAAAAAAATTAGCCGGGCATGTTGTCTCCAGTTATTCTGGAGGCTAAGGCAGGAAGATTGCTGGAGCCTAGGAGATCAAAGCTGCAGTGAGCTATGACTGCGCCTCTGCACTCCAACCTGGGTGACAGAGGAAGACCCTGTCTCAAAAAAATAAATAACATTGAAAAGCACTCTCCCAAAACAGTATCTTATTCTTTCTCCATAGGCCTCAGAGAACCATGGCTACTGCCAAGGGAATCGCCATAGGCATCGACCTGGGCACCACCTACTCCTGTGTGGGGGTGTTCCAGCACGGCAAGGTGGAGATCATCGCCAACGACCAGGGCAACCGCACCACCCCCAGCTACGTGGCCTTCACAGACACCGAGCGGCTCATTGGGGATGCGGCCAAGAACCAGGTAGCAATGAATCCCCAGAACACTGTTTTTGATGCTAAACGTCTGATCGGCAGGAAATTTAATGATCCTGTTGTACAAGCAGATATGAAACTTTGGCCTTTTCAAGTGATTAATGAAGGAGGCAAGCCCAAAGTCCTTGTGTCCTACAAAGGGGAGAATAAAGCTTTCTACCCTGAGGAAATCTCTTCGATGGTATTGACTAAGTTGAAGGAGACTGCTGAGGCCTTTTTGGGCCACCCTGTCACCAATGCAGTGATTACCGTGCCAGCCTATTTCAATGACTCTCAACGTCAGGCTACTAAGGATGCAGGTGTGATTGCTGGACTTAATGTGCTAAGAATCATCAATGAGCCCACGGCTGCTGCCATTGCCTATGGTTTAGATAAAGGAGGTCAAGGAGAACGACATGTCCTGATTTTTGATCTGGGTGGAGGCACATTTGATGTGTCAATTCTGACCATAGATGATGGGATTTTTGAGGTAAAGGCCACTGCTGGGGACACTCACCTGGGTGGGGAGGACTTTGACAACAGGCTTGTGAGCCACTTCGTGGAGGAGTTCAAGAGGAAACACAAAAAGGACATCAGCCAGAACAAGCGAGCCGTGAGGCGGCTGCGCACCGCCTGCGAGAGGGCCAAGAGGACCCTGTCGTCCAGCACCCAGGCCAACCTAGAAATTGATTCACTTTATGAAGGCATTGACTTCTATACATCCATCACCAGAGCTCGATTTGAAGAGTTGTGTGCAGACCTGTTTAGGGGTACCCTGGAGCCTGTAGAAAAAGCGCTTCGGGATGCCAAGATGGATAAGGCTAAAATCCATGACATTGTTTTAGTAGGGGGCTCCACCCGCATCCCCAAGGTGCAGCGGCTGCTTCAGGACTACTTCAATGGACGTGATCTCAACAAGAGCATCAACCCTGATGAGGCCGTAGCATATGGGGCTGCGGTACAAGCAGCCATCCTGATGGGGGACAAGTCTGAGAAGGTACAGGACCTGCTGCTGCTGGACGTGGCTCCCCTGTCCCTGGGGCTGGAGACGGCTGGGGGCGTGATGACTGCCCTGATAAAGCGCAACTCCACCATCCCCACCAAGCAGACACAGATTTTCACCACCTACTCTGACAACCAACCCGGGGTGCTGATCCAGGTGTATGAGGGCGAGAGGGCCATGACAAAGGACAACAACCTGCTGGGGCGGTTTGACCTGACTGGAATCCCTCCAGCACCCAGGGGAGTTCCTCAGATCGAGGTGACGTTTGACATTGATGCCAATGGTATTCTCAATGTCACAGCCACGGACAAGAGCACCGGCAAGGTGAACAAGATCACCATCACCAATGACAAGGGCCGCCTGAGCAAGGAGGAGATTGAGCGCATGGTTCTGGATGCTGAGAAATATAAAGCTGAAGATGAGGTCCAGAGGGAGAAAATTGCTGCAAAGAATGCCTTAGAATCCTATGCTTTTAACATGAAGAGTGTTGTGAGTGATGAAGGTTTGAAGGGCAAGATTAGTGAGTCTGATAAAAATAAAATATTGGATAAATGCAACGAGCTCCTTTCGTGGCTGGAGGTCAATCAACTGGCAGAGAAAGATGAGTTTGATCATAAGAGAAAGGAATTGGAGCAGATGTGTAACCCTATCATCACAAAACTCTACCAAGGAGGATGCACTGGGCCTGCCTGCGGAACAGGGTATGTGCCTGGAAGGCCTGCCACAGGCCCCACAATTGAAGAAGTAGATTAATTCTTTTTAGAACTGAAGCATCCTAGGATGCCTCTACATGTATTTCATTCCCCTCATCTTCAAACATCATTATTATTCTTGACCAGACCTGAATCTAAGTTACCATCCCTTGGAAATTCTGGAGAAGGAGTCTCATGCACCACCTATCACACTCCCTCACATCCTGTTTCTGACTTTGGAATGGACTCAGGAAAACTAGGCCCCTCTTTAAACCGTGTGATGTATTTGAATGTCTGTTATTTCCAGCCACCCTAACATTCTTCTTCCTGTGTGGATGCTTATTTGTCAATCAGTAAATTTGTTCGTAAAGAAAATTACTTCTGGTATTTAGGCTGTGAATGTACCTTGAAGGGGAGAGTTCATGGAGAGAGCATGTGTTCTCTGATTGTGAGGTCACTGTGAATGATTAAATTGGTAAGGGTAAAGTATTTGAATTTTCATGAACTCATTTTGTGTGTGTGTGTGTGTGTGTGTGTGTGTGTGTGTGTGTTTTGAGAGACAGTCTCGCCCTGTCACCCAGGCTGGAGTGCAGTGGCACAATCTCAGCTTACTGCAAGCTCTGCCTCCTGGGTTCACGCCATTCTCCTGCCTCAGCCTCCCGAGTAGCTGGGACTGCAGGTGCCCCCCACCATGCCCGGCTAATTTTTTGTATTGTTTTAGTAGAGACGGGGTTTCACTGTGTTAGCCAGGATGGTCTCGATCTCCTGACCTCGTGATCCGCCCGCCTCGGCCTCCCAAAGTGCTGGGATTACAGGCGTGAGCCACCGTGCCCGGCCCATGAACTCATTGTTTCAATCAGCCACATAATTTTTGATCCTCAGACACCTTTAGCACAGATGGAACAGATGGCAAACTATAACTGCTTTTAATCAGTTACAAGCTGGTTTTGGAGTTTAGGACTCAACTGGGGGTGGAGGGACAAATCCTGCTTGATGTCCTGATGTCACTTATAGGTAAGGTCCAGGAGATTCAGCATCTATGCACTCACAGAGTTCATTGTTTACATCCATTACATGGAGAAAATATTTCTTTTCTTTTTTTTTTTTTTTGGAAACAGTTTCGCTCTTGTCGCCCAAGCTGGAGTGCAATGGCACGATCTCGGCTCACTGCAAACTTTGCCTCCCAGATTCAAGCGATTCTCCTGCCTCAGCCTCATGAGTAGCTGGGATTACAGGCGCTCACCACCATGCCCGGCTAATGTTTGTGTTTTTAGTAGAGACGGGATTTCACCATGTTGACCAGGCTGTTCTGAACTCCTGACCTCAGGTGATCCACCCACCTCAGCCTCCCAAAGTGCTGGAATTATAGGCGTGAGCCACCGTGCCCAGCCCCAGAAAATATTTCTATAACAAACTCTTGACAAATAAGTATGTCTATGCAAGATGACAAATACAAGTTTTATGAAGTCTCAGTCCATGAAAAAATATTTTTACCAGCTGGGCACAGTGGCTCACGCCTGTAATCCCAGCACTTTGGGAGGCCGAGGCGGGCGGATCATGAGGTCAAGAGATTGAGACCATCCTGCCCAACATGGTGAAACCCCGTCTCTACTAAAAATACAAAAATTAGCTGAGGACGGTGATGCGTGCCTGTAGTCCCAGCTACTCAGGAGGGTGAGGCAGAGGAATCGCTTGAACCCGGGACGTGGAGGTTGCAGTGAGCTGAGATCGTGGCACCACACTCCAGCCTGGTGATAGAGCGAGACTCCATCTCAAAAACATTTTTTTCTTTTACCTGTGTCCTAATACATATTTATAAAAACCTGGGGGATATGAGTTAGAATAATATGTAACTGCATTTCTGTCTGTTTGTGTTTGAAACATTTAACAGTGAAATGTTAGACTGGGTTATTTGTATCTGTGAGCCACAGTCTCTTTAGTTTTACACAGTCCTTTACAGGACAGTCTTGGCAAAAGTGTGTAAGAAATGCGGAGATTGAGGTTGGCTCCTTTGGAGAAATGTATTTATTGGTAACCTTTGATAAAATCAAAATTTGTGCTCCAGCTCCTCCTTATCTCTGGGACTGCTCAACGTTGTTTGTTTATAATTTTCTTTTTTCTAGAGAGAGTCTCGCTCTGTCACCCAGGCTGGAATGCAGTGGGGAGATTGTAGCTCACTGTAACTCTTGGGTTCAAATGATCCTCCTGCCTCAGCCTCCCCAAATGCTGGGATTTACAGGCCTCAACATTTTTTGTTTTTTGGGATGGAGTTTTGCTCTTGTTGCCCAGGCTGGAGTGCAATGGCAAGATCTCCACTCACTGCAACCTATGCCTCCTGGATTTACAGGCGCGTGCCACCACACCCGGCTAATTTTTGGGTTTTTAGTAGAGACAGAATTTCGCCATGTTGACCAGGCTGGTCTCGAACTCCTGACCTCAGGCGATCCACTTGCCTTGGCCGCCCAAAGTGCTGGGATTACAGGTGTGAGCCACTGCTCCCGGTCATTTTTTTTTTTTTTTTTTTTGAGACGGAGTCTTGCTCTGTCGCCCAGGCTGCAGTGCAGTGGCGCGATCTCGGTTCACTGCAACCTCCGCCTCCCAGGTTCAAGCGATTCTCTTCCCTCAGCCTCCCGAGTAGCTGGTATTACAGGAGCCTGCGACCACGCCTAATTTTTTTTGTATTTTTAGTGAAGATGGGGTTTCACCATGTTGGCTAGACTGGTCTCGAACTCCTGACCTCACACAATCCACCCACCTAGGCCTCCCAGAGTGCTGGGATTAAAGGCTTGAGCCACGGCCCTCGGCCTTTTTTTCTTTTTATCAGCTGAATTTAAGATTCAAAACATTTTTTAATTTTATTTTTTAAATTTTATGTTTTTACTTTAACAAATATAGAAAAGTGCACACTTCATAATCTTAACAAACTCCCCACAATTCTCGATAGGAAGTGTGTGTAGGGCACAAACACATCACGCTGTAGATGGCAGGATTCTGGAAAAGAACAAAATCCTTTGAGCTCAGGCGCTGAGTCCCGCCACCCGTCTGGCAGCCCAGGCTAGGGTCCGCGCCTGCGCAATGGGAGCCGGCCGGCCAGGGAGGAAGTCGGAATGAAGGAAACCCCGCCCCTTTCCCGGCTTCCTCCTCCCCTCTACTCTACCCAGCTTGCGCTCCCCAGCCGCAAGTCGGCCGCGCTTTGCCCGTCAGCGCTTGGAGCTTTCTGCGTCGCTTCCCGCTGCGCCTGCGCGGTCCCGCCTCGCCCCACGCGCGGGCTCGCGCTTCGGTTTCCCCAGACCTGCTCGCAGCACCCTGCTGTCTTCCCGGTCCGGCCCGCTGCCCGCGGCGCCAGCACCATGGTGGGTACCGTGACGTCAAAAGGGGGCGCCCTCGGGGACCTCGCATGGTTGGGGCGGGGGATCTGGCCTTTGTACCCCTAGGCTGGAGTTAGGTCCGGAGTTTTTATCTTCATCTTTAGTACTGTACTGTTTCTCAGGTTCATTGAGGAGGCACTGAGAACAAATGGGATATTTTTTCCATGATGAGGGAAAAAACCCCAACCCTGAGAGAGATTCAGTGAGGATAGCGGGAGACGGAAAAGTTAGACCTCAGAGCACTTCTCTGCCAGGCAAGCTTCGGCAGGGTGCGGGTGGGATATTTTCTACAATTCATTGAAAGGAGTGGGCAGGTACCCGAGAAAGGTGGTCGACTGAGAGAGCACAGTGGGGAGGCCGACGTATGCAGGGCAGAGTCTCTCTGGGACTTTAAGTGATGGGCTCAGTGCAGTGTGCAGAATAATTTGGGCTCCAGCCTTTCAGCTCTGTCAACCAATTATTCTTTCCTGTGAAATTTTGAGAACTGTCAGGGATGCAGTGGGGTTCACAATACCAGTATTTGGTAATACTGTCAAAGGACACTCCTCCCTACCATGCTCCTTCCCACATGATGGTTTTCCCCCTCTCTCCCAATAGCTCTTCTATTCTTTTTTCAAGTCCCTTGTGGGCAAGGATGTGGTCGTGGAACTAAAGAATGACCTGAGGTAGGTACCTGTTCCAACAAGTCTGTTGGGGGTGGGTGTGCCCAGGGCCCTGGAACCTCTTTAATTTGAGAAATATTTCAGGGCTAGGCGAGGTGGAAGATGTACAGAAGAAATAAATGGATAGGGTGCAGTGGCTCAAGCCTGTAATCCCAGCACTTTGGGAGGCTGAGGAAGGAGGAAAGCTTGAGCCCAGGAGTTTGAGGCTGCAGTGAGCAGTGATTACTCCATTGCACTCTAGCCCAGGCAATAGAGCAAGACCCCATCTCTAAGAAAAATTTTAAAATTTAGCAATAAATAAATGCCTTGTGCCTTAAATTTACAGATAAGCTTAGAGATTGTATCGTGTATTGGAAAACAATACAAAGCAATATATAGTTTAAAGAGTAAATACAGGTCAGGCGCAGTGGCTCACGGGCTGGACGTGTGGCTCATGCCTGTAATCCCAGCACTTTGGGAGGCCAAGGTGGGCGAATCACGAGGTCAGGAGTTCAAGACCAGCCCGGTCAAGATGGTGAAACCCTGTCTCTACTAAAAATACAAAAATTAGCCGGGCACGGTGGCTGGTGCCTGTAATCCCAGCTACTCGGGAGGGTGAGGCAGGAGAATCGCTTGAACCTGGGCGGCAGAGGTTGCAGTGAGCTGAGATCACACTGCTGCACTCCAGCTGGGTGACAGAGTGAGATTCTGTCTCAAAAAAAAAAAAAAGTAAGTACTAGGCTGGCCATGGTGGCTCACACCTGTAATCTCAGCACTTTGGGAGGCTGAGGCAGGAGGATCACTTGAGTCCAGGATGTCGAGACTAGTCTGGGCAACATAGTGATGAGACCTCTATTTCTATAAAAAATTAGCCAGGTGTAGTGTACATGCCTGTAGTCTCAGCTATTCGGGAGGCTGAGGTGGGAGGATCACTTGAACCCAGGAGGTCAAGGCTGCAGTGAGCCATGATTGTATCACTTTACTCCAGCCTGGTTGACAGAGGAAGACTCTGTCTCAAAAAAAGAACAGGCCAGGCCGGGCGCGGTGGCTCACGCCTGTAATCCCAGCACTTTGGGAGGCCGAGGCAGGCGGATCACAAGGTCAGGAGATTGAGATCATCCTGTTTAACATGGTGAAACCCTGTCTCTGCTAAAAATACAAAAAATTAGCCAGGCGTGGTGGCATGCTCCTGTAGTTCCAGCTACTTGGGAGTCTGAGGCAGGAGAATGGCGTGAACCTGGGAGGCGGAACTTGCAGTGAGCCAAGATGGTGCCACCGCACTCCAGCCTGGGTGACAGAGCAAGACTCCGTCTCAAAAAAAAAAAAAAAAAAAAAGAAAAAAAAGAACAGGCCATAGGCCGGGCACGATGGCTCATGCCTGTAATCCCAGCACTTTGGGAGGCTGAGGCGGGTGGATCACGAGGTCAAGAGAGCGAGAACAGCCTGGCCAACATGGTGAAACCATGTAGTGTATCTAATACCTAGCATAGGCCAGTTATATGATAGGTGCTTAAAGAAAGAAAAATAATATCCGAAGACGTATTGACTAACCACTATTCTGAATACATTTATTGATTGATTTCTCAAACACTGCTAAGTAATATATACTATTGCTGTTTTACACGAGGAAACTGAGGCTTAGATCAGCTATACCACTTGTTCAAGTCTACAAAACTAGTAAGTGACACAACTGAAATATGATTCTGTCCAGCTTTTTTTCTTTCTTTTTTTTTTTTTTTGAGATGGAGTTTCAGTCTGTCACCTAGGCTGGACTGCAATGGCGTAATCTCGGCTCACTGCAGCCTCTGCCTCCTGGGTTCAAGCAATTCTCTGCCTCAGCCTCCCTAGTAGCTGTGATTACAAGTGCCCACCACCATGCCCGGCTAAATTTTGTATTTTTAGTAGAGATGGAGTTTCACCATCTAGGCCAGGCTGGTCTTGAACTCTCGACCTTGTGATCCACCTGCCTCAGCCTCTCAAAGTGTTGGGATTACAGGCGTGAGCCACTGCGCCTAGTCCTACTTTCTTTCTTAAAATAATATTTATTTATTTAAAAATTAGAGACAGTGCCTCACTTTGTTGCTCAGGCTGGTTTCAAATTCTTTGAGTTCAAGCAGTCCTCTTGCTTCAGCTTCCCAAAGTGCTGGGGTTACGCGCATGAGCCAGCACACCTGGCCCTGTACTTATCTGTACAGTCCTTTAAATAATATGTACATTTAGGCCAGATGCGGTGGCTCATACCTGTAATCCCAGCACTTTGGGAAGTCGAGGCGGGTGGATGCCTGAGGTCACGAGTTTGAGACTAGCTTGGCCAACATGGTGAAACTCCATCTCTACTAAAAATACAAAAATTAGCCAGATGTTGTGTTGTGCGCCTGTAATCCTAGCTGCTCAGGAGCCTGAGGCTGGAGAATCACATGAACCCGGGAGGCGGACGTTGTAGTGAGCTGAGATCAGGCCACTGCACTCCAGCCTGGGCGACAGACTGAGACTCCATCTCAAAAAAAAAAAAAAAGTACATTTAAAATATTGATACCTGTTACCTCATTATCCTTTAGAAAGATGGGATCAATTGTATTCTCTTCCCAAAAGCGTCTTCCACATTTATTTTTTTGAGATGGGGGTCTCACTCTGTTGTCCAGGCTGTAGTGCAGTGGCACCACCATAGCTCACTCAGCCTCCTGAATAGCTGGGGCTATATGCCACCATGCCCAGCTAATTTTTTAATTATTTGGAGAGGCAGAGTCTCACTGTGTTGCCGAGGCTAGTCTGAAACTCTTGGGCTCAAGCAGTCCTGCCACCTTGGCCTCCCAAAGTGCTGGAATTACAGGTGTGTGCCACTGTGTCTGGCTGTCTTCCACATTTCTATGTGAGATAATTTTTTCATGGGTTACACGTTGACAGGGCAGGGAATGGTGAGGAGAGGGACTTAAGGGCCTTTGCGTTTTAGAACACAGGTTTCCATTTGTAGCACTGGCAATGCAAGTGATATTGATGTGTATAGATTGGGGCCACAGAGCAAGACAAGTACGGTAATCACTATCAGTCTTAGGCAATTTGGTGTGATGACTTGTTTTTGATTCTCCTCTTTTCTCCTTCCTGGGCCTTTTACATGGGAAGCCTAACTGTTGTGTTATAACCCTAGGCCCTAAAGTACCTTTATTTTTTTTATTTTATTTTGTTTTTGAGACAGAGTCTTGCCCTGTCGCCCAGGCTGGAGTGCAATGGCGTGATCTCGGCTCACCGCAACCTCTGCCTCCCGGGTTCAAGTGATTCTCCTGCCTCAGCCTCCCTGGTAGCTGGGATTACAGGCATGCGCCACAACGCCTGGCTCATTTTTTGTATCTTCAGTAGAGACAGGGTTTCACCATGTTGGCCAGGCTGGTCTCCCAACTCCTGACCTCGTGATCTGCCCACCCCAGCCTCCCAAAGTACTGGGATTACAAGTGTGAGCCACTGCACCCGGCCGTAGTAACATTTCTTTTCTTTTTCTTTTTTCTTTTTTTTATTGAGACGAGTCTCGCTCTGGTCGAGTCTACGCCAGGCTGGAGTGCAGTGGTGCTGTAACCTCCGACTCCCTGGTTCAAGTGATTATCCTGCCTCAGCCTCCCGAGTAGCTGGGATTATATGCATGCACCACCACGCCCAGCTAATTTTTGTATTTTTAGTAGAGAAGGGGTTTCACCACGTTGGCCAGGATGGTCTCAATCTCCTGACCTTGTGATCTGCCCACCTCGGCCTCCCAAAGTACTGTGATTACAGGTGTGAGCCACTGCGCCCAGCCTTCTTTTTTTTCTATTTATTTATTTATTTTTGTTTGAGATGGGGTCTCACTCTGTCACCCAGGTTGGAGTGCAGTGGCATGATCTCGGGTCACTGCAACCTCTGCTGCCTGGGTTCAAGTGATTCTCCTGCCTCAGTCTCCCAAGTAGCTGGGATTACAAGTGCCTGCCACCATACCTGGCTAATTTTTGTATTTTTAGTAGACATCGGGTTTCACCATCTTCGTCAGGCTGGTCTTGAACTCCTGACCTCGTGATCCACCTGCCTCGGCCTCCCAAAGTGCTGGGATTACAGACGTGAGCCACTGCACCCGGCCTTTTTATATTATTTTTAAAATTTTTCATAGAGACAGAGTCTCGGCCGTGTTGCCCAGGCTGGTCTTGAACTCCTGGACTCAAGTGATCCTCCCACCTCAGCCTCTCAAAGTGCAGTGACTACAGGTGTGAGCCAATATGTGTGTGGCTTTAAAGTGACTTTTCTGTTGGGATGAGAAAGAAGATCTTTCTCCTTTTTTTTCCTTGAGACAGGGTCTCACTCTGTTGCCCTGGCTGGAGTGCGGTGGCGCGATCTTGGCTCACTGCAACCTCTGCCTCCTGGGTTCAAGTGATTCTTCCACCTCAGCCTCCCGAATAGCTGGGATTACCGGTGCATGCCACCACTCCCAGCTAATTTTTTGTATTTTTAGTAGGGATGGGGTTTCACCATGTTGGCCAGGCTGGCCTCAAACTCCTGACCTCAAGTGATCCTCCTGCCTCAGCCTCCCAAAGTGCTGGGATCACAGGTGTGAGCCACCACGCCTGGCCAAAAGTTCTTTCTCTTATGTTTGTTGTCAGACCACTTTTGTGCTATGTATCTCCCCCTCCTTAAGGGACTTAATAAAATGACACCACTTTGTACAATTCCCAAATGTTATTTCACTGCTGGAGATGGTGGGGTGCTGTCAAATGTTTTTCAGCAGCTAGCAATATGGTGAGAACATTACTGAGGCAGTGGGTTTCAGATACTGGGTGTTTGTTTTTGTTTTTGTTATTAGGCAGAGACTCACCCTCTGTCTCAAAAAAAATAATGATTGCCTAGTACTAGTTCATTTAAATTAATTTCCTAGAGCATATTTAAGTGGGTCTTTTTTTTTTTTTTTTTTTTTTGAGACAGATCCTTACTCTGTCACCGAGGCTGGAATGCAGTGGCATGATCTTGGCTCACTGCAACCTCTACCTCCTGTGTTCAAATGATTCTCGTGCCTCAGCCTCCTGTATACCTGGGACTACAGGCATGCACCACACACAGCTAATTTTTGTATTTTTATATTTTATTTTTAAATTTTTTTTTTCCTCCTGGGTTCAAGTGATTCTCGTGCCTCACCTCCTGAGTAGCTGGGATTACAGGTGCACACCACAATGCCCAGCTAATTTTTGTATTTTTTTTTTTTTGAGACGGAGTCTTGCTTTGTCACCCAGGCTGGAGTGTAGTGGTGTGATCTCCGCTCACTGCAAGCTCTGCCTCCCAGTTCACGCCATTTTTCTACCTCAGCCTCCCAAGTAGCTGGGACTACAGGTGCCCGCCACCATGCCCGGCTAATTTTTTGTATTTTTAGTAGAGACGGGGTTTCACCGTGTTAGCCAGGATGGTCTCGATCTCCTGACCTCGTGATCCACCCGCCTCGGCCTCCCAAAGTGCTGAGATTATAGGCGTGAGCCACCACGCCCGGCCAATTTTTGTATTTTTAGTAGAGATGGGGATTCGCCGTGTTGGCCAGGCTGGTCTTGAAGTCCTGGCCTCAAGTGATCCGCCCACCTTGGCCTCCTAAAGTTCTGGGATTATAGGCATGAGCCACCGCACATGGCCTAGACGCTGGGTTTTAAAGACTTTCAGAATTTTACAAAAATTGGGGCAGAGAACTGCCAACTTTATTTTTGGCAAGATAAGGACGTTTTTAAAACTGCTATTTATTACGATTATTTTTATTTATTTATTTTTCTTGAGATGGAGTCTCACTCTGTCACCCAGGCTGGAGTGCAGTGGCTCGATCTCGCCTCACTACAACCTCCACCTCCCGGGTTCAAGTGATTCTCCTGCTTCAGCCTCCCGAGTAGCTGGGATTACAGGCGTCTGCCACTATGCCCAGCTAATTTTTTGTATTTTTAGTAGAGATGGGGTTTCACGATGTTGGCCAGGCTGGTGTCGAACTCCTGACCTCGTGATTCGCCCGCCTCGTCCTCCCTAAGTGCTGGAATTATAGGCGTGAGCCACCGTGCCCGGCCACAGTTATTTTATTTTATAACTTTAAAATAGAGATGAGGTCTTGCTATGTTGTCTGGGCTGTTCTCCAGCTGGCTTCAGGCGATCCTCCTGCCTCAGCCTCCCAGAATGCTTGGATTATAGGCGTGAACAACCATTCCCAGCCAAAGGCTGTTTTTTTAAATTTTTGCACCATTCTCTCAAAGAGCACTGGTGTTTTGATAGCATTCCTCAAATAGCATTTCAAGGGGCTCGAGGATTGGGGAATGGAGAGGACATCACTCATGCCTGCATCATCAAGAGTAATGCTACCTACCTTTATCCACATATGGGCTCTGGTTCCAAAGCAATAAATGTTTGAAAATAGCTAGCCTGGGTGACATTCACAGTGAGACCCTTTCTCTACAAAAAAAAAAAAAAAAAGTCGGGAATGGTGGCTCATGCCTGTAATCCCAGCACTTTGGGAGGCTGAGGTGGGCAGATCATGAGGTCAGGAGATCGAGACCATCCTGGCTAACACGGTGAAACCCCGTCTCTACTAAAAATACAAAAAATTAGCCAGGAGTGGTGGCCGGCATCTGTAGTCCCAGCTACTCGGGAGGCTGAGGCAGGAGAATGGCGTGAACCTGGGAGATGGAGCTTTCAGTGAGCCGAGATTGTGCCACTGCACTCCAGACTGGCCGACAGAGCGAGACTCCATCTCAAAAAAAAATCAGCTGGGCATGGTGGCTCAAGCCTGTAATCACAGCTACTCAAGTGGCCACAGTGAGCCATGATCACGCCATTTCACTCCAGCCTTGGCCATAGAGTGAGACCCTGTCGCAAAAATAAAAAAAAAATAGCTGATGGTTTTGGGAGTCACACAGACTTGGACTGAAGTTCCCATTTGTTCTAAACTCATAAAGTTTAAAACAACCTCTCTGAGCCCCTGGAAGGTAATAACTACTTTGAAAGATGGCTGTAAAGATTACAAATACTATATAGAATACAGGTCTAGCCTTTACCAGTTGTTTAATGGTAGCTGTTAAGAATAGGTTGGTTTGGCCGGGGACAGTGGTTCACACCTGTAATCCCAGCACTTTGGGGAGCTGAAGTGGGCAGATCGCCTGAGATCAGGAGTTAAGGAACAGCCTGGCCAACATGGTGAAACCCCATCTCTACTAAAAATAAAAAATTAGCCGGGCATGATGGCATGCGCCTGAAGTCCTAGCTACTCAGGAGACTGAGGCAGGAGAATCGCTTGAACCTGGGAGGCAGAGGTTGCAGTGAGCCAAGATCACACCACTGCACTTCAGCCTGGCTGACAGTGAGACTCCATCTCAAAAAAAAAAAAAAAAAAAAAAAGAATGGATTGGTTTAGGGAGAGGAGATGTGGGGTTGAAAATAAACTACTCTGTTAGTTGTCTTTCCTACTCCAGGGCTTAGGAATGCCCCCTTTTGGTTCTACCTTTTCTGACATCCTCAAGTCCTTGACTTCTCCCAGTCATGTTCTCATCCCAGCTCTGAAGTCACCTCTATGTTGACTTTGTTATAAACTAATTTGATTCTTCTCTCCCTCTGCCCTTGACAGCATCTGTGGAACCCTCCATTCTGTGGATCAGGTGAGATATAGCACGGGCCCCAGAATTGGTTCCTGGAGAAGGAGAGGGGAGACTTAAGGGTTGGGTTCTTACATCATGTCTCTAGGGTTAATAATGGTGTTCGTCGGCCAGGCACGGTGGCTCACGCCTGTAATCCCAGCACTTTGAGAGGCCGAGGCCTGAGGTCAGGAGTTCAAGACAAGCCTGACAAACATGGTGAAACCCCGTCTCTACTAAAAATACAAAAAATTAGCTGGGCGTGGTGGTGGGCACCTGTAATCCCAGCTAGTCGAGAGGCTGAGGCAGGAAAATCATTTGAACCCAGGAGGCGGAGATTGCAGTGAGCCGAGATGGCACCATTGCACTCCAGCCTGGGCAACAAGAGCAAAACTCTTGTCTCAAAAAAAAAAAAATAATAATAATAATGGTGTTCATCTTCCTTTCCTAGTATCTCAACATCAAACTAACTGACATCAGTGTCACAGACCCTGAGAAATACCCTCACATGGTGAGTTGGGGTCTGTGGAGAAGAGGAAACACCTCTAAAGCAGGAGGCCCCTGGGTGGTTAGAGGACATTTTTAAGGGTGTTTTCATATTTGTCCATCTTTGTCTAGTTATCAGTGAAGAACTGCTTCATTCGGGGCTCAGTGGTCCGATACGTGCAGCTGCCAGCAGATGAGGTCGACACACAGTTGCTACAGGATGCGGCAAGGAAGGAAGCCCTGCAGCAGAAACAGTGATGGCTCCTCCTCCTCTTCCCCTCCCTCTTTCATTGGTGACCCATAACCCCAAGTCCCAGCCCAGAACCCCTAACCCCCAATACTTGAAGGGGTTTTGTTTTTTTACTAATGATGGTTTTGTGGGTTTTTTTTAAGGGATGAGTGGATGAGAGGAGTAATAGGGAACAGCTATCCTCTCTTGAGAAGGGGAGGATAAGTAGGCTGGGAAACTTCAAAGCCTTCCCAGTCCCCAGCACCTGCCTTTCTCACTACTTCTCTGGAGATGGTAGGAGAGTTTCCTAGGTCTTTCCAGGGCAGCATGTGATTCATTTGGGGATGGAAGGAATCTGTCCCGCATCGGGAATAAAATTTATGATGCAAATTTGTGTTTTGGTTCTGTTACTATGTGTTGGGCAGGGGGCTGGGACATGGAAAAGGATGTCGAATTCATCCAAGCCCCTGTTACTCTGCGTTAACCCAGCCAAGAATCCAACTCAGCTTCCCACTACTCTCCTTGGTATAAAGCATATAATACAGTTGCTCTACACCATGTTTCCCCAACATGTCCCTACCTGTATGTTCTCCCTGTGGCCTTTTGCTTATACCATACCTGCAACTGGAGTGCTTGCTGTCCTTCCATTAATGTGATAGTGTCATA
This sequence comes from Homo sapiens, assembly GCF_000001405.40. Lineage (NCBI taxonomy): Eukaryota > Metazoa > Chordata > Mammalia > Primates > Hominidae > Homo > Homo sapiens. The sequence goes on along the minus strand of NC_000006.12, from coordinate 31,797,119 downwards.
AGATACATTTCATGCTACCAGACTTCACCAATCCAACCAAATCAGTTCATGTTTTCTGAATATGTATAGAAGATAAATACAAGTGATGTAATTTATATTTTAGAGAAAAGTTGTGACTGGGAATTACTAAACTTCATTCACTCATTCAGCAAATATGAGTTCATGATACAGATGAGACTTCTCAGCCTTAAGGGACCCTTAGAGACCATCTAGTGTGACCCTCCTTTTTGTTTTTGAGACGGGAGTCTCACTCTGTTGCCCAGGGTGGAGTGCACTGGCTTGGTCTGGCTCACTGCAACCTCCGCCTCCCGGTTCAAGCGATTCTCCTGCCACAGCTCCTGAGTAGCTGGGATTACAGATGCCCACCACCATGCCCGGCTAATTTTTTTTTTTTTTTTTTTTTTTTGAGATGGAGTCTCACTTTGTCACCCAGGCTGGACTGCAGTGGTGTGATCTTAGCTCTGCAATCTCCGCCTCCCAGGTTCAAGTGATCTTCTTGCCTCAGCTTCCCAAGTAGCTGGGCTTACAGGTGTGTGCCACCACGCCTGGCTAATTTTTGTATTTTTACAAATACTGCAGCTCTGTCGCCAGGCTGGAGTGCAGTGGCACGATCTCAGTTCACTGCAACCTCAACCTCCAGGGTTCAAGCAATTCCCTGCCTCAGGCTCCGGGGTAGCTGGGATTACAGGCGCCTGCCACCACACCTGGCTAATTTTTGTATTTTTAGTAGAGACGGGGTTTCACCATCTTGGCCTGGCTGGTCTTGAACTCCTGACCTGGTGATCCACCCGCCCTGGCCTCCCAGAGTGCTGGGATTACAGGCGTGAGACGGGCTTTCACCACCTTGGCCAGGCTAGTCTTGAACTTCTGACCTCAGGTGATCCGCCCACCTCGGCCTCCCAAAGTGCTGGGATTATAGGCGTGAGCCACTGCGCCCGGCCGTCACCCTTTTTTCATACATGAGGAGATGAGGCTCAAAGAGGAAGCTGGACGCCAGGGCCTCGGCAAATGGACCTCCCCTTCGGTCCTCATCAGGCGGCTCCCTGCTGGGCACCTCCCCGCTACCGGGTGGGGAACGCCCTCCACCGGCAGGGCCGGCCGACCCTCTTGGGCCAGTTCCCTAGCTGCCCGCTGGGCGCCGCCCTCGCCACCCGGCCGAGGACCCGCACAAGGTGCCCGTGGCGGCGCCTGACGGGAGCGTCGTGCTCAGGGGTGTCCTCTCGTCCTGCGTCCGCGCCCAGCGCCCCGCGCCCCGCGCTGTTCCTCGTGAGACCGGCGGGCGGCGAGCCGCGCGGCCCCCGGGGCAGTGTCGGACACGGCGGGCGCGCACTCGCAGGCGGGGCACGGCCGCCCCCGCCAGGACCCGCAGGCCCGGAAACGCTCCCTGTCACAAAGGGGGGAACACGTGGGCGCCGGCTGCCGGGGCGGCGATCTTAGGGAACTAGGGTCACCTGGAGAGCCGCCCACCGTCTCTGCCCGCTCGACTCCTCCGCCCGGGCCGCTCGGCCGGTCCAGCCGCGGCCGGCGCCTGGCTGTGAGGTGGATTCCCGGCCCAGTCTGACCATCTCCCTCCAGTACGTACACGCGGCTCGAACCCGCATCCAACCAGACGCCGACCCGCTCCTGAGAGCCTTCCACACTCCCCGAAGCCCCGCGATGGTGGATAGTTCCTCTTCCCCAGGAACTCCCCACTGACACTGCCCCTCTGAGAGCCAGGTCCTCGGCTCCTGACAGCCTGCCTGGTCAGACCCTCAGTCCTATGGGACTCGGGTGTCTGCGGCGAAGGAGCTCCCGTGAGGGTCCCCTCTCTACTCAAACATAGGACCCACCTCGATCCCGCAGTCTTCCCCTGTCTCTCTTTCTCCTTAGGTTTTTCCACTTCGTTCGGACCTTCTCATAACTATGTCCACCCTCTACGTCTCCCCTCACCCAGATGCCTTCCCCAGCCTCCGAGCCCTCATAGCCGCTCGCTATGGGGAGGCTGGGGAGGGTCCCGGATGGGGAGGAGCCCACCCCCGCATCTGTCTCCAGCCACCCCCGACTAGCAGGACTCCCTTTCCCCCACCCCGCCTGCCGGCCCTGGAGCAGGGGCCCGGTGGGCTCTGGGTGTGGGGGGCCACGGCTGTGGCCCAGCTGCTGTGGCCAGCAGGCCTGGGGGGCCCAGGGGGCAGCCGGGCGGCTGTCCTTGTCCAACAGTGGGTCAGTTACGCCGACACGGAGTTAATACCAGCTGCCTGTGGAGCAACGCTGCCGGCCCTGGGACTCCGAAGCTCGGCCCAGGACCCCCAGGTGAGGGGGTTGTACAGAAGAGGGGGAGGGGAGAAATTCAGAGGAGGGAAGCGAGGACTGGAATGGACAATGAGACAAGAAGGTAGTACATCAGATGTGGGAAAAGAGTGATCAAATCCCAGATTGCCAACTGGTATGGTAACCCTGGGCACGTTTCATAGACCCGCTGTGTCTTGGTCTTCCTATGTCTATGAACACGCAGGCAAGTTGATGTAATGCTTGCCTCACTGAGTTAATAGGATTAAAAGATGTGCGCAGAGCACATAGTTTAGTGCCAGGCACTTTTAAAGTCTCTTAGTAAAAGTTTGATGAGTCTGAAATTGATGAGGATAGAAGTTATTTGAATTGTAGGAAAAGACTGGGTGAGGGAGAGATGACAATTGCTGGGAGGAGATAAAAGAGAAATGAAATGAGGAAGGTAAGTGAGAGGAGAGATAACCCTGCCAGATTGTAACTATCAGTCCTTCCAAAGGAGACCTGTGCCTTGGTGTACTTTCAACTCTGCCTCCTTGCATGGTATTGAGCACATGATGGAAAATTAGTATTTCTTGAATGGATGAATGAATGTGGCAGACCCTGACTTGCTCCCTCATATTGTGATCACCCTATCTACAATAGAGTCCTTGCATTCAGAATGTCTGTCCAAACAAACAAATAAAATAGAGTCCCTCTCTTCTGGAATTCCCTGTTTGTTCCCCTCTTTTATTTCTTTTCTTTTCTTTTTTTTTTTTTTTTTTGAGACAGAATCTCCTTCTGTTGCCCAGGCTGGAGTGCCACGGTGCGATGGTGCGATCTCAGCTCACTGCTCAAGCGATTCTCCTGCCTCAGCCTTCTGAGTAGCTGGGATTACAGGCGCCCACCACCTTGTCCGGCTAATTTTTTGTATTTTTAGTAGAGATGGGGTTTTGTCATGTTGACCAGGCTGGTCTCGAACTCCTAACCTCAGATGGTCTGCTCGCCTCGGCCTCCCAAAGTGCTGAGATTATAGGTGTGAGCCACCACGCCTGGCCCCTGTTCCCCTCATTCTGCTTTATTTTTCTTCATAGGAGTTAAGAAAAATAGGGCACTTCATTTTATATTTGCTCATTTGTTGTTCCCCTACAAGAATGTTAACTCTACCAGGTCAGGGTTCTGTCCATCTGTTCGTGTTTTCCTCTCATTCCCTGGAGAAGTACTTAATACATATTTATTGATGTTCTGAACCTGGCAGTTATTGAGATGCCTCATATAATCTTTACTTCTATGCTTAACATATTGCATCTAACACATAAGTATTGAGTAGGGATTTGTTGGATGAGTCAGAAGTGTTTTGTTTTTTTTTTTCTGAGACGGAGTCTCGCTGTGTTGCCCAGGCTGGAGTGCAGTGGCGTGATCTCGGCTCACTGCAAGCTCCACCTCCTGGGTTCATGCCATTCTCCTGCCTCAGCCTCCCGAGTAGCTGGGACTACAGGCGCCCGCCACCACGCCTGGCTATTTTTTTTTTGTATTTTTAGTAGAGATGAGGTTTCACCATGTTAGCCAGGATGGTCTCGATCTCCTGACCTCGTGATCCGCCCAGAAGTATTTTTATTGTGACTATTTGAGTGAAGAAATGGGACTCAGAGGTGGTGATTTGTGAGAGTGGGGTGGAGGGAGGCCACATGGATTGGGTTGTGGTGGGAGATGGAGGTGGGCCAAACCTTGTCTCACACTTCTTCCCCTTCCTGCCAGGCTGTGCTGGGGGCCCTGGGCAGGGCCCTGAGCCCCTTGGAGGAGTGGCTTCGGCTGCACACCTACTTGGCCGGGGAGGCCCCCACTCTGGCTGACCTGGCGGCTGTCACAGCCTTGCTGCTGCCTTTCCGATACGTGAGTCACCAGGCCTGGGGAAGAACAAGACTGCTCTCCTCAGACCTCACTGTAGGGTGACTGAGAAGAGTCATTTATTTCCTGTTCCAGGTCCTAGACCCACCTGCCCGCCGGATCTGGAATAATGTGACTCGCTGGTTTGTCACGTGTGTCCGGCAGCCAGAATTCCGAGCCGTGCTAGGAGAAGTGGTTCTATACTCAGGAGCCAGGCCTCTCTCTCATCAGCCAGGTGAGGAAGGGCGAGGAGTTGGAGGATAGGGGCTTCCCTGGGGCCTTCCATGCAACTCACTTTCTTTTTTTCCTAGAAATGGCAGAATCACTGGGGCAGGGTCCTGCGGGAGAGGAGGGAGAGGGGGGAGGTCAGCATGGGCAAGACCTCGGGCATCTAAAATACCCCATCTGAAACCTAGTATGGCCGTCCAAGAGGGTCCCCAGCTGGCTGAGTCTGAATTTCTGCACCTCTCTCTAGGCCCCGAGGCTCCTGCCCTCCCAAAGACAGCTGCTCAGCTCAAGAAAGAGGCAAAGAAACGGGAGAAGCTAGAGAAATTCCAACAGAAGCAGAAGATCCAACAGCAGCAGCCACCTCCAGGGGAGGTGAGGCGAGGGTGGAGCTGGAAGGAAAGTTGATGTGTGCGGTGATGGGTTGGCTGATGCCTGGGCCTATGTCTTCTCCCTCCCAAGCAGAAGAAACCAAAACCAGAGAAGAGGGAGAAACGGGATCCTGGGGTCATTACCTATGACCTCCCAACCCCACCCGGGGAAAAGAAAGGTACTAGGAGTGGGAAGGGGCTCACCCCTCAGCAGCCCCTTCTAAGTTTTCACCCTATCTTGCTCTATTCTTGCTCTCACCACTTTGTTTGGTGAGGAATTGCAGACCCCCTGCCCTGCCTCTAGGCCCCTCAAATGCCTGTCCTATGATGTGAGTGACGGAGATCCCGATCCCTCTCTGCCAGCACGTCTCCTTCCCAGAGTGCTCCCAGCCACGGCACTGAGCCCTCCCTTCCTCTCCCCCAGATGTCAGTGGCCCCATGCCCGACTCCTACAGCCCTCGGTATGTGGAGGCTGCCTGGTACCCTTGGTGGGAGCAGCAGGGCTTCTTCAAGCCAGAGTATGGGGTGAGTAGGCACTGCTGCCCAGGCCCAGAGTGGGTGGGGTGGGGAAGGGCAGGACTGAAGGATGTGTTGCCTGGGAGGGGCTGGGAGAGGTGACCTGAGGCCTTAAACATGTGCCATCCTTCTCCACCATCAGCGTCCTAATGTGTCAGCAGCAAATCCCCGAGGTGTCTTCATGATGTGCATCCCACCCCCCAATGTGACAGGCTCCCTGCACCTGGGCCATGCACTCACCAACGCCATCCAGGACTCCCTGACTCGATGGTGAGCTTCTATCTGCACCTTCCTCTGGTTCCCTCTGCCTAGTCTGGCTCTCTCCTTTTCCCTGACAGCCCCCCGAGCCTCTCTCCTTCTGGGTTGGTGCTCACTTCTGCCCCCAGTGGTGCTACACTTCTCTCTGTCATTCCAATCTGATCATTTAGCTTCCTCTCCTAGTCCAGTACTCCCATGCAACACCGCCACTTGCAGACTCTCTTCTATCCCTTCTTTCTTTATTTAATTTTAATTTAATTTAATTTAATTTTTTGTAAAGATGAGTTTTCACTTTGTTGCTCAGTCTGGTCTCCAACTCCTGGCTCAAGTGATTCTCCTGTCTCAGACTCCCAGAGTGCTGGGATTATAGGTGTGAGGCACCACACCCAGTCTCTCCCTTCTTTTTCTAGTAACAATAACATTATTTTGAATTTAATTAGGAACATATGAATATATATATTTTTTTTTGGGGGGACAGAGTCTTGTTCTGTTGCCCAGGCCGGAGTGCAGTGACGCCATCTCGGCTCATGGCAACCGCTGCCTCCTGGGTTCAAGTGATTCTCCTGCCTCAGCCTCCCAAGTAGCTGGGATTACAGGAATGCGCCACCACAACTGACCAAAATATATGAATATATTCTTGTAAGAAATTTAAAGTTTCAAATCTCCTTGACCATCCCCCTCCACACCTACTTCCTCCTAAGATTTAGCCATTGTTATCACTTTGATGTGTATCTTCCCAGATCTTTCCTATTTACTTACATATACACGTACCCATAGAAATTTATAGTTCTCCTTTTGGGTGAGTCTTTTCTATTTTTTAACATAAAGGGTTCATATTACACTTGTTATGATCTAGCTTTCTTCTTACACTTAATACTTTCTCTTGGAGATCTTTCCTTGTCCTTACACACATACCACACATACTGACTTCCTTCTTTTTAATTGTTCCATAATATCTCATAGTGTGGCTGTACCATAGTGAAGTCATTCTTTTTTTTTTTTTTTTTTTTTTTTTTTTTGAGACAGAGTTTCACTCTTTTTGCTCAGGCTGGAGTACAGTGGCATGATCTCGGCTCACCGCAACCTCCACCTCCTAGGTTCAAGCGATTCTCTTGCCTCAGCCTCCCAAGTAGCTGGCATTACAGGCACCTGCCACCGCGCCTGGCTAATTTTTGTATTTTTAGTAGAGATGGGGTTTCACCATGTTGGCCAGGCTGGTCTCAAACTCCTGACCTCAGGTGATCTGCCTGCCTCGGCCTCCCAAAGTGCTGGGATTACAGGCGTGAGCCACTGCTCCCGGCCTGGAGTCACTTTTTAATTAATGATTCATTCTGTTTTTTGTTTTTTGTTTTTTTTCTGTTGAAAACCTTACTCTAATGCACATCCCTGTATATCAAGTTTGTCCAACCTGCAGCCTGTGGGCCACATGCGGCCCAGGACGGCTTTGAATGCAGCCTAACACAAATTTGTAAACTTTGTTTAAACATTTAAGAATTTTTTTGCGATTTTTTTTTTTTAGCTCATCAGCTATCGTTAGTGTTAGTGTATTTTTTTAAATTTATTTTTATTATTTATTTATTTATTTATTTTTTGAGACGGGTCTTGCACTGTCACCCAGGCTGGAGTGCAGTGGCACAGTCTCGGCTCACTGCAAGCTCCAAACTCCGCCTCCCACGTTAACGCCATTCTCCTGCCTCAGCCTCCCAAGTAGCTAGGACTACAGGTGCCCACCACCACGCCCGGCTAATTTTTTTTTTGTATTTTTAGTAGAGACGGGGTTTCACCATGTTAGCCAGGATGGTCTCGATCTCCTGACCTCGTGATCCGCCCGCCTCGGACTCCCAAAGTGCTGGGATTACAGGCGTGAGCCACTGCTCCCAGCCAGTGTTAGTGTATTTTATCTGTGGCCCAAGACAATTCTTCCATGTGGCCCAGGGAAGCCAAAAGATTGGATACCCCTGCTCTATATGCTTGCTGAAGCATGTGTGGAAGGGTTTCGCTGGTGTAGCTATCAAGAAGTGAAACTGCTAGGTCGGCAGGGGCACACCTATATTAAGTACAAACGGAAGCTGCCAAGTTGCCCTGCAGAATGGCTTTGCTGATTGATACCTCCAGGAATTGCTGTGAGAGTGTTCATTTCCCCACCCTTGCTAAGCCTGAGCATTAGGGTTGCCTAATTAGTTTTGCCAATCTGATGGGCAAAAAAATACCTCTGTTGTTTTACTTTGTACCTTTCTGATTGCTATTGAAGTTGTGCCTATTTTCATGTTTTTTGGCCAGTCAGGTTTACCCATATGTGAATTGTCTGTATCTATCTTTTCCCCGTTTTTCTATTGATTCTTCGTTCTTTTTCTTTTTAATTTTTTTTTTGAGAATTCTTTACCTGTTCTGGGTATCAATTTTTTTGTTAAATATTGTAAATGTTTTTGTTGTATTATTGTGTGGTAGTTTTCCTGTTAATTGTAAATGTTTCTCCTGTTTTCTGTTACTATTTGTTTTCACTGTTAATATTTTAATTAGTGATAAATACAAAGTAATATTCTAGGTGACAAATCTTTTTAAAAAGTATTTTAAAATAACTTTACCATTTTTGGAAACCAGGGTTTATTATATTTAAATTTTGAGAATTTTTTCTGGTGTCTTATGTACTAAATTAATGTGGTCAAAAAATATTTACTGGGCCCAACTATGTGCCACCTCTGCTCTGAGCACTGGGAATATAATGTTTGATTGTGCATTTTGCAAGTAACTGAGAGCTAGGAAAACAGTTATATGTTTTATTTTTTTATTTTTATTATTATTATTATTATTTTGAGACAGAGTCTCTCTCTGTCGCCCAGGCTGGAGTGCGGTGGCGCAATCTTGGCTCACTGCAAGCTCTGCTTCCCAGGTTCACAGCATACTCCTGCCTCAGCCTCCTGAGTAGCTGGGACTACAGGCGCCCGCCACCACGCCTGGCTAATTTTTTGTATTTTTTTTAGTAGAGACAGGGTTTCACCCTGTCGGCCAGGATGGTCTCGATCTCTTGACCTCATGATCTGCTCACCTCGGCCTCCCAAAGTGCTGGGATTACAGGCGTGACCCACCGCGCCTGGCCTGTTTTTTTTTTTGTTTTTTTTGTTTTTTTGAGACAGAGTCTCTCTCGGTTTCCCAGGCTGGAGTGCAGTGATGCGCGCTTACTGCAACCTCTGCCTCCTGAGCTCAAGCGATTCTCCTGCCTCAGCCTTCTGAGTAGCTGGGATTACAGGCGCATGCCACCACACCTGGCTAATTTTTGTATTTTTAGTAGAGACGGGGTTTCACCATGTTGGTCAGGCTTGTTTCGAGCTCCTGACCTTGTGATCCTCCCGCTTCGGTCTCCCAAAGTGCTAGGATGACAGGCATGAGCCACTTCGTCCAGCCAACAGTTCTGTTAAATACACATAACATACAATGGCCAAGTTGTTTGCGTTTGTGTTTGCGTTTTTGTTTTTTCAATTTTTCAATTTTTTTTTTTTCTTTGGAAATGGGGTCTTGCTCTGTCACCCAGGCTGGAGTGCAGTGGCGCAGTCTCTGCTCACTGCAAGCTCCTCCTCCCAGGTTCACACCATTCTCCTGCCTCAGCCTCCTGAGTAGCTGGGACTATAGGAGCCCACCACCACGCCTGGCTAATTTTTTTTGTATTTTTAGTAGAGACGGGGTTTCACCGTGTTAGCCAAGATGGTCTCGATCTCCTGACCTCGTGATTCGCGTACCTCGGCGTCCCAAAGTGCTGGGATTATAGGCGTGAGCCACCACGCCCGGCCCTGTTTTTCAATTTTTTAATAAAATCAAGAGAGGGTCTCGCTATGTTGCCCAGGCTGGTCTTGAACTTCTGGGCTCAAGCAATCCTCCTGCCTCAGTCTCCCAAAGTGCTGGGACTACAGGCATGAACCACCATACCTGGCCTCCAAGTTTGTTTACATGAAAACAGAATGACTACTTTTTTTTTTTTAATTGAGACAGAGTCTCGCTCTGTCGCCCAGGCTGGAGTGCAGTGACGCGATCTCGTCTCACTGCAACCTCAACCACTTGGGTTCAAGCGATTCTTGTGTCTCAGTCTCCTGAGTAGCTGGGACTACAGGCACGCACCACCACGCCCAGCTAATTCTTTTGCATTTTTAGTAGACAGAGTTTTGCCATGTTGGCCAAGCTGGTCTTGAACTCCTAACCTGAAGTAAGCCGCCTGCCTCGGCCTCCCAAAGTGCTGGGATTACAGGTGTGAGCCACTGTGCCTGGCCACATACTTCTTATAAAACTCTTAAGGTAGCCACATTTTTTTTCCAGTGAACGTGGTTTAAATAAAATGTGAGACACTCCCATTACTTTAATGGAATAGAGTTATATCAACTTTTTATTTTTATTTATTTGTTTATTTATTTATTTTTGAGACAGAGTCTCTCTCACTGTGTTGGCCAGATTGGAGTGCATCGGCATGATCACAGCACAATCATAGCTTGGTGCAGCCTCAACCTCAGCCACCCAAGTAGCTGGGAACAAAGGTGCACGCCACCATGCCTGGCTTTTTTTTTTTTTTTTTTGCAGAGACTAGGTCTCACTATGTTGCCCAGGCTAGTCTGCAACTCCTGGGCTCAAGCAGTCCTCTCACCTTGGCCTCCCAAAGTGTTGGGGTTATAGGCTTGAGCCACTGTGCCTGGCTTGAATTCTTTAATCTATCTAAAGTTTCTTTTTGTGACTATTGGTAAGGGGGAGATTTTTTCCAAATAATTAGCTAGTTGTTTCAAACATTTTGAATAGTTTATCCTTATTTTACTGATAGGAAGTGCCAACTTTCACAAACACTAAATTTGCTTGTATCTGTTTCCAGGTACTATTTTGTTCCTGTTTAGTAACTTATTTTAACAATTAGAACTTTTGCTATCCTGTTTGGCAGGAGCCTCCTCTTCGTTCTTTTTTTTTTTTTTTTTTTTTTTTTTTGAGACAGAGTCTCACTCTGTCATCCGGGCTGGAGTGCAGTGGCACAATTTCAACTCACTGCAACCTCCCCCTCCCAGCTTCAAGCGATTCTCGTGCTTCAGCCTCCCAAGTAGCTGGGATTACAGGTATGCACCACCATCCTGGCTAATTTTTATATTTTTGGTAGAGACAGGGTCTTGCCATGTTGGTCAGGCTGGTCTCGAACTCCTGTCCTCAAGTGATCCACTCGCCTTGGCCTCCCAAAGTCCTGGGGTTACAGGTGTGAGCCACCACGCATGCCTGTCTTTGTTCTTTTTCCATATTGCCTTGGCTCTTCCTTCAAATCTTTTCTCCTTGACTAGCTTTAGAATCACAAGGGTTCCAGCTCCACCCCTGCTTCTTTCTTTTTTTTTTTGTTTGTTTTTTGGAGACGGAGTCTCACTCTGTCACCCAGGCTGGAGTGCAATGGCATGATCCCAGCTTGCTGCAACCTCTGCTTCCCGGGTTCAAGCAATTCTCCTGCCTCAGCCTTCCAAGTAGCTGGGATTACAGGCACATGCCACCACGCCCAGCTAATTTTGTATTTTTAATACAGACAGGGTTTTACCATATTGGCCAGGCTTATCTTGAAGTCCCCACCTCAGGTGATCCACCCACCTCGGCTTCCCAAAGTGCTGGGATTACAGGCGCATGCCACCATGCCCAGCTAATTTTGTATTTTTAGTAGAGACGGGGTTTTACCATGTTGGCCAGGCTCATCTCGAACTCCCCCACCTGAGGTGATCCACCCACCTCAGCCTCCCAAAGTTCTGGGATTACAGGCGTGAGCCACCGCGTCCGGCCTCCCTGCTTCTTTATTTAGTCCACTGACTCCTTGCCTGAAGCCTCTGCTTTCTTTGGTGCCAGGCCCCACTGGCCTGGCTCACCCTCTGGTCCTCCATGCCCCCTAACAGGCACCGCATGCGTGGGGAGACCACCCTGTGGAACCCTGGCTGTGACCATGCAGGTATTGCCACCCAGGTGGTGGTGGAGAAGAAGCTATGGCGTGAGCAGGGACTGAGCCGGCACCAGCTGGGCCGCGAGGCCTTTCTACAGGAAGTCTGGAAGTGGAAGGAGGAGTGAGTATGCAGCATCCCTGTGGGCATCGCAGCCCTGCCTCCCTGTCCCCTATCCAGAAGACCTCTGTCACCTGTAACCCCTTGGCCACAGGGTCAGACCCTCCCACAGAGGCAGAGTCAGTTGGCTCTAGGGCCCAGGTAAATTTCAGGGGGATGGGTGATCTCCACACTGCCCAGTCAGCCACCTGATGTCTCCCTCTAGCCCAGGCACGAGTGCTGACCTCAGCCTGTCTGCTTCCAGGAAAGGTGACCGGATTTACCACCAGTTGAAGAAGCTTGGCAGCTCCTTGGACTGGGATCGAGCCTGTTTCACCATGGACCCTGTGCGTGGGAGGAGTGTCAAAGCTGGGGCAGGAGTAGGAGTCTCCCCAGGGTGGGACCCCCACAGGAGAAAGCAGAGGTGTTGTGGCCCTCTCTCAGGAGCTGGCCCATGTAAAACACCATGGAGGGCTCAGCTGCAAATGCCACTTCCCACCCCTCGCCATGGCCCTTTCCATATCATGGCCCTTCATGTTCCCTGTCTTGGCTCTGGGAGCTCCAGATTCCTCCAGATGGCACATGATCAGGACCCCGTCTCCCATGGAGCCTGAACTCCCAGTGTCCTCTGCACCAGTACTTGTCCCCAGCTGATTGTCTTCCTCGCCATCTGCAGCATTACAAGGCTTGTTGCCTGCTCTTGTGTTCCCTTAGTCCTCTCTCCCCCTCAAGGAAAGAAGGAAAGTACTCCCCTCAGAGGGGTCTTTGTGCTGGCCAGTGGGACTCTGTATGGGCAAGGCCTCACTGGAGCCCTGGGTGTCTGCCTGGGCCTCCAGGCACAAGGCCCATCTCTCTGACTTCTCCCTCCTCCACCCCAGAAACTCTCAGCAGCTGTGACAGAGGCCTTTGTCCGGCTTCACGAGGAAGGCATCATCTATCGCAGTACCCGCCTTGTTAACTGGTCCTGCACCCTCAACTCCGCCATCTCTGACATTGAGGTGCGCCCCCCAACCTGGCCTGTCTCCATCTCCAATCTACCCTGGCCCTGGCCCTGGCCCCTGGGCCACGCCTCTAAATACCCATTTTACAGGTGGATAAGAAGGAGCTGACAGGTCGCACCCTGCTCTCCGTGCCTGGCTACAAGGAGAAGGTGGAGTTCGGGGTCCTCGTGTCCTTTGCCTATAAGGTCCAAGGCTCAGGTAGGAGCCAGGGGCACCAGGATCCTGGGCTGGGAGTGGCAGGAAGGGGCCAAGGCCAAGACCACAAGGCCTTCTGTCACCCCAGATAGCGACGAGGAGGTGGTGGTGGCAACAACTCGGATCGAGACAATGCTGGGAGATGTGGCTGTAGCTGTGCACCCCAAAGATACCAGATACCAGGTGGGGGACTGTCCACAGTTAGGGAAGGAGTTCTGGCCAAAAAGGGCTCCCATCCTTATGGGGTGGAGGGGTTGGACTTAGGCCCCTGGCTGAGGAGAGGAAACTGGGTTAGAAACTGGTCTTCAGCTTCTTTCCCAGCTCTGAGGGTAGAGCTATTGGGGACTGTTTGGGGGAGTTCAAGTGTTGGGATAGTCAGGGCCCTGGAAAGGAAGGACTTGGGCCCAGCCCTTCGTGCATTTTTAAAAAGTTAAATAGCCAGGCACGGTGGCTCATGCCTGTAATCCCAGCGCTTTGGGAGGCTGAGGCAGGTGAATCATAAGGTCACGAGTTCGAGACTAGCCTGGCCAACATAGTGAAACCCCATCTCTACTAAAAATACAAAAAATTAGCCAGTTGTAGTGGCGGGTGCCTGTAATCTCAGCTACTCAGGAGGCTGAGGCAGGAGAATCGCTTGAACCTGGGATGCGGAGGTTGCAGTGAGCTGAGATCACTCTGCTGCACTCCAGCCTTGGTGACAGAGCGAGACTCCGTCTCAAAAAAAAAAAAAAAGTTAAATAGAGACAAGGTCTCACTCTGTTAACCATGCTGATCTTGAACTCCTGGCCTCAAGGAAGCCTCCTGCCCCAGCCTCCCAAAGTGTGGGGGTTAGAGATGTGAGCCATGGCACCAGGCCCCTTCATGCTTTTATTTATTTATTTATTTTTGAGAGAGGGTCTCACTCTATCGCCCAGGCTAGAGTGCAGTGGCACCATCTTGGCTCACTGCAACCTCCACCTCCCGGGTTCAAGCAGTACTTGTGCCTCAGCCTCTTGAGTAGCTGAGATTACAGGCACGCGTCACCACACCTGGCTAATTTTTTTTTTGTATTTTTAGTAGAGACTAGGTTTCCCCATGTTGGCCAGGCTGGTCTCCAACTCCCGGCCTCAAGTGATCTGCCCACCTCAGCCTCCCAAAGTTCTGGGATTACAGGTGGGAATCACGGCGTCTGGCCCTGCTTCATGCGTTTTTGGTATCTTTCCGCCCCCAGCACCTGAAGGGGAAGAACGTGATCCACCCATTCCTGTCTCGGAGCCTTCCCATTGTCTTCGATGAATTTGTGGACATGGACTTTGGCACAGGTGGGCAAGGGGCTGGTCCTGTGGGGAGAGGAAAAGACTGGAGCTGCACCCTAGCTGTCCATCTTCTCTCAGAGAAAAAGAAAATAAGCTTCAGCCAAATAGACAGAGCTTGGGGTGGTTCTCAAGGGACTGTATTAGACAAGTGGGGGCCAGGAGTGGTCTCGGAGCTACATCCTTCAGCAAAAGAGGTGAGTGTAGGAAGGAACTCCGTGGAGTCCCTCATGACCTGGGCATCCTGATGTACACCCAGGTGCTGTGAAGATCACCCCCGCACATGACCAAAATGACTATGAAGTTGGGCAGCGGCACGGGCTGGAGGCCATCAGCATCATGGACTCCCGGGGGGCCCTCATCAATGTGCCTCCGCCTTTCCTGGTGAGGCTGCCTGAGGCAAGAGTGCCCGGGTCAGGGAGATGGAGGGATGGCTGGGCATCGCCATGATGAGGCCTCATTCCTACCCAGGGCCTGCCCAGGTTTGAGGCCAGGAAAGCGGTGCTGGTGGCGCTGAAGGAGCGGGGACTGTTCCGTGGCATTGAGGACAACCCCATGGTGGTGCCACTTTGCAAGTGAGGGTGGGGGCCTGGGACGGGAGGAAGATGGAGGGCTCCTCAGGGTTTTACCGCCTGGCCTTCTCACCTACGTGTACCCCCAGCCGGTCGAAGGACGTGGTAGAGCCTCTGCTGCGGCCGCAGTGGTACGTTCGCTGCGGGGAGATGGCCCAGGCTGCCAGCGCCGCTGTGACTCGGGGTGACCTCCGCATCCTGCCTGAGGCCCATCAGCGCACATGGCATGCCTGGATGGACAACATCCGGTGTGTAGGGTCCTCAGTGTGGGAGGGGCTTGCCGAGGGCTGAGCAGGGCTCACTCGGGCCAGGCTCCATCAGGCCCTCCCTGATTTCTCCTCCCCGACATTTGCAGGGAGTGGTGCATTTCCAGGCAGCTGTGGTGGGGCCATCGCATCCCAGCCTACTTTGTCACTGTCAGTGACCCAGCGGTGCCCCCTGGGGAGGTGAGCAGAGGGCCAGAGCTAGCTGCTGGGACACCCTGCTGGAGTGGTGGGTTTACTGGGTCCTTGGTGGGGGGAGGGGCAGGGTGAGCCAGAAGCAGACACACCCCCTTGGGTAATCACTGCACCTGTGGCAGGACCCTGATGGGCGGTACTGGGTGAGTGGACGCAATGAGGCGGAGGCCCGGGAGAAGGCAGCCAAGGAGTTCGGAGTGTCCCCTGACAAGATCAGTCTCCAGCAAGGCAAGGCGGGGCTTTGAGGGTCTGGAGGGAGTTGTGGGGGGCAGAGCTCCACTCCCTCTGACCTCTGACCTTTGGCCTCTCTCAGATGAGGATGTATTGGATACCTGGTTCTCCTCTGGCCTCTTCCCCTTATCCATTTTGGGCTGGCCCAACCAGGTGTGTTCCTGGGGCCGGGGCTTGGCGGGACAGGGGACTGGAGGGTGGGTGTTGGCTCCCCTTCACACCCTGGTCTGCCCTCAGTCAGAAGACCTGAGTGTGTTCTACCCCGGGACACTGCTGGAGACCGGTCATGACATCCTCTTCTTCTGGGTGGCCCGGATGGTCATGCTGGGCCTGAAGCTCACGGGCAGGCTGCCCTTTAGAGAGGTGCGGAGACAGCCGAGACCCTCCCATCGCCCCCAGCCTCCTCTCCTACCGTCCTGTGCTGCAGCGCAGACCCCGCGTGGCTGGGGCATGGGGTTAGCTGTGGGCAGGCCTGACCCGGGGGCTGGTGTGGGGTTGAAATCCAGCCTGGGCCCTGCTCAGTGATTCCTGTGCCCAGGGCTTCATCTTCCCAGAGGAAGGAGTGCTTCTGATTCACATAAAGGCGCTCAACGAGCTCTTGGGGACACTCAGTGGGACCTGAGGTTCACAGTGGGGTAGACCAGACACAGTCCTGGTCGGGGCACTGAGGCCGGGGAAGGAGAGGACTGAGTCTCATGGGCCTCCCCACCTGCTCTGCAGGTCTACCTCCATGCCATCGTGCGAGATGCTCACGGCCGGAAGATGAGCAAGTCTCTAGGCAATGTCATCGATCCCCTGGACGTCATCTATGGAATCTCCCTGCAGGTGGGCTGGGTGCTGGGCCAGCCAGGAAGGGCCGTGGGGCTGTGGTCACAGCCACCTGACTGCTCCCACTCCACCCTCAGGGCCTCCACAACCAGCTGCTGAACAGCAACCTGGATCCCAGCGAGGTGGAGAAGGCCAAAGAAGGGCAGGTATGGAGGGTTGGGCTGGGCTAAGCAGGAGCACAGCGTGGATGGGGCTGGCTGAGGACGCTCCTCCCCCTGCCTCTTCCCTGTAGAAAGCTGACTTCCCAGCGGGGATTCCTGAATGTGGCACCGATGCTCTCCGGTTTGGATTATGTGCCTACATGTCCCAGGGTATGGCCCCCAAAGCGTCCCTCCCAGCCACTCCTTCCTCCTTCTGTGAGGCCCATCCCTCTTCTCCACCCTGAGCCTCTGGTGGGCATGGGCTGGGAAGAGGGTGATGAGGACTCACATCTCACCCCCGACCCAGGTCGTGACATCAACCTGGATGTGAACCGGATACTGGGTTACCGCCACTTCTGCAACAAGCTCTGGAATGCCACCAAGTTTGCCCTTCGTGGCCTTGGGAAGGGTTTTGTGCCCTCACCCACCTCCCAGGTAAGGGCCTGGTGGGCAGCAAAGCTGGCAGCACTCACACAGGCTGTACCCCTGTCCGGAGCAGCCTCCATGTAGCTGGGGGGACAGATAGACACAGAGACAGACAGTTAAAGGGAAAGCCCAGCGCATTGGGGGCTGGGGCCTGTCACTTCTTCCCAGATCCTGGCACATAGGTGGTTGCTTTGGACTCATCAGACTCTGGATGAAGATTTGCCCATGACTCCTGCCCCCATGGGGTTCTGGCACCCTCCCCTGGCCCGCCGGCTGATACACCCTCTCTCCCCAAGCCCGGAGGCCATGAGAGCCTGGTGGACCGCTGGATCCGCAGCCGCCTGACAGAGGCTGTGAGGCTCAGCAATCAAGGCTTCCAGGCCTACGACTTCCCGGCCGTCACCACTGCCCAGTACAGCTTCTGGCTCTATGAGCTCTGTGATGTCTACTTGGTGAGAAGGAGCACAGCGGGGCAGGGGATGGTGGGGGCAGGTGGGCAGCAGAGCCCTGGGCTCAGTTTTGCCAGAGTTGGCCTTGAGACCTAAGCCAACCCATCCCCTTCCCAGTCCTCACAGGCACAGCGAGGGCTCAAGGCTAGACCTCCAGCCGTGAGCCCTGTACCTCTCGTCCCCTAGGAGTGCCTGAAACCTGTACTGAATGGGGTGGACCAGGTGGCAGCTGAGTGTGCCCGCCAGACCCTGTACACTTGCCTGGACGTTGGCCTGCGGCTGCTCTCACCCTTCATGCCCTTCGTGACGGAGGAGCTGTTCCAGAGGCTGCCCCGGAGGATGCCGCAAGCTCCCCCTAGCCTCTGTGTTACCCCCTACCCGGAGCCCTCAGAGGTATGGCATGGCCTGGAGAGGGGAGTCTGACCTGCCCTCCAGGCCCCCTCACCCCCTCCTCCACCCCACAGTGCTCCTGGAAGGACCCCGAGGCAGAAGCCGCCCTTGAGCTGGCGCTAAGCATCACGCGAGCCGTGCGCTCCCTGCGGGCCGACTACAACCTCACCCGGATCCGGCCTGACTGTGAGCCTCAGGCCCCCATGTCCGCCCCATCCCACTGTCCCCTCAGCCTACTCTGGGACCCAGTGTCCGGCAGTGACTGCTTGGTTTCCTGTCTCCATGGAGCTAGGCCTCACCTTTCTCCCTCCCTGGCAGGTTTCCTGGAAGTGGCGGATGAGGCCACGGGCGCCCTGGCATCGGCGGTGTCGGGCTACGTGCAGGCCCTGGCCAGCGCAGGTGTGGTGGCTGTTCTGGCCCTGGGGGCTCCCGCCCCCCAGGGTTGCGCTGTGGCTCTGGCTTCTGATCGCTGCTCCATCCACCTGCAGCTTCAGGGGCTGGTGGACCCTGCACGGGAGCTGGGCAAGCTGCAAGCCAAGCGAGTTGAGGCCCAGCGGCAGGCCCAGCGTCTGCGGGAACGCCGTGCTGCCTCGGGCTATCCTGTCAAGGTGCCGCTCGAAGTCCAGGAGGCAGATGAAGCCAAGGTGTGTGGCCTGGGTGGGCATTTCCCACACCATCCCCTTCCTCCATCAAAACCCTGGTCTGGGCTGGTCCGAGTGCAGTGGTGTTGACAACTAATTGATCGTAACCAGTTACAGATTTCTTTGTTCCTTCTCCACTCCCACTAGCCTTAAAAAACAAAACAGCCTGGCTCAGTGGCTCACACCTGTAATCCCAGAAATTTGGGAGGCCAAGGTGGGTGGATCACTTGAGCCCAGGGGTTTGAGACCAGCCAACATGGTGAAATCCCATCTCTACAACAAAAATACAAAAATTAGCTGGCCATAGTGGCACACACTTGGGGTCCCAGCTACTCGGGGGGCTGAGGTGGGCGGATTGCTTGAGCCTGGGAGGTCAAGACTGCAGTGAGCCGAGATCATGCCACTGCACTTGAGCCTGGGCAACAGAGAGAAGACCCTGTCTGGAAAAAAAACAAAACAAAACAAAAACCAATCCTGGTCTGGAAGCTGGACTCTGTACCCAACCCTGGGGAATCCACTGGGGAGCATGGAGCCCAGGCGCTTTGAGCAGGGACCATAGAAGGCCCTCCCCTTACACATGGGGAGCAGCTGGGGGCTGGGCACAACCCAGGGTCACACAACAGGTGGGAGACGGAGGCTGACCTAGAACCAGGCATCCTATCTCCCAGCCAGACCCTTCGTACCCCACCCAGCTGCCCAAAATGTGGAAACCTGCATGCCTGGGGCTGGGCTTGGGGTCCACATGTAGTCGGGGAGCCCTGGGCCTCCCACCACTTACTTTCAAGCCTACTGGGCTGACCCTGGAAGGCCAGTCTTGTTTGTCCCCTGCCTCCTGGGTTCCGCCAGAGAGAAGCAGTGGAGTAAACTGCACAGACACAGAGAAAACCAGTCATGGAGGCCAAGAGCTAGAGAGCCTTGAGTGGACGTGGTTAATCTCACTTGGTTCTCCCAAGAGCCCTGGGAGGGGGGCAATATCATCATCATCATCTGACAAATGAAGTGACCGGCCTGGGAGACTGTGCTCTCCTGCTTAGGTGGGGACACTGAATGGGGAACACGTAGGCTCTGAGGTTCCTTTGTTCTTGGGGACTCACCACTTGGTGGAAAAAGGCAAGACCCAAGAGGTGGTGGTGGAAGTGGGGGTGCTGGTGGGAATGGGTGGGGAGCCAGGCCAGCCAGGTTCACGCCTCCTCTGAGCTACTGACCTCCCATGGTCCTCGCTCATCTTTCCAACTTTGTTGTCCTGGGTGTTTGGGGGTCTCTTCACTTGGACCTGGGTCCTCACCCACCCCCTGGTTCCACTCCAGCTCCAACAGACAGAAGCAGAGCTCAGGAAGGTGGATGAGGCCATCGCCCTATTCCAGAAGATGCTGTGATCCACCACCCAGCTTCACCCCTCACCCCCAGCGGCTCACCATGGGGATGGCAGCAATAAAATATTTTCCCACAAAATCCTCTTGTCGTCTGTGGTGGGGGCAGAGAGGGGAGCAGAGGGGCTGGGTGCCTGAATCCTTGGGGGCTGCAGGGTGGGAGTGAGGCCCTGGTTCTGGAGGGCAGAGGGGTGCGTCTATCTGGGTCTGTCCCTGGCACTGTGCCAGGCCTGAGTCACGCTGCTTACTCCCTTCCTCCTCCCCAGCTCTCACTCACCTCCGCACTGCAGCCAAGGGAGGCCCGCCCTGGCGTGGGCTGCTGCCTGTGGCTTTGGGCAGGCAGGAGCGAAAGGGCCAGGGGTTGCCTGTCCTCCCCCACCCTGTTGAGGCCTTCCTCCCCCTCTGCTGAGCCTCGGTTAATTATAACTCTGACCTAAGTGCCCTGTGACGTCAAGCCCGGGCCAGCCCTGCCCAGGAGACCCAGCAACCAGGTAGGGGAGGGCCTGAGAGGACTCAGGCTTCCTGAGCATGGGGAGTGTTTCTGCGGCAGGGCTGGGGACGCAGCCAGGGACTGGGGAGGGGGGCGTGGGGGAGGAACCTTGGACCCCTCTCCTGGCAGGTGTGTATGTCCCTAATGGTCCGATGAGGCCCTCAGGTTGTCTGGGTGACAGCGAGAGGGTGGGGAAGCCAGGCTGGAGCAGACACGACTTTTGAGGTAAAGCAGGTTCCCATGGAGACCCGCAGAGCCGGCCTGCCCTGGAATCGCGGCTGCTTCCTCCTCCCTTGAGAGCCTTCTGTCTCCCAGGTCCATGTCTCAGCCATGCTCCCCACGGAGGTCCCCCAATCCCACCCGGGCCCCTCAGCGTTGCTTCTGCTGCAGCTGTTGCTGCCCCCCACATCTGCCTTCTTCCCCAACATCTGGAGCCTGCTGGCTGCCCCTGGCTCCATCACCCACCAAGACCTAACTGAGGAGGCAGCGCTCAACGTCACCCTGCAGCTCTTCCTGGAGCAGCCACCCCCAGGCCGCCCCCCTCTTCGTCTTGAGGACTTCCTGGTGAGCATCCCAGGGTCCTGTCACACCCCTGCCAGAGTCCCCAATTCCATGGGGCCTCTACTCCTTGAGGGCTCTGGTTGCCAAGAGAAGAGACACCCATGGCCCCACCCCTGCAGCAATAATACCCAGTAGTCTTGGTCCTGAAATTAGGAGTCCCCCTCCTTAGAAAGGTCCGGGACTGTCCCTCCTTTGTGGGGCTCAGGACCCTCATACCCAGCCTTGAGTGTCAGTTGCTGAGATAAGGTGGGCAACAGTCAATCCAAAGGGCCTCCCTGGAGCCCCGTCGCCCGCTATTCTCCCCAGGGTCGAAC
Organism: Homo sapiens; assembly: GCF_000001405.40. Classification (NCBI taxonomy): domain Eukaryota; kingdom Metazoa; phylum Chordata; class Mammalia; order Primates; family Hominidae; genus Homo; species Homo sapiens. The sequence goes on along the minus strand of NC_000006.12, from coordinate 31,776,234 downwards.
ACTCCTTGCTGATGACCTCTTTGCCGCCTACTTTGGACCTGGTTCTTCTCGGCGGTTCCGAGCAGCCTTAGGTGAGGTGTCTCGTGCCAATGCAGCCCAGGACTTCCTGCCAACTTCCAGGAATGACCCCGACCTGCACTTTGATGCTGAGCGACTGGGTCAGGGACGCGCGCGCCTGGTAGGGGCTCTGCGGGAGACCGTGGTGGCAGCCAGGGCCCTTGACCACACCCTGGCTCGCCAGCGCCTCGGGGCTGCACTTCATGCCCTGCAGGTGAGAACAGGGTTGGGTTGATGGTCAGAGGGGTCTTCACTTCCGTGCCTGTCCGGGATGGAGCGCGTCCTATGGTGCCTTCTTGATCATGTCTCCTCCACTCTGGAAGGGGTGGGCACTGGCACGCGGTGCCCCGAGGCTGTGTCCCAGTTCCCCACCTCCAAGCTGGCAGTGCTTCCTGTAGGAACAGCAAGGAGGGCGCTGTGGCTGGAGAGAAGTGAGGGTGAGAGAGGAAGGCTGCGAGGTCAGAGAGCTGAGGGAGCAGCACACGCAGCAGGACTCTGCAGGCCGAGAGAGGCCTTGGGTTAGACTCTGAGCTGGGAAGAGATGCTGGGACAGTTTCCACCTGGGCAAAGCTCTGCTCTGAGCAATGGAGAGAGGGCAGTGGAGGGGACTTGGGGTGTCTGGTGGGAGCAGTAGGGGTGGGAGGGGACTTTCGGGATGGGGAACTCAAAGGAGTGGCATATTAGTGCTGGAGATGGTGAGAAAGGCCAGACTAGTGCCTCACTCCCCTTCTCCTGTCCTCCGGACCAGGATTTCTACAGTCATAGCAACTGGGTGGAGCTGGGCGAGCAGCAGCCACACCCTCACCTCCTCTGGCCAAGGCAGGAGCTCCAGAACCTGGCACAAGGTATGGCTGTGACCCTGGTGGTGAGGCAGGAGTCCACAGGGCCACCTCAGTCCACCCAGCCACTGTGTCACATTCTGAAGTCCCAGAGGGTATGATGTTACTTAATCTCCACAAGGACTGAGGTCCCCCAGTCCAAGCAACGCCTGGCTCAGTTAAGCAGCTTCCCCAAGGTCACACAGGGAAAAGTAGCTAGGACCAGGTCTCCAGACCTCAGTCCCGTCTTAAGTGTGGCTTCCTCCCCGCACTGACTCCCATGGGGCCTTCTCTCACAGCCCCCTCACCCTCTCACCTGGAAGCTGCCTCCTGTCCACAACTCACAGAGGGCATAATCCCCATAGGATTGGTCCCTACACGTACTGTGTTTGTTTTTTTCTTATTATTTATTTATGTATTTATTTTTTAGAGATGAGGTCTCACTGTGTGGCGCAGGCTGCTCTGCCCGCCTTAGCCTCCTAAAGTGCTGGGATTACAGTCGTGAGCCACCGCACCCAGCCTGTGCTGTGTTTTCCAGCACAGCCCTAGTTTCAAACATTCAGGCTCACTGCGGGCCCATGATCCTAGGTTTTAGTTCAGAAAGCTTTGCTAGGGAACTTCTGGGTGTTCGCCTCATCCCAGCTGGGAGGAGAAGCTGAAAAGGTTTGGGTGGGTGGGGATAAAGGCTGGGGGTGGCAGAATCTTGGGTTCTAGCCCTGCCCTCTCTTCCCAGTGGCCGATCCTACCTGCTCCGATTGCGAGGAGTTGAGCTGCCCCAGGAATTGGCTGGGCTTCACACTCCTCACCTCTGGCTACTTTGGAACTCATCCCCCGAAACCTCCAGGTACCAGACAAGAAAGTTCCCCAGAAGTAAGGGGAGAAAGTCATTCCCTTACAGGATCTCTGTCCTGTAGGCCCGTATGCCTTTGCTATGGCATCTCCTCCTAGGAGGAGAGGATGCTGGGAACAGGGTGGGTGGAGGAAAGTCCCCTGAGGAGGCTGTGGTGGGGTTGAGGTAGGGGAGCAACTTCTTCCTCCGCTGATAGGATTTCTCCCTTGTCATAGGCAGTTTTGGGGGACTGGCTGGAGGGATCAGGGGATCCACCATGTGCTGTGGTGACTGACCACCACGCCCTAAGATTTACTCCAGAATTCCCCTCCACAAAGCACCATCCTTTTTATCCTTTTTTTTTTTTTTTTTTTTTGAGATGGAGTTTTGTTCTTTTTGCCCAGGCTGGAGTACAGTGGCACGATCTCGGCTCACTGCAACCTCCGCCTCCCAGGTTCAAGCGATTCTCCTGCCTCAGCCTCCCGAGTAGCTGGGATTACGGGCATGTGCCACCACGCCCGGCTAATTTTGTACTTTTAGTAGAGACAGGGTTTCATCATGTTGGCCAGGCTTGTCTCAAACTCCTGACTTCAGGTGATCCACCCACCTCAGCCTCCCAAAATGCTGGGATTACTGGTGTGAGCCACCGTGCCCAGCCATCATTTATTTATTTATTTATTTTTTGAGACCGAGTCTTGCTCTGCCACCCAGGCTGGAGTGCAGTGGCGTGATCTCGGTTCACTGCAACCTCCGCCTCTTGGGATCAAGCTATTTTCCTTCCTCAGCCTCCTAAGTAGCTGGGATTACAAGCACGCGCCACCACACCTGGCTAATTTTTATAGTTTTAGTAGAAACAGAGCTTCACCATGTTGGCCAGGCTGGTCTTGAACTCCTGATCTCAGATGATCTGCCGGCCTCGGCCTCCCAAAGCGCTGGGATTCCAGGCGTGAGCCACCGCGCCAACCCCGTCATCATTTCTTGCTGAACCCTTGCTGAGGGGTGAGAGGGTCAGGCCAGGCCTGAAAGGGCCTCATTTTCTTAGGAGGCAGTGGGTTTTTGACCTCCACTCTCCAGATCCCTTTCCCCAACCCAGGGAAATGTAGCCACGGGGGCCATTTTGACCGGAGCAGCTCCCAGCCACCGAGGGGAGGCATCAACAAGGACAGCACATCCCCAGGCTTCTCCCCTCACCACATGCTGCACCTCCAGGCTGCAAAACTGGCCCTTCTAGCCTCCATCCAGGCCTTCAGCCTTCTGCGAAGCCGCCTGGGAGACAGGGATTTCTCCAGGTGAGTGGCCTCCTGGGGATGGACCCCTTCATGGGGAGGCGCTCCTGCGGGAAGGGAGAAACCAGGCGCTGGGGACAAACGTGCAGGCCCTTCACTGTGTCTCTGGCTTGCTCCCCAGGCTGCTGGACATCACCCCAGCCTCCAGCCTGAGCTTTGTCCTGGACACCACGGGCAGCATGGGTGAGGAGATCAACGCTGCCAAAATCCAGGCTCGCCACCTTGTGGAGCAGCGGAGAGGCAGCCCCATGGAGCCTGTCCACTATGTCCTGGTGCCTTTTCATGACCCAGGTAAGTGTGGTCTGGCTAGGACAGTAGAGGGGAGGAAAATTCAAGGTAAGGGATAGACTGGGCGTGGTGGCTCACGCCTGTAATCCCAGCACTTTGGGAGGCTGAGGCAGGTGGATCACCTGAGGTCGGGAGTTTGAGACCAGCCTGACTAATATGGAGAAACCCCGTCTCTACTAAAAATACAAAATTAGCCGGGCGTGGTGGTGGGCACCTATAATCCCAGCTACTCGGGAGGCTGAGGCAGGAGAATCGCTTGAACCCAGGAGGCAGAGGTTGCGGTGAGCCCCGAGATCGTGCCTTTGCACTCCAGCCTGGGCAACAAGAGCAAAAAGCTCTGTCACAAAAAAAAAAAAAAAAAAAAAAAAAAAAGAAAAGAAAGAAAAAAAAAAGAAAAGATAAAAAGGTAAGGGATAAAGGCCTGTGGTGAGGAAGTGGGCTCGGGGTGGCACTTCCTGTAGTCCCGAGTGAGCCTCTACTGTGTGCATACAGAAAATTAGCAGCAACCTGGGTGGGGTGGCTCACACCTGTAATCCCAGCACTTTGGGAGGCAGAGGTGGGTGGATCGTTTGAGCCCAGGATTTCAAGACCAACCTGGGCAACACAGAGAAACACAGGTCTCTACAAAAAAATTAATAAAAATTATGTGTGGGTGTGGTGGCACATGCCTATAGTCCCAGCTACTTGGGAAGCTGAGGCAGGAGGATCACTTGAGCCCAGGAGACTGAGGTTGCAGTGAGCCGTGATGGCACTACTGCACTCCAGAGCGGCCTGGGTGACGCAGTGAGACCCTGTCTCTAAAAAAAAAAAAAAAGATAACTAGCAGACTTGCCTCCCACTCTTTCTAAAATGGCAGCACTTTCCATGAGTTTAATGCATGATTCATGCTTTGGCACGTGGCCTCTGCTTTCTTAGGCTTTCATGCTAATAAACCATTTTCTTTTTTTTTTTTTTTTTTTTTTTTTTGAGACGGAGTCTCGCTCTGTCGCCCAGGCTGGAGTGCCATGGCGCGATCTCGGCTCACTACAAGCTCCGTCTCCCGGGTTCACGCCATTCTCCTGTCTCAGCCTCCTGAGTAGCTGGGACTACAGGCGCCCGCCACCACGCCCGGCTAATTTTTGTATTTTTAGTAGAGACGGAGTTTCACCGTGTTAACCAGGATGGTCTCCATCTCCTGACCTCGTGATCCGCCCGCCTCGGCCTCCCAAAGTGCTGGGATTACAGGTGTGAGCCACCGTGCCCGGCCGCCATTTTCAATTCTCTCCATTTCCTATAGACAGAGATTGGTATCAAGATGGGGTTGTTGGGGCCAGGCTTCTGGGAAGCATCTGAGATAACTAGCTACATTGTATTCCTTTTCCATTGATTAGAAGTTAGACTCTCTGGCTTGAGTCTGACTGTGTGTCTTTAGGCTGGTCATGTAAACTTTCTTTGCCTCGATTTCATCATCTGTAAAATGGGTATCAGTTATCACATCAGGGTGGGGCAGGATGTTGGAATGTCATCAGTTAAGGCTATTTTCACTTCTTTTGTGGATCTTCAGTTGCTTCAGGCCATCTGGATGTATAAGTGCCAGTCACAGGGGATATGATTGGTTAGCTTGGGCTCAGAGGCCTGACACCTCCCTCATCCTGCCTAACTCCCAGAGTTGAAATGATGATCAAATAAAATGCCTACTGGACTGAGAGTTGCCTAAATTTGAGTCTTATTTGCCTGCATACATCCTACAGTGGCTGGCATTTAATAGACTTATTATGTTTGATGAAGATATAAATAAAGGTATAACTAAGAACTTAGCACTTATGTGTCAAAGCACTATCTTAAGATTTGCAAAATCAACTCATTTAGTCCTCCCAATAAACCTCTGAGGTAAGTGCTATTCGGTCTCTTTTCTTATGAGGAAACCCAGTTTTTTTTTTTCTTTTCTTTCTTTTTTTTTTTTTTTGAGAGAGAGAGAGGGAGAGTCTCACTCTGTCACCCAGGTTGGAGTGCAATGGTACAATCATGCCTCACTGCAGCCTCGATTCAAGCAATCCTCCTGCCACAGCCTCCTGAGTAGCTGGGACTACAGATGAGCACCACCATATCTGGCTAATTTTTGTATTTTTTTGTAGAGATGGGGTCTCACTATGTTACCCAGGCTGATCTCGAGCTCCTGGGCTCAAGTGATCCTCCCACTTCAGCCTCTCAAAGTGCTGGGATAATAGGTGTGACCATTTTTTTTTTTATATACGCACATGTAGCCAATAAAGGCCTACAGGAAATGCCACCATTTTTTTCAGGGAGTGGAGGCCACCTTCCCACCAGGGACACCTAGGTCTGCCCTGCCCTGCCCCGCCCTGCCCCGCCCTGCACTGACAAGTATGACTTTTTTTTTTTTTTTTTGAGATGGAGTCTGTCGCCAGACTGGAGTGCAGCGGCACGATCTCGGCTCACTGCAACCTCTGCCTCCCGGGTTCAAGTGATTCTCCTGCCTCAGCCTCCCCAGTAGCTGGGGAGGCTACTGGGGAGCCTCTGGGGAGGCTACTGGGGAGGCTACGGGCATGCATCACCATGCCCAGCTAATTTTTATATTTTTTAGTAGAGACGAGGTTTCACCATGTTGGCCAGGATGGTTTTGATCTCTTGACCTCATGATCCACCCACCTTGGCCTCCCAAAATGCTGGGATTACAGGTGTGAGCCACCGCACCCGGCCAAGTATGAGTCTTATAATGGAGTATTGTTATTTCAATACCTGTCGGCTCCAGAAGCACACCAGGCCCCTCAACTGGGGAGGTGGCTCTGGGTAAGAATGAGGGGAGCTCTTTCCTCACTTATCTTAACCTCCTTTCCCCTTCCCAGGGTTCGGCCCTGTCTTTACAACCAGTGACCCTGACAGCTTCTGGCAACAGCTTAATGAGATCCATGCCTTGGGGGGTGGAGACGAGCCTGAGATGTGCCTGTCAGCCCTGCAGGTCTGGCCCCTCCCTTCTTCCCCGTTTCCTGGCCCCACCACCAGGGGGAGCTAGATCCCTCCTGGGGCTCCCCACCACCTTCAGCACCTAGATCCACTAGCTTCACTGTAGGGTTCCCGGGCCATATTCCCTTCTGCTTCATCCTCCGTGGCTCTACCCATTCCCCTCCTACTGCCATTGTTAACACTGGTCGTTGCCTTCCCTGCCAGCTGGCCCTGCTGCACACACCTCCACTCTCAGATATCTTTGTCTTCACGGATGCCTCCCCCAAGGATGCCTTTCTCACCAACCAGGTGGAATCCCTGACTCAGGAGCGGCGCTGCCGGGTGAGCAGAGCTAGTGGGAGACCCAGTGTTAGCCTCCCAGGGATGTGAGAGACCCTGTGATGACAATCTCATAACGAGGGTTGCACCACACTATGGTGGCCCAACAAGCCTTGGTATATGGTGGGAGAAGCAGACAATGAGTGGAACATTTCCTGATACCTTTAATGATATACGTAAGAGGCCCTACCCTTAATAACGCTGAATTTTTATTTGACCCTGCCTAATAAACAATGTGAAGAACTGGGGCTCTAGTCGCCAAAAATCCACTGTGACAGTTACAAGGGGGTGGCCAACTACTAACTGAAGGCAGGGGGTTCTGTCATTGGGATTCCCCACCCCAGCAGCCAGAAGGCAGGCAGAGACCTTATCACAAACCATCAGCTCTGGAGAAAGCTTGAGCACAGGGATTCTCATTCATAATAGTGGATGGCACTTGGACACCCCAATCACTGAGCTCTCTTCTGGGTACAGGTAACATTCCTGGTGACTGAAGATACATCAAGGGTTCAGGGTCGAGCTCGGCGTGAGATCTTGTCCCCTCTGCGTTTTGAGCCATACAAAGCAGTGGCCCTGGCCTCAGGAGGAGAGGTGATCTTCACCAAAGACCAGCACATTCGAGACGTGGCAGCCATTGTTGGGGAGAGCATGGCTGCCCTGGTAAGTGGGGGCCAGGGCCCTCACTTAGGAACTGAAGGGTGGTCAGGCTGCACCTCTCTTCTTATAGGAGAAAGGGGAATCACTCTCACTGCTGTGTTGTTCTTCCAGTCACGGGGCAGGAAAGGAAGTTTCTCTTCCTCTTAGATCCATGACTAGCCACTTCTTTTTTTTTTTTTGAGATGGAGTCTTATGGTCACCCAGGTTGGAGTGCAGTGGCACAATCTCGGCTCATTGCAACCTCCACCTCCCGGGTTCAAGGGATTCTCCTGCCTCAGCCTCCCAAGTCGCTAGAGTTACCAGTGCCCACCACCAGGCCTGGCTAATTTTTGTATTTTTTTAGTAGAGCCGGGGTTTCACCGTTTTTTTGGCCAGGCTGGTTTCGTACTCCTGACCGCAAGTGATCCGCCTACCTTGGCCTCCCACAGTGCTGGGATTACAGGCGCGAGCCACCACGCCTGGCCTGCATTGTCCTTTTATATCAGTAAACCTCTCCCCACTTGGCTTCCAGTATTCTGCCTCCAGGGTTACCACAGGAAGTCCTACCATCTTTTTGGGGAGGTGGCTTGTATTTTGCAGAGACAGAGTCTTGCTATATTGACTAAGCTGTTCTTGAACCCCTGGCCTCAAGTGATCCTCCTGCCTTGGTCTCCCAGGTGCTGGGATTACAGACATGAGCCACCACGCCTGGCCTATCATCTTTTAATGGGGCACAAGATGTGATTGTCTCATCCTGAATCCCTTGCCTCCAACTTTGTCTCTGACCATAATAACTTCATCCCTGGCCCCGTGCCCCTCTCTTACTGGTATCCCTTTCTGCCTGTTTGACGTGGTTTCTTTCTTTTTTCTTTTTCTTTCTTTTTTTTTTTTTTTTTTTTTTTGAGACAGAGTCTTGCACTGTCGCCCAGGCTGGAGTGCAATGGTACAATCTTGGCTCACTGCAGCCTCTGCCTGTTGGGTTCAAGCGATTCTCCTGCTCCAGCCTCCCAAGTAGCTGGGATTACAGGAGCCCACCACCACACCTGGCTAATTTTTTGTATTTTTTTTTTTTTAGTAGAGATGTAGTTTCACTGTGTTGGCCAGGCTGGTCTCGAACTCTTGACCTTGTGATCCACCCGCCTCAGCCTCCCAAAGTGCTGGGATTACAGGCGTGACCAACTGCGCCCGGCCCAATGACGTGGTTTCTTTCTATCTCCCCTTTCTTCTTTGTTCCTCATCCCATACCTCATCTTCTTCCCCATTTTCTGGTCCTGCCAATCCCTCAAGGTGACTCTTCCCCTGGACCCTCCTGTTGTGGTGCCTGGGCAGCCACTTGTGTTCAGCGTGGATGGGCTGCTCCAGAAGATCACAGTCCGGATCCACGGAGACATCAGCAGCTTCTGGATCAAGAACCCTGCAGGTACCTCTGAAGGTAGAGGGAAGAGAGGGGACCGGGGAATAGACAATCGAGGGGATGTACTCAAGGAGAGCAAGTGCTTCATGTGACAATCTCTTCCCTGACCCCAGGGGTCTCCCAGGGCCAGGAGGAAGGCGGGGGTCCTCTAGGTCACACTCGCCGCTTTGGGCAGTTCTGGATGGTGACCATGGATGACCCTCCACAGACAGGAACCTGGGAGATCCAGGTCACAGCTGAGGACACCCCTGGGGTGAGAGTGCAAGGTAAGGAGGGAGGTGTTCCTGGGAAGGGGAAGCAGAGACTGCAGGCCTCAGAGAACACGATCAGTCACATTCCTTTCAGGAAGGGCTCTGACTGCCTTTGCCCTTTCCCAGCCCAGACCTCCCTGGACTTCCTCTTCCACTTTGGGATCCCCATGGAGGATGGACCCCACCCTGGCCTCTACCCCCTGACTCAGCCAGTTGCAGGTACATTTATTCCCTGAGCCCCCACCCACCTAACCCCCAGTTTTATATATATATATAAAATATATAATATATAATATATATATTATATATATAATGTATATATGTATACATACATCTGTGCATATGCATAACTTTTATATTGAGTTATAATTTACATAATGTGCACTAAAGTGTACAGTTTGATGGATTTCATATAATACACCCAGTTCAGGATATAGAACATTTCCAGCACCCCAGAACTCCCTCCTGATGCTCCCCATCAATACCCCTCGAAGGTAACCTATTTTCCCATCCATACTCCCCAGAGGGAACCCCTATTTTGAAGGCCATTAATTCTTTTCTCCCTGTGTCTCCGAATCTCACAATGTTCTCCCCTCCTCGCCCCTGTCCCAGGTCTTCAGACCCAGCTGCTGGTAGAAGTGACAGGGTTGGGTTCCAGAGCCAATCCTGGGGATCCTCAGCCGCATTTCTCCCACGTCATCCTTCGAGGGGTCCCAGAGGGTGCCGAACTAGGCCAGGTGCCCTTGGAGCCCGTGGGACCTCCGGAGCGAGGTCTCCTCGCAGCCTCGCTGTCGCCCACGCTGCTGTCCACCCCTAGACCCTTCTCCCTGGAGCTGATTGGCCAGGACGCAGCGGGGCGGCGCCTGCACAGGGCTGCCCCTCAGCCTAGCACTGTAGTCCCTGTCCTTCTGGAGGTGAGACGCCAGGGGAAAGTGCGGCTGGGGCTGGAGAGAGTTAGAGCGGCCCCTTCCCTGAAGAACCCTTCTCTGCAGCTTAGTGGCCCCTCGGGTTTCTTGGCCCCGGGCAGCAAAGTCCCGCTCAGTCTCCGCATCGCCAGCTTCTCGGGCCCTCAGGATCTTGACCTTAGGACTTTCGTCAACCCCAGCTTCTCCCTCACCTCCAACCTCTCCAGGTGAGGCTCATGAACCCTCCAGCTCCCTCTGGCATCTTGCCCGGCCAATGCTTATCCCAAGCCCTGCCCCTGTCCCCCTCCGACTGGCCCTCAGAATCCTCCTCTCCGCTCCCGTGCCCCTGCAGGCGTCCCGACTCTAGGCTCTGGGCAGCCTGGAGCTTTAGCGACGCCTATATCCTCTCTCCAGGGCTCACCTGGAACTGAATGAGTCGGCCTGGGGCCGCCTGTGGCTGGAGGTCCCAGATTCAGCGGCCCCGGATTCCGTGGTGATGGTGACTGTGACTGCAGGGGGACGAGAAGCCAACCCAGTACCCCCGACTCATGCTTTCCTCCGGCTCCTGGTATCGGCCCCAGCCCCGCAGGTGAGGAACCACTACTTTCCATCACAGGGTGGGCAAGGCCGGGGAGGGTGGTGTAGGTTTAATTTGAGTACAGCTCTAGCACACCCTGTCATTCTCTTCCTTTTCCCCACAGGACCGGCACACCACCCCTACCGGCTCATCTGACCCGATCCTCACCACGGCCACCCCTGCCTTTTCCCCCTTCACATTGGTGACTCAAGGCAGGGCTGGGGCAGGGCTGGCTGCGGGCAGCCCCTGGTGGGGCACAGTTGGAGGGGTGCTGCTTCTGCTAGGCCTGGCCTCCTGGTGACACAACGGGCTCTAAAGGGATGGGTCTCCAGCACTATTTTCAACCTGCCCCATTGGTAAGAAGACCTGGGACACATTTGTCACATAGGTCTTAGGACCTTACCTCTCCTAGCTGGGATGAAGGTTTTCTCTTTTTTGTTGTTGTTGTTTTTTTTTTGAGATGTAGTTTTGCTCATTGCCCAGGCTGGAGTGCAGCGGCGCAATCTCGGCTCGCTGCAACCTCTGCCTCCTAGGTTCAAGCGATTCTCCTGCCTCAGCCTCCCAAGTAGCTGGGATCACAGGTGCCCGCCACCACGCCCGGCTAATTTTTTGTATTTTTAGTAGAGACAGGGTTTCACTATGTTGGCCAGGCTGGTCTCAAACTCCTGACCTCAGGTGATCTGCCTGCCTCGGCCTCCCAAAGTGCTGGGATTACAGGCGTGAGCCACCGTGCCCAGCCAATGAAGGTTTTCTTTCTCCATCACATCCCTTTCCTTTCTTAGAAACTTCGAGACTGGGGCTGGGTGCAGTGGCTCACGCCTGTAATCCCAGCACTCTGGGAGGCTGAGGCAGGAGGATCACTTGAGCCCAGGAGGTTGAGGCTGCAGTGAGTTGTGGTCGAACCACTGCACTACAGCCTGAGCGACAGTGAGACCCTATCTCAGAAACAAAACAAAACAAAACACCCTGCAAGACTGGGATAGAGGGCAATGGATATTCCCACAATGCACTTTTCCTAACCCTATGAGAAACAAACCAAAGACATTTTTGGAGAAAGCTGCTTTCTGGAGCAGTTTCAGTTTTATTTTTGTATTTAAGGCTGAAGGACAGTTTCAATAAACATGCTTCTTCCCAGAGGGATTTCAAAGAAAGATCGTTTTTGCATGTCATATAGGGGAGAATGAGGACATGAGACACCAAGAAGATGAAGTTTTCAGGAGCAGAGGAGAAACTTTACACCAACATGTCTGAACTTCATTGACTCACTACCTGGAGCCATTTTTTAGCTGTTGAGTTAAGAAACAGAAAAAGGAGCCTGGGGCTTCTGACTCTTTCACCAGGCTTAGGGGAGTGAGAGGAGGGTTTAGACACGGGTAGGGCCTCTTGGCCCCTTGGTGCAGCCCCGCTGAGCCATCTCCTCCTTTGGCTGGGTGACTCCTTTCTGCTGCCTTGACAACTCCTGGAGGAGAAACAGATGGGGCCTCTGGGCTCCTCCCAGCCCTGTAGGGTGGGGCTCCTGCCCTCCTTCTTGAAGTTTACCTGTTGCTGCCACAAGTTCTGCTCCCTTCGTCTTTCCTTTGAATCCTGGGTGGTGCAGGAACTAGCCTTGTTCAGTGGACTTGGGGAGAACTGGAGGGGAAATTCGCTGTGTTTTCTGTTAAGCCAGCACTGACCCCAACAACTCCCCTCTCTAGTCCAACTTCCCAAAAGTCTAAACTGAAAACAATAAACTCACCTTCTCATGAATCAGATTCTGCAAACAGATGTTCACCTTTTGAATCTGGGCTAACGGGGGGCGACCAGGCTCTGAGTGTAAATCTGTTAGAAAATTCTAGAGGAGGAGTTGGAGGCTGACAACATGGTGAAAACCTGAGGTCGTCTGCCACTCTATTCCTGTCACCACAGGCCATCCCTCTCATCTGGATCCCCTCGTCCCAGTACCCTCCCAGGCAGGTGGGAAAATCCAGTACTCTCCACCTCCATCTCTTTAGCACATCAGTTCCTCCATCTCCCTCAAATAGCACAATACCCCCTTTCACTACTCTTCATGGAGCCTCCCTGTCCATCCCTGCCCCATTGGAATAATCCAGGCCACACCCTCATCTCCATGGAGTGATCCAAATCCCTCTGAATGGAATGCAGACCAGCTTCCTCCAGCCCCAACAATGAACACCAACTTAACACTTGGTGGCATCCTGTCATTACGATGCTGCCTCCAACTCATGATCCCTGACCATTAACTCTCCCCTCTCCAGAGTGGTCTCAGGCTGTGTCTACACATTCCCTGTTCCTCCCTCCCTGGTCCTCCCCCCATTCACACAGAGGGGCAGCCCCCATACCTCACCAAGGGCCCCTAGATGCAGCTGCTGTCGCTGTGCCTCCCTCAGATGGTCTTCAAACCAGGCCTGGCCATGCTGTAGCAGCTCCAGACCCTGCCACAGGGCATCCTGTTCTCTCTCCAGAGCCTGCATCCTGCGTAGCTGGGAAAGGCAATCACAGAGGCTGACTCTCACGCCACAGTAGGGCTCTGGGTTATGGCCCTTTCTCTCCACCCCTAGTTGGGTTCACTGTGTGGTCACTGAGTGTGAACCCAGACTGGCCACTGAGGACCTGGAGGGCAAGGGGAGGCAGGCGGGAACACTGTGGGCCCTCAAGTTGAATGGAAATATAAAGGGCAGATCTATTGAGAGAGTTCCCCTGGGACCTCTTGTTGGGCTGATACTCACCCAAAGGAAGAAGCTCTGGGCCCCTGGGTCTTGGCGGCTTGTCCCCAGCGGCAGCAGCAGGACTGTGTAGGGAGCCTGCACCAAGGGCACCCCGCCAGAGCCCTGGCTCCCCATGGCTCTGAGGTGGGAAGGGTGGAGCCACTCCCACTGGTGCAGCCCGGGCTGGTCCCTCCCCTCCACCCCTGCCTTGCACCCATCCTGCCTCTGTCAGCCTCTCAGGCCCCTTCCTGCTGTGTCTGTCTGAGGCTGGGGTGTTCCTACTTGAGAAGAGAGACCATCTCCCTTGGACCCCTCTGTCTTCCCTCTAATCTGTTTTGTAGGGCCTCTCTGAAGGGGTTCGTTCTCATGAAGTATCCTGGGGTAGAATCCGGGAGTCTTCCTACAGCAACAACACTGTATTTTTACTGAGGCAGGGCAGGTTCCCCTGTGGACTCCTGCTCTGTGTTTTGGATCTTTCCTAGTCTCTTGTTTTGAGACTAAAGAAACAATATCTTTCTTCAAAATAAACTTTATTCCTAATATGAAACAAAATTTCTAGAGAAACTAAAAACTCTGCGTCTGAGGGAGATAAGGAAACAAAGAGGGCATGGCAGCCCACCGGAGTCTCAGGAGGCTGGGGAGGACACTGGAAGGACTCTCAGAGGATGCTGGTGGCAGCAGGCAGCACTTCCTGGCTCATGAAAACGTTCAAGTCCAGGTTAGGATCTTCCAAATCCAGTTTCATAAACTTATCCACTAATGTCTGGCAACTGAAGAAGAGAGAAAATCGCAAGATTTATGGCAGAATGGACAACCAAATCCCTGGGCAGAGGGGAGAGGCTGTGGCACAGAAAACCTGGGATCTTGAAGATTTAGGGATTTCAGAAAGAAATGGTGGGTTTCTGAAGGGCAAAGTGCTGGAGGAAGGCTGAGTCCCTGAAAAGGGGAGAAGAGTTGCAGGAGAAGATGCAGAGAGGGTAAAGACACTGGGGCCATATACGCACTTTTCCATTTGGTTCTTCTTTAGCAAATCCTTGACAGGCTTGATGGGTTTTCCACTGCGGATCAAGTCTGAGACCTAGGAACAAGCAAGAAGGTGGGAGGAGTAAGGGGAGTGGGGAAGAGAAGGGGAAATAAGGGTCAGAAATCCTGTGGACCTAGACCCAGGCCCAGTAGGACTAGGAATGAAAGGGAGCTCTGATGTGGAGGTGGTTGCACATTTGGATCTCATCACCTCCTTGCCACGAGCCACAAGCTTGTCAGGAAGCCCAGCCTGGGCAGCTGTGTGGGAGGCATGGCTGGCCTTCGCAACACCTTCGCAAACCTGATAGAAGAAGACAAGATCGTTGCCATCCTCACAGGTCTCCATGGTCTTAAAAGAGAATAAAAGACAGTGTATCATCAATCACCTCCTTCCTGTCCTGAAACCCTTGGCCAATCCTGTGGGGAGGGAGAAAAGGGAAGGGATGTGGTCTCTGTGCTGAGGGAGCCCTTGTTCTGATAGAGGAGCCAATCCCCACCTCTGGGAAATGCCCAGCCTGGGGGTCCCCGAGGAGCTAGATTGGTCTCCTCACCAAATACTGCACCAGGGGCCCTTGTGGCAGCAGTTGTAGCTGAACAAGGCTCAGAAAGTTGGTGGCCACAAAGATGTGGGGGCATGTGGGTCCACGTGCCAGCCAGTGTCGGAGCACAGCGGCCAGAAGCGCGAGCCCATCCACCTGCAAAGAGGGCAGAGGTTAGCATTCGGAGCCATGGGGACCCCATATGCCCCTCTGCACTTGCACTGCCTTTCCCTGTCTCGTGTTCTATTTCTTTTCTGCCCACACAGCCCTATTCCATTCCAGAGGCCCAGCCTCACTGTCATGCTCCTTCATCCTCCTCCATTTTCCCCTCCTTAGTTTCTCCCCTCATCAGTTTCTCCCCTCACCGTGTTGGTTCCCTTTCCAAATTCATCAATAAGGACCAGCGACTGTGCAGTGGCATTGTTCACTGCTTTCGCCACCTGCTGGGTATAAGGTGGACAAGGGAAAGTTAGTATTGGAAGCCCGTAACGCACTGACCACAGTTGGCCTGTGAATAAAGCTGTATACATGCCCTCCCTACTGCACTGCAAGTTCTTGAATGGTGAGGTGCACGCTTTGTTCATCCTCTTTGCCAACAGTGACTCACATGAAACAAGGGTTCAAGAAATGTTTATGGTATTGATTCTTCTTATCTCTGACCTTAGTGCTCCCCACTTTTAGTATAAAGGGCATGCAGCAGAGGGCATGCTTTCCTGTTATGAGCATTTTCAGGGGTTCCTTTCCCATTATCCCCTTCCTCAATCCCACCTCCCTTTGTTCCCTTTGACCTGGTTGAGGTCGATCATGAAGGTGGAGAGGCCAAGGGAGATGGATTCGCAGCTATGAATTCGTGTGAAGATGGCGTCTACTGCCCCAATTTCGGCCTCCTCTGCTGGCACAAAGCTGCCTACCAGGGCCATGAATGTGATCAAGCCTACCTGAATAGGGAAGGAGACAGGGCCTGGGGCCTGGTGCCGTGGGCTGAGGTGAAAGTGAGGCTCAAGGCATGAATGGCACATCAAAGAGAAATGGACAGGGTGAAACAGGAGAAATAGGTAACAGACACACTGACTCTGTCTCTCCTCCCCGAATCCTGACCATAGCCCTGTGGGCTAATTTAGAATCAGTGAAGAGGCACGGGACGTGGGCAGAGACATACTTGGGAGTGGTGTGTACCTACTCAGAGGCAGGTGAAGGAATTTGGGCCACGGAAAGTTCCATTAGAGCATGGCTCTCCAGTGGAGAATAAGAACATGTGAGGTGGAAGCACAGGGATGTGGGTGATGGTCCTTTCATGAAGAGCGGGGTCAGAAAATGGGAGAAGAGCTGCAGGAGCCTGAGTTGGCTGGCAAGTAGGGGTGGAGTAGATGCAGGAGACGCCAGAGGCCCAGGCTGCAGGGCTTCTCCTCACCTGTTTGAGGTATATGCTCTTCCCTGATGAGTTGGGTCCAGTGATGACTTTGACCCTCCCTTTGTCCCCACCACATTCTGTGGAGTTGGGCACAAAGGTTCGGGCACAGAGTTCCATCAGAGGATGTCTGCAGTGGGCGGAGAGGCACCTCGCATGGCTTGTGGATCAAGATAGATGAACCCCCAGAAGATGTAGCCTTTGGGCCCCTCATGTCTATTCCTCCACCCGCCTCTATTCTTACCTGCCATTCTGGATTCGTACCCCAAGGACTTGTGGGGAGTAACGCGGCCTTGAGTAGCCATAGTCCCGGGCAGCACTGGCAAGAGCCAGCAGGACGTCCAGGCGGGAGGCAAGGTCCAATACTCGGGTTAAGACAGCTGCTCGTGCCAGCACCTGGCACTGTAGCTGGTACATCAGCAGCGTCTCCTGGTCTGGGAGTGGGTGAGGAAGGGAGCTGGAGGTCAGTTCCAGGGGAAAGTGAAGGAGAGGCAGAGGCCCCTAGGGGGATCTGGAAACAGGTTGCAGATACAATCTGAGACCTCAAGACATTCAGAGGAAAAGATAGAGTCAGAGTGAGCGAGACAGAGAGCAGGAAGAGGAGGGGCCTGTTGGAAGCATCCCCAAGTTGCCCACTCCCCTCCTTCCCCTGGCTGCTGCTTTTTTTAAACATCTTACAATGCATATAACCTCTGGCTTTTCCTCACCCCGGATCTCGCAGTGCAGGTCCCCCAGCAATGCATCCAGCTCCTTGGTTCGGGCACTACGATAGTGCAGCTTCTCCTCTGAGAGAAACTGGGTACAGGGGTTCAAAGCTGTGGACTTTGCATCTCTTGGTCCTCCTCTCCTTCCCCATCTTTCTAACCCCACCTCCAGCCCCTAACTCTGACTTCTCTTTCCTTTGTCTCAGTGCTGGTAAAGCTCAGAGTAAAACTACAGAGGAGAGATCCCATATTGGGCAGTGCTGCTGTAGAGTAACGCTCTTCCTCAGCTGCTGACTCATTTTCCTCATCACTCACCTTACAGAGGTTGAGGGTCTTACCATGAAGTCCAGTCCATTAATCTCAAAGTCACTGGCCTCTACCATGGAAGGCAGGCGGGGAATAGAAAGAAGGAAGCCAATCTGGGGAGAGTAAAGAGGAGATACTCTACTCTCCTGCTTGGAGACTTACTGGACACCTCCCCACCCTAGAGGGAGCTTAAAAGATCCCTGTATCCCCACAAAAAAGTGTTCATGTTCTTCAGGCTGCCCCACAAGTTTTCTTATCTACCAGTATGTCTTTCATAAGCCTAATATCTCCCCCAAAAGACATCTGAAGGCTACACCCACTCTCCTGCCCTCACCAGAGGGATGTAGATGACACTGCATGAAGGAATACGGGAGTCCAGATTCTCCAGCTCCTTGCGGGCAACCTCAGTAAGGAAACTGGGAAGTCCCATCAGTCTTCGCTTTTCTACGAGGGTGGAAGACACGTGGTTATCAAAAGTGAGTCTCCTGCCCTGGTTGCTATGAAGATCCCCAGCTGTGGTGACCACCTGCCAAGGATGGTACTCCATCACTGCGCAGGGCTCACAGGCCCATCCACACCCAACACTCACTCTCATCAATTTCAGGATCTATGTTGGGGAGGACTGTGAAGCGATTTTCAGCAAGGCTGCCCTCAAAGTCCACCTGAGGAGATAAGTACTGTTTCTTAGGACCTGGCACCCTCTGTCCTGTTCCTCAGCTCTCCTTGGGCCCCAATTCTCCCTGCAGTCCTCCTTTAACTCTCACCCTCCAGATACTTCCCTGAAGTTCTGCTGCCTCCTCCCACCATCCCATTCTTTATCCAATTGACCTCAATATCTTCCATGTTTCCCCATCTTGCACACTGCATTCTCTCTCCCTGACCTCCCTGGGTGCACTCCCTTTTTCCTTCTACTCACTACTTTCCCAATGAGGCTGGCGATATGGTGCAGGTCATCAGAGAACTCTTGGGCAATGTCCCGAAAGAGCTGGATGGACTGCGGCAGGGAGCGGCAGGCATCCCTCAGGCCCAGGGCACTGTACACAGTCTGTGAGAGAAACACAAAAAGGAGGACAGGCCACATCCAGCTCGGGTTGAGGTGGTGATAGGGACAGACTCAGAAGAACAAAGACCAGTAGGGAAGATCACAGTAACAAAGAGGGAAGATCTCAAAGGCAAAAAGAAACAGTGAGAGGCACTGTACCAAACACTGAAACTACAAAGACAATTAAGATATGGTCCTGGCCAGGCACAGTGGCTCATGCCTGTAATCCCAGCACTTTGGGAGGCTGAGGTGGGTAGATCACCTGAGGTCAGGAGTTCGAGATCAGCCTCACCAACATGGTGAAACCCTGTCTCTACTCAAAATACAAAAATTAACTGGGCTTGGTGGCATGCACATGTAATTCCAGCTACTTGGGAGGCTGAGGCAGGAGAATCTCTTGAACCCGGGAGGTGGAGGTTATAGCCAGATCACGCCATTGCACTCCAGCCTGGCCGACAGAGCGAGACTCTGTCTCAAAACAAAACAAATAAACAAAAAAAGATATGGTCCCTGTCCCAGATGTGCTCACAGTCTAGGAAGGAAGACAGAAATACATGCAGAAGATTTAAAAGTGAGGTGGTAGGTGCTTTGATAGAGGGTTGTGCAAACTCTAAAACAAAGGAGTTTGTACAGAGTCGGGAGAAAGAGAAATATAGCTATAAAAGGCCATGAGTCTGTAATGATACAAGAAGAACAATGACAAAAAAACCTCATCGGCTATCAGGGCCGGGCGCGGTGGCTCACACCTGTAATCCCAGCACTTTGGGAGGCTGAGGCGGGTGGATCACGAGGTCAGGAGATTGAGACCATCCTGGTTAAGAGGGTGAAACCCTGTCTCTACTAAAAGTACAAAAAATTAGCCAGGCGTGGTGGCGGGCGCCTGTAGTCCCAGGCACTCAGGAGGCTGAGGTAGGAGAATGGCGCGAACCCGGGAGGCAGAGCTTGCAGTGAGCCGAGATCGCGCCACTGCACTCCTGCCTGGGCAACAGTGCAAGACTCCATCTCAAACAAACAAACAAACAAACAAACAAAAAACAAAAAAATCTCATGGCTATCTTGGAGAATGTTAGGGAACTAATTTACCATATTGATAGCTAGTAAATAAAGGTGGGGGGTGCTCATTTCTGCAGCACATATACTGAAATTTCGAAGGTTACAGGGATTAGCACGGCCACTGGGCACGGATGACACAAATTCAAGAAGCGTTCCATATTGGGGAAAAAAAAAAGGGCTGGGCATGGTGGCTCACACCTGTAATCCCAGCACTTTGGGAGGCCGAGGCGGGTGGATCACGAGGTCAAGAGATCAAGACCATCCTGGCCATCATGGTGAAACCCTGTCTCTACTAAAAATACAAAAATTAGCCAGGCATGGTGGCACACGCCTATAGTCCCAGCTACTCGGGAGGCTGAGGCAGGAGAATCACTTGAAACCCAACCCGGGAGGTGGAGGTTGCAGTGAGCCAAGATTGTGCCACTGCACTCCAGCCTGGTGACAGAGCAAGACTCTGTCTCAAAAAAAAAAGAGTGGGGGAAATATCAAGCAATTTTCTGTATTTCTATATGATTTCTATCACTTGGCAACCAAATAGTACATAAAAGGAAGTTTCTCTTTACAGAAATTTCTGGCTAATAAATGAAGAAAGAATCAGAGATTTAAATGCTACTACTTTGTAATTGCTAAAGAATTAATAGATGGCTGGGTGTAGTGGTTCACGCCTGTAATCCCAGCACTTTGGGAGGCTGAGGCGGGTGGATCACCTGAGGTCAAGAGATCAAGACCATCCTGGCCAACATGGTGAAATCCCGTCTCTACTAAAAATACAAAAATTAGCTGGGCGTGGTGGTGTGCGCCTGTAAGTCCCAGCTACTCAGGAGGCTGAGGCAGGAGAATCACTTGAACTCAGGAGGCGGAGGTTGCAGTGAGCCAAGATCGTGCCACTGCACTTCAGCCTGGCGACAGAGGGAGACTCACCTCAAACTAAATAAATAAATAAATAAATGAATAATAGATTTAGGTATTAAACATCAGAACATTTGCCAACATCAGAAAAAGAGAGACAATCGGACATATCAGACATTATGTTCCTCTACTTCTAAAACAGTATTGAAAAAAAAAAAACTCTGAACCTAATCATGCTTCTAGAACTAAATATTAATTTACAGAAACTATAGAAGAGAGAGAAATGTGCCAAAAACATCTAGGAAATGCAAACAGCAAAATCCAGGCTAATGGAAAACACTATAAGACAAATAATAATCTAGTTTCTTCAACAAATTGCCAGGAGAAGAAAAAGAGAAAAAGAAAGAAAGAACAAGAGAGAAAAGATAGAGAAGGAACCGGTAGATTAAAAAGGACTAGGGCCATCATCTGACTGGGCATCGTGGCTCACACCAATAGTCTCAGCACTTTGGGAGGCCCAAGCAGGAGGATCACTTGAGCTCAGGAGTTTGAGACCACCTTGAGCAACATAGTGAGATCCTGTCTCTACAAAAAATAAAAAATTGGTCAGGTGCAATGGCTCACGCCTGTAATCCCAGCACTTTGGGAGGCCGGGGCAGGCAGATCATCTGAGGTCGGGAGTTCGAGACCAGCCCGACCAACAGGGAGAAACCCTGTCTCTACTAAAAATACAAAATTAGCTGGGCGTGGTGGCACGCACCTGTAATCCCAGCTACTTGGGAGGCTGAGGCAAGAGAATCACTTGAACCCAGGAGGTGGAGGTTGCGGTGAGCCGAGATCACACCATTGCACTCCAGCCTGGGCTACAAGAGCAAAATCCCGTCTCAAAAATAAATAAATAAATAAATAAATAAATAAATAAATAAATGCAAGCAAAAAATAAAAACTTAGTTCGGTGTGATGGCCATCACCTGTGGTCCCTGCTACTCAGGAGGCTGAGGGGGGAGGATCGCTTGAGCCCAACAGTTTGAGGCTGCAGTGAGCTACAATTGTGCCATTGCACTCAAGCCTGGGTGACAGAGTGAGACCCTGTCTCAAAAAAGAAAAATTTCAGATATTTGATGATACCAAATAATACAATTTTTAAAGTAAGATAACAATACTGTTATTCTTTTTAAAAAATAATTTTCTTTTAGAAATTACCCTGAAATATTGGCCGGGTGAGGTGGCTCACGCCTGTAATCCCAGCACTCTGGGAGGCCGAGGCGGGTGGATCACGAGGTCAGGAGATCAAGACCATCCTGGCCAACATGGTGAAACCCTGTCTCTACTAAAAATACAAAAAAAAAACTTGGGCATGGTGGCATGTGCCTGTTATCCCAGCTACATGGGAGGCTGAGGCAGGAGAATCGCTTGAACCTGGGAGGCGGAGGTTGCAGTGAGCCGAGATCATGCCACTGCACTCCAGCCTGGTGACAGAGTGAGACTCCATCTCAAAAAAAAAAAAAAAAAGAAAAAAGAAATTACACTGAAATATTTATGGATGAAATGATATAATGGCTGGGACTTGCTTCAAAATAATCCAAGAAAGCCAGGTGCAGCATCTCAGGCTTATAGTCCCAGTTACTCTGGAGGCTAAGGTGGGAGGATTGCTTGAGCCCAGAAGTTAGAGGCTGCAATGAAATATGACTGCACCACTCTGCTCTAGTATGGGTGACAAAGCAGGACCTTATTTAAAAAAACAAACAAACGACAACAAAACCCACAAAATAATCCAAGAGGGGAAAGTAGAAAAAGATATAGATGACACATACTAGGCTGGGCACGGTGGCTCCCACCTATAATCCTAGCACTTTGGGAGGCCGAGATGGGCAGATCACTTGAGGCCAGGAATTTGAGACCAGCCTGGCCAACATGGTGAAATCCCATCTCTACTAAAAATACAAAAATCACTCCAGTGTGGTGGTGGGCACCTGTAATCCCAGCTATTTGGGAGGCTGAGGTAGGAGAATCACTTGAACTTGGGAGGCAGAGGTTGCAGTGAGCCGAGATCGCACCACTGCAATCCAGCCTGGGCGACAGAGCAAGACTCTGTCTAAAAAAAAAAAGAAAAAGAAATAAAAAAAAATTGGCGTAAGTTAAAGTGTTGAAACTGCATGGTGGGTACATGGGGGTTAATTATATTATTCTAAATATTTTTTACATTTTCCTGAATACAAAGTTAAAAAAAAAAAGAGGGAGGCCGGGCCTGGTGGTTCACACCTGTAATCCCAGCACCTTGGGAGGCTGAGGCAGGTGGATCACCTGAAGTCAGGAGTTCAAGACCAGCCTGGCCAACATGGTGAAATCCTGTCTCTACTAAAAATACAAAAATTTGCCAGGCATGGTGGCGGGCGCTTGTAATCCCAACTTCTCGGGAGGCTGAGGCAGAATTGCTTGAACCCAGGAGGCGGAGGTTGCAGTGAGCCAAGATCGCCCCATGGCACTTCAGCCTGGGCGACAGAGCGAGGCTGTCTCCAAAAAAAAAAAAAAGAGGGTAGAATAAAATTGGACAGCATGTCTAGGGTACAGACAGTCTGGAATACAGGCTGAGGGCCTTTACCTGGACTTTTGGGATTCAAGAAGGAAGGCCTTACCTTGTAGAGAACCTGCCAGTCGCTGACCTTGGTGTGGGACAACTTCATGCGTTTCAGAATCAGCTACAGTCAGACAAGGTTACAGCCGCTGTTTTCTCTTCCCTCACTCTAATGCCCCTCAAGAAGCCCACTGCCCAGTATCAGCCCTCAACCTCCTTCCCCACCTCCCTGCCCTCCACCCTGGGCTCACAGGCACGTTCTTGATGTGACCCAGGAGCCGATGCAGCATCTGAGCCATGTCCAGATTCTGGGGCAGCAGAAAAAACTGAATGACGTCCAGACGAGAACTGAGCTCCCCCAGGTCATGAGTCGGACGTGTGAACCATAGCCTGGAAGTGAGGGTTTGGGTGGGGGTACTACAAGTTACATCTATCATCTTGATCTCAGTTTGCCAAAAAGTGTGCTTGCAGTCCCTGGGGATTGTGGCAATATGTATCCACGATGTGCTATGGGAATGTAGTGGCAAGTGCAGTGTCCTACCCATTCAGGTGTGTTTACATGTATCTACTGAAAATTGCTAGATGTGAGCATAATTGTGTCTACATATCACAGTTTCAACGGATAAGACCGTGTGTCATTCCATGTATATAAGTAACGGAGCTTGTCAATATTTTAGAAGGAGAGCAGTGTGTTGAGGTATTTGTGTGCCAACACTGCAGCTCACTCTGAGGCTGAGTAAGAGACGGTGAGTCAGTATGAGTTTGTATGTCTTTTTAGCTGTGAAAGTGTCTCTGGGTAACAGCAACAGACATTCATCTTTTCATATTCTTCCTGTGAAAACATAACTGTCCCATTAGGGATGATAAGCTTTAATTCATAATAATGGTCAACACTGCAGAGAAAAAAGGATTGGGGAGGGACATTTAAGGGGCTTCAACAACGTCTTATTCTTTCGTTTTTTTTTTTTTTTTGAGACAGAGTCTCGCTTTGTCGCCAGGCTGGAGTGCAGTGATGCGATCTCGGCTCACTGCAACCTCCACCTCCCGGGTTCAAGTGATTTTCGTGCCTCAGCCTCCCGAGTAGCTGGGACTGCAGGTATGCGCCACCATGCCCAGCTAATTGTTGTATTTTTAGTAGAGTCAGGGTTTCACTATGTTGGCCAGAATGATCTCGATCTCTTGACCTCGTGATCTGCCCGCCTCGGCTCCCAAAGTGCTGGGATTACAGGCGTGAGTCACCATACCCGGCCAATAGTGTCTTATTCTTTTTTTTTATTTTATTTTTTATATAGAGTCTTGCTCTGTCGCCCAGGCTAGAGTGCAGTAGCACA
Organism: Homo sapiens; assembly: GCF_000001405.40. Lineage (NCBI taxonomy): Eukaryota > Metazoa > Chordata > Mammalia > Primates > Hominidae > Homo > Homo sapiens. Next base: position 31,752,359 of record NC_000006.12, on the reverse strand, counting down.
ATCTTGGCTTACTGCAACCTCCACCTCCCAGGTTCTGGAATTACAGGCACCCGCCACTGTGCTCAGCTAATTTTTGTATTTTTAGTAGAGACGGGGTTTCACCATCTTGGCCAGGCTGGTCTTGAACTCCTGACCTTGTGATCCACCCGCCTCGGCCTCCCAAAGTGCTGGGATTACAGGCATGAGCCACCGCGCCCGGCATGTCTTATTCTTAAATTGGCTGATGGATATATAGATATTTGTATTATTATTATTATTTTTGAGATGGAGTCTTGCTCTGTCGCCCAGGCTAGGGTACAGTGGCGGGATCTCGGGTCACTGCAACCTCTGCCTCACAGGCTTAAGTGATTCTCCTGCCTCAGCCTCCCCAGCAGCTGGAACTACAGGTGTGTGCCACCATGCCCAGCTAAATTTTGTATTTTTAGTAGAGATAGGGTTTCGCTGTGTTGGCCAGGCTGGTCTCAAAATCGTGACCTCAGGTGATCTGCCTGCCTCAGCCTCCTAAAGTGCTGGAATTACAGGCATGAGCTACTGCGCCTGGCCATTTGTATTACTATTAATAGTTTTTATAGAGACGAGGTCTTGCTATGTTGCCCAGGCTGTTCTCAAGCTCCTGGCCTCAAGCAGTCCTCCTGCCATGGCCTCCCAAAGTGCTGGGATTACAAGCATAAGCCACTGCACCTGGCCCGATAGTATTATTATTTACATCTTTTTTTTTTTTTCTGAGACAGAGTCTTGCTCTGTTGTCCAGGCTGGAGTGCAGTGGTGCGATCTCAGCTCACTGCAACCTCCGCCTCCCAGGTTCAAGCGATTCTCGTGTCTCAGCCTCTGGAGTAGCTGGGATTACAGGGGTGCACCACCACTCCCGGCTAATTTTTGTATTTTTAGTAGAGATGAGGTTTCACCATGTTGGCCAGCCTGGTCTCAAACTCCGGACCTCTGGTGTTCCACCTGCCTCGGCCTCCCAAAGTGCTGGGATTACAGTCATGAGCCACCACGCCCGGCTAATTATTTACATCTTTTTGTGTGTTGGAGGTATTTCCTAATAAATGAAAATAAATTCAGGCCAGGTGCGGTGGCTCACGCCTGTAATCCCAGCACTTTGGCAGGCCAAGGAGGGCGGGTCACGAGGTCAGGAGATCAAGACCATCCTGGCTAACGCGGTGAAACCCCGTCTCTACTAAAAACACAACAAAATTAGCCGGGCGTGTTGGCGGGCACCTATAGTCCCAGCTACTCGGGAGGGTGAGGCAGAATGGTGTAAACCCGGGAGGTGGAGCTTGCAATGAGCCAGGCCACTGCACTCCAGGATGGGTGACAGAGTGAGACTCTGTCTCAAAAAATAAATAAATAAATAAAATAAATTCATATACAGAAATAAATGTCTCATCTGTGTTTGTCTAATTCCGGGTATCCCTGTATACTTATTGGCCATGAGAGTGTGAGACTCTGTAGGGACTTGTGAGCCCACAAATTCTTTTCTACATAGAACAAGTACTAAGGATGCCATCTTATATAAGAGCCAACATGTGCACACACTAGGTCCTGAAGATTTGTATCTTACATTGCAGTCTGTGGCCAGTTACTTTGGGTTAGAACACCCCAGATTTGAATGAAGCGGAGCATCCAGATGGCTTCAAGGGTGGGTTTCAGGTACCTCTGCTCCTTGGTCACTGAGGGCTCCCACCAGAACAGTGTAGGCCAGTCTGTAAATAGCCATCCCCACTTTAGAAAGCACATGCGCTGCACTAAACACTTAGGTATCTCTGACTCACGCCCTGCTCGTACTGGGAGAGACTTTAGTTAAACCAAACTGTAAATTTAACAACTGAGAAAATGAAACCGTTAAAAGATAAGCAACTTGCCCAAAGTCATACCGCCAATGAGAACAGCTAAGTCTCAAAATCATGTCTCCAGACTCCTAGGACAGTGCCCTTTAGAGCATACTGTGACATTCAGTCATATTCTTGGTGCCTGTACAGCTTTTAGTTCTTGAACTCCTGGCCTCAAGCAATCCTCCTGCCTCAGCCTCCCAAATGCTGGGATTATAGGCGTGAGCCACCACATCTGGCCCTATATTATTATTTACATCTTTTTGTACGTTAGAGGTATTTCCTAATAAATTAAAATAAATTCGTATACAGAAATATTAATAAATATGTCACCTGTCCTTAGTTCATTAGATTATATGATGATTCTTCAAGTTATATGATCTCATGCCCTGTCTGATTCCATTTGGGGAATACGCATTCCTCCCCGACCTTAAATCCAGCTCTCTTCTCCACTGAGAATTCTCTCCCTCCCATCTGTGGCTGAGATTAAAGATCTGCACCTGAAGCACTGAAGAATGTGTGGGTAATTAAATTACCCTGCCGATTCCTGGAGATGCTGATTACCTGGAGATGACCTCAGAGATTATCCTAAATTAACTCCTACAAGATACATATTGCAGCGGGAGGTGAGGTAGGGGAAGGATTGTGCACCTGAGGCTAGCAAAGGTTTCCACTCTGTTTAGAGATGATGTCACCAGTGCGTTTACATTTGCGTTGTGTTCACACATTGAGTGCTACTATGTACAAGACCATGTGTCAGACACTGAGGTAACAGGTATAGCTACTAGATAGAGTTCATAGCTATGGAGGCAAGCAGATTCACTGACTGCTAATTCTAACATGATGTGACAGTGCAACTAGAAAAACATAAACAAGCACTATGTGAGCACAAAGAAGGTGCACATCAACTCCTTACAGGTACCTGTAAAAGCCAAAGGGTAACAGTTGGATTGCACCTTGAAGAGGATGCACTTTTTTTTTTTTTTAAGACAGAATCTCACTCTGTTGCCCAGGCTGGAGTGCAGTGGGGCAATCTGGGCTCACTTCAACCTCTACCTCCCGAGTTCAAGCAATTCTCCTGCCTCAGCCTCCTGAGTAGCTGGTACTAGAGGCATGCGCCATGATGCTGGGCTAATTTTTGTATTTTCGGTAGACGTGAAGTTTCACCAAGTTGGCCAGGCTGGTCTTGAACTCCTGACCTCAAATCATCCACCCACCTCAGCCTCCCAAAATGCTGAGACTACAGGCGTGAGCCACCGCGCCTGACCTGGATGTAAGATTTTGATAGGTACAGAACAAGGAAAAGACTTTCCAGGCCGGGCACAGTGGCTTATGCCTGTAATCCCAGCACTTTGGGAGGCCGAGGTGGGCAGATCACGAGGTCAGCAGTTCAAGACCAGCGTGGCCAACATGGTGAAATCCCATCTCTACTAAAAATACAAAAATTAGCCAGGCATGGTGGTGGGTCCCTGTAATCCCAGCTACTCCGGAGGCTGAGGCAGGAGAATTGCTTGAACCTGGGAGGTGGAGGTTGCAGTGAGCAAAGACCGCGCCACTGCACTCCAGCCTGGGTGACAGAGGGAGACTCCGTCTCAAAAAAAAAAAAAAAAAGACTTTCCAGAAGGAGCAGCATAAACACAGGCATGACATGTTTCCATAATGGCAAGTGGCCCTAAATGACTAGAATATAAGGTAGATCCAGTAGGAAAGGACTTAGAAGGGGCTTTGGAAGGTGAGTCTGGAAATTAAAACTGGGGTAAACGTGATGGACCCTGAACATCATTATACTGCTTAAGATGCTAATCTTAATCCTGAAGGTAATGGGAAAACCTCCTAAGGTTTATGTTATTTTCTTTCTACTTAGGCTATTTAAAAAGTGGAGTGACGGCCAGGCGCAGTGACTCATGCCTGTAATCCCAGCACTTTGGGAGGCCGAGGTGGGCGGATCACCAGGAGTTCGAGACCAGCCTGACCAACATGGTGAAACCCCGCCTCTACTGAAAATACAAAAATTAGCCAGGTGTGGTGGTGGGCGCCTGTAATCCCAGCTACTTGGGAGGCTGAGGCAGAAGAATTGCTTGAACCCGGGAAGTGGAGGTTGCAGTGAGCAGAGATCGTGCCATTGTACTCCAGCCTGGGCAACAAGAGCGAAACTCAGTCACAAAAAAAAAAAAAAAAAAAAAGGAGTGACATGCTTAGATCTCTGTTTTGGAATGACAGGTTTTTTGTTTCTAGCATCAATCCAAGGTTCATGGCTTGAGAAGGTGTACTGCCAGCAATGCCATTAACCAGCAAAGGGAATGCAGGAAGAGGAACAGATCTGGTGGGCATCAGTTTGGATGCTCTGAGTTTGAGCTGCCTGTGAAAACTGCAGGTGGTGATATGCAATTAACATTCACATACGGAGTTCAAAACTAGAGACACAAATTTGAGAGTCATCACAGAAATGTGAAGTGTGTTTTCTATAACTAAAGATAACCATGCTAACATAGCCATGTGTTACATTAGCATTTTTTTTTTTTTTTGAGACGGAGTCTCACTCTGTTGCCCAGGCTGAAGTGCAGTGCACAATCTTGGCTCACTGCAACCTCCACCTCCTGGGTTCAAGCGATTCTCCTGCCTTAGTCTCCTGAGTAGCTGGAATTACAGGCACCTACCAACACGCTTGGCTAATTTTTGCATTTTAGTAGAGATGGGGCTTTACCATGTTGGCCAGCTGGTCTCAAACTCCTGACCTCAAGTGATTCACCCACCTTGGCCCCCCAAAGTGCTGGGATTACAGGTGTGAGCCACTGTGCCCGGCCTTACATTTTGTGTTTTTTCCTGCTGCTTGTATGTGTGCAAGTCTGTGTATCATCAATGGGTATATGTGTACCTGCGCTGACAACAAAAAATGAGATGCATATCAGCTACTACACAAAGCTGTTATAAGGATGAAATGCAGTTAGCCAGTGCTCAGTAAAGGGCAGTTGCTTTACTACTACTAGGTGGGGTGGTGTATGTGAGAATCTGTATACTGCCATTAGTAGGCTTTAGTATGTAGTGTGCATATGGAATTCATGCATTAGTGTGTAGTATGTGTGGGACCCACTCACCTGAGCAGCTTCTCTCCCCACTTACAGTGGCATCTGTTGAGGATTCCTGTGAGGGATAAGGCAGGGAGTGAACTTGTTACAAGGCAGGGACAGGGAATGGAATGTGTTTATGTGTCTAAGCTGAGGCATCCAGGTCAGAGGTGCTGGTTGTTGAGGAAGCTGGCCTGGGAGGGCACAAAGGCAGCCAAAGCTGGTGCCTGGCCACAAATATGAGCTGGGATTACCGTACATGGAGATGGGGGAAGGGATGGACACTCACAGGGACACTTAGCCAGAAAAATACACAAAGCAGACCTAGTTAAAACTCAAGAACTGGCCAGGCACGGTGGCTCACGCCTGTAATCCCAGCACTCTGGGAGGCCGAGGCAGACGGATCACGTGGTCAGGAGATCGAGACCATCCTGGCTAACATGGTGAAACGCAGTCTCTACTAAAAATACAAAAAATTAGCCGGGCATGGTGGCAGGCACCTGTAGTCCCAGCTACTCGGGAGGCTGAAGCAGAATGGCATGAACCCGGGAGGCAGAGCTTGCAGTGAGCGGAGATCGCGCCACTGCACTCCAGCCTGGGTGACAGAGCAAGACTCCGTCTCAAAACAAAACGAAACAAATAAACAAACAAACAAAACACAAAAAACTCAAGAGCCCTCCCGCCCCTCCAAAAATACAAAAACTCAATAGCTGGCCGGGCAGGGTGGCTCATGCCTATAATCCCAGCACTTTGGGAGGCCAAGGCAGGAGGATCACTTGAGCTCAGGAGTTTGAGACCAGCCTGGGCAACATGGCGAAACACCATCTCTACTAAAAATACAAAAAAATTAGCTGGGCATGGTGGTGCAGGCCTGTAGTTCCAGCTATTCAGGAGGCTGAGGTAGGATGAGGCAGAAGAATCACTTGAACCCAAGAGGCGGAGGTTGCAGTGAGCCTAAATTGTACCACTGCACTCCAGCCTGGGTGACACAGCAAGATTCCATCTAAAAAACAAACAAACAAACAAAAAACTCAAGAGCCCAACACACATATGTAAAAAACTGGACGGCCGGGCGCGGTCGCTCATGCCTGTAATCCCAGCACCTTGGGAGGCTGAGGCGAGTGGATCCCCTGAGGTCAGGAGTTCAAGACCAGCCTGGGCAACATGGTGAAACCCCGTCTCTACTAAAAATACAAAAATTAGCTGGGCGTGGTGGCAGGTGCCTGTAATCCCAGTTACTCAGGAGGCTGAGGCAGGAGAATCGCTTGAACCCAGGAGGCAGAGGTTGCATTGAGCCGAGATCGCACCATTGCACTCCAGCCTGGGGGACAAGAGCGAGACTTCGTCTCACACACACACACACACACACACACACACACACAAAACTGGACACAACTGGCCAGGCGCGGTGGCTCACGCCTGTAATCCCAGCACTTTGGGAGGCCGAGGTGGACGGATCACGAGGTCAGGAGATCGAGATCATCCTGGCTAACACAGTGAAACCCGTTCTCTACTAAAAATACAAAAATTAGCCAGGCATCGTGGTGGGCACCTGTAGTCCTAGCTACTCAGGAGGCTGAGGCAGCAGAATGGTGTGAACCCAGGAGGCAGAGCTTGCAGTGAGCTGATATTGCACCACTGCACTCCAGCCTGGGCGACAGAGCGAGACTCTGTATCAAAAAAAAAAAAAAAAAAAACCTGGACACAACTTACTGAGATATGAAACTATATGGATATTTGCGGAGATGTCCCTAATATACCCTAAAGCCAGAGACAACTGATAAAGACTCTATACAAATCAAATAGGCAGTTATGCAGTTACAAAACTCTTCTCTATACACAAGGTCTCCCAAAGTCCCTAACAGGTACCCAACTAGTAGAAACATTCATACAAACCCAGGGAAGGAACACAGAATTGGTAAAGTAATGGCTGATATGCAACAACACTGTACAGCCACAAAGTATGGGAAGATGCTCAAGCTTGGGGGGCGGGGGGTACAAATAGGTAAGAAATTTGGATTGGCATGAAAGAGATATCTGACAATGGGAGTGAAGTGGGAAGGGAGGCTGGGACACATCTTTGGAGCCAATTGCTTTTCTGGTAGGTCTTTGTAATGTGAGATGAGGGATGGGGCACACCTACCAAAGAGGCTGAGCCCCTCCTTCAGTCCACTGGCCACTTTGTACACTGAGGGGTGAGACTCACTCTTAAAAATCTGTAGAACACTGTCGAGGAGAAATGGAGGAGTTTGGGGTAACTTGGACTTTTGAAGGGAATAAGAATTGAGGACTGATAAATGGAATGGGGACAGGGGATATCCTCCTGAGATCACGTCTTTTTTTTTTTTTTTTTTTTTTTGAGATGGAGTCTCGCTCTGTCGCCCAGGCTGGAGTGCAGTGGTGCAATTTCAGCTCACTGCAACCTCTGCCTCCTGGATTCAAGCAATCCTGCCTCAGCCTCCTGAGTGGCTGGGATTACAGGCGCACAACACACCCAGCTAATTTTTATATTTTTAGTAGAGACGGGGTTTTACCATATTGGTCAGGTCTCAAACTCCTGACCTCAGGCGATCCACCCGCCTTGGCCTCCCAAAGCGCGGGGATTACAGGCATGAGCCACCGCGCCCAGCCGAGATCATATCTTGATGTAAGGTTTGTCCCTTACTTTTCTTTGCCTCAGTTTCTCCCTATAGAAAAGAAAGCTAGTATCTTTATGCTTTTCTTCCTCTCTTTCCCTCAAAACCCCCCTTCCCTTTCCTTCAAGGAGAGAGATCTTAATAGCCCCAGGATTAGGGAAACTAGAGCCTCATTAGGATTATTGGGGCATTAAACTTAATCCTTCTCCCTCCCCAGAGACAGCAGCATGCCTCCACCTCTTTACCTGTAAGTGTCTTGATCTATGTTCACCAGATGAGTCCTGAGGACAGAAAACAAAAAAGCAGGAAGCAGTCTGAGTTCGTTCCACAACTCCACTTCCTTTGTCCCCCTCTCTGAATATTGTCCCAGTCTTCTTCCCAAAGTCTCATTAGCCCTTAGATTCTCCCGGGTGTCCTAGAGCACTTGACCCACTGGGTCACAGCCACATCCACACCCCACCCCCACTTTACTTTTCAGGCCTCCCAATCCCACATTACTTTGGTTGGGGTTGGGGTGAATCACCTACAACATAAATTTCTTAAAGCCCAGGATGGGGACGCTGACATTATAGTCTTCCAGTTCAACCCCGATTCTTCTTCGACCCAGGAACTTCAGCAGCCCTCCAAGTGCTCGAACCTGGGAGGGGATCAGCAGTGGAATCGGGGTAAATCTTAAATCTCCTGGGGGCTGCAGAGCACCAGGGAAAGTTACTATTTTCCAGGGCTAGGCCAGTACCTCCCAGAATTCAGCCCTAGCACTTGTGCCGCCTCCCAGCCCTTATCCCCCAGGACCAATCTCACTGTGAGGAGGCAGTCAAAGGGAATAATGGAAGAGAGGAAGAGGATTTTCTCAGTGGCAGTCATGGCGTCTGGGATGAAGGAGTAGTTTCCAGAAAGGAGGCGTTGTTTGCTTATCTCCAGACCTATTTGAGGGAGGCAAGCAAAGGGAACGGTCTTGTAGCTCAATTTTTTCACCCCATTTTAAGAATGAGACAATAGAAGCAAGAGAGATTATTTGACTTGCCCAAGCTCACACAGGCAGTTAATGGAAAGCTAGAGCAAGAACCAAATTTTCAGACTCTTAGTCTAATTCTCTTTTTATTCTACATATAATATAAAGATACTTGTCTGAAAGCACAGCCTGAGAAAGATAAATGGCTGAGGAAAGTAGACATCTGTCTGGAATTGAGGATTTTGGTCAAAATAATGGTATTAATAGAACTAGTAACACTAATGCCTTAATATCTAATTAGGATAGTACACTCCTGTTCTTATTGTAAACCTAGGAAAGTTATAGAAGTGCCTTATGGATCATAATAAGGGTCACTGAGGCAGTGCCTTTTGGTTTGGTGATAAAAGGCTTTAACTTAATGGGGAGAATTCCAACAATAAAACCCTGTCCAAAAAGTGTCACCACTCCTCAGGGGAGGCCCTCATCCCTAGACATGACTTAAGCAGAGGCTTCCCAATAAGCTGCAGGTTATTAAAGGGTAGGGAGCAGGAGAGATCTTGGGGGGACAGGTCATAGGGCATGAGGAGCACAAAGGTTTAGGATGACATAAGGCAGAGGGGAGATCTGTGATGATGAAGGTAGAGTTGGGGGAAAGAATGGGACACCGGAACAGGGAGTTAGGCAAAGCAAAAGGAAGGAGATACCAAAATCCACACTTGGCAAAAATATGATTTCAGGTCTTTTAGGCTCTCTGTGCTCCTGGGAGGCTGTGGGGGAGGAAAGAAAAGGCTATCATTCTTTACATCTCAGTCCTTCTACCTCTGTCTGACACTCCCTCTCACCCAATTCTAGCCCCCTGGAATATTCCATATATTAGTCCTTCCCCATTTTCCCTCTATCCTTTACCAAGTCCTTACCAAGCTTTCCCAGAAATCGAGTCATATTCTCATCCTGTTTGGCACTCGTAACAACAGACTGGGGATTGATCTCATCCAGAACTTGGAAGGAGAACAGAGATCAAATGAGTTAAAGGATCTTTGTCTTTGACTAAGAGAAAACCCATAGCCCTCCTCTTCCTACCCCTCTCCTTCTCAAAAACATTTCCTCCCTAGGAGTAGGGAGTGCTCTGCACAGTGGGAACACAGGTAGAAGTTGAGATTTAGAAAAGTAGTTAAGAGTGGTGGGATGGTGAGAGGGAAGTGGGATGTTCTGGATGTTGTCACTAGGCTGTAAACCCCTGGAGAACAGACATGACTGATTTGCCCAGGGCTGAATCTGAAGCACCTGAAACATTGTAAATACGTCATATATATTTGTGGCCAGGCACAGTGGCTCATGCCTATAATCCCTGCCCTTTGGGAGGCCAAGGCAGGCAGATCACTGGAGGCCAGGAGCTCAAGACAAGCCTAGCCAACGTGGTGAAACCCTGCCTCTACTAAAAATATAAAAATTAGCCAGGCGTGATGGCAGATTCTTGTAATCCCAGCTACTCGGGAGACTGAGGCAGGAGAATTGCTTGAATCCGGGAGACGGAGGTTGCAGTGAGCCAAGATGGCACCACTACACTTCCAGCCTGAGTGACGGAGCAAGACACTGTCTCAAAAAAGAACAACCAAACAAACCAAAAAACAGCCTCACAAATATTTGTTAAATAATGAAATGAATTCATAAAAACAAAAGAGGGAGCCTCTGTGAAGCAACTGTAAAATATATTGAGTCAGTGCTATAGTTTGGATGTGATTTGTCCCTGCCAAATATCGTGTTGAAATTTAATCCCCAGTGTGATAGTGTTGTGAGGTAGGGCCTAGCAGGAGGTGTGTGGGTGATGGGAGTGGATCGCTCATGAACAGATTAATGCCCTTCCTGGAGTGTGTTGGTGGGTATGAGTGAGAGGTTCTCACTCTATTAGTTCCTGAGAGAGCTGGTTGTCAAAAAGAGCCTGGCATCTCCCTCCCCCTTGCTTCTTCTCTGCCATGTGACCTCTACACACCCTGCCTTCCCTTCTTCCATGAGTTGAAGCAGTCTGAGGCTCTCACCAGTGAAGATGCCCAATTTTGAGCTTTCCAACCATCCAGAACCATAAGCCAAATAAAACTTTTTTTTTTTTTTTAACAAATTACTCAGAGTCAGGTATTTCCTTACAGCAACACAAAATATGCTAGACAGTGAGGTGAGTTAATGTAAGTAAAACATGGCTGGGCGTGGTGACTCACACCTGTAGTCCCAGCACTTTAGGAGGCCAAGGTGGGCGGATCACAAGGTCAGGAGTTTGAGACCACCCTGGCCAACATGGTGAAACACCGTCTGTGCTAAAAACACACACAAAAAACTAGCTGGGTGTGGTGGCACACGCCTGTAGTCCCAGCTACTCGGGAGGTTGAGTCAGGAGAATTGCTTGAACCCAGGAGGTGGAGGCTGCAGTGAGCCAAGATTGCGCCACTGCACTTGAGCCTGGGTAACAGAGCAAGACTCTGTCTAGAAAAAAAAAATATGTGTGTGTGTGTGTGTGTGTGTGTGTGTGTGTGTGTGTGTGTGTGTAACACATCTGCAATCCCAGAGAGCAGAGGAATTCATGGTTCCATCCCCACCTCTCTGGAGAAGCTTGAGGCTCTCGTGGTCTGGGGCATCTGGCATGAAGTGGATAGTGGAGTCACTAGTATCATAGTAGGCAATGCCCAAGTATCCTGAATTCCACAGCACACACAGATGGATCTGTCCAGCAAGGAAGAAAGGAAATCACTATTAGAATCACTCATAAGTGTAGGGTTTACCATGTCTTATATAATTTAATCATTTTCTCAAATCTCTGAGATAGGCATCATCACCCCCATTTAGTGAATGTGAAACAGCCACTCAGGAGGTAAGAGACTTGCCCAGCTCTTCCCAACCCTGTTTTTTTTTTCTTTCTTTCTTTGAGACGGAGTCTTGCTCTGTCGCCCAGGCTGAAGTGCAGTGGAGCAATCTCAGCTCATTGCAACCTCCGCCTCCCGAGTTACAGTGATTCTCCTGCCTCAGCCTTCCCAGTAGCTGGGATAACAGGCACGTGCCACCACGCTCGGCTAATTTTTATATTTTTAGTAGAGACGGGGTTTCGCCATGTTGCCCAGGCTGGTCTCCAACTCCTGAGCTCAGGTGATCCGCCCGCCTCAGTCTCCCAAAGTGCTAAGATTACAGGTGTGAGCCACCGCGCCCGGCTCCCAACCCTCTTTTATTCTAACTTCCCATCAACTCTCCATTCAAGTTTCTACTCCCCTCAGAGACCTCGGCCAGCTCCTCCTCCTCCTCGACTTCCTCCTCCTCGGCCTCCCTGGGGCCCGGCACTGGGGCCGGGCTGGGGAAGCCGGAGGAGGCCGCCCCAGGTCTCGGTCCCTGCGGTGTCCTCCTTGGGTTCGCTCCTAAGGAGGCCATGAGCTTGGAGGCTCTGCGGATGCAAAAAGTGAGGGCGGTTCGGAAGCAACGATTCACAGAGGAGGCCGGGGTAGGGTGGCGCGCAGAATGCAAAGCACTAAGTACTTCTGCTACAGGGCTGCGGGGCAGGGCTGAGGGGCGTGGAGAGCTGTGGACACAGGAGGTGAATTCTCGGGTATTTAACTAAAGTACAGATTGTGGGAAACTCCACGCGCCCCACCCTCATTCCTGTCACGCGGAGGTTACCCTTTGGAAGGAAGGGGTCTGAGGGCCCTGTGGGGCGAGTCGTGCACGTCTTATGTCTCTGCCTCTGCCAACCACGCGCCAGGACCCCAGCCTCACGCGCTTATCTTCCTCCTCCCCCAGCTGCCGCCATCGCAGCGTTTTCCCGCCTTTTCAGTAACCTGAGTCGCTACAGGTGGGAGAACGCCCCGCTGACCGACCGCCACGAGCCTGCAAAAGGAGCGCGCCGGCGCGTGAGCGAGGTGCGCGCGCACGCGCCCCGCCCTCCTAACCGCTGTTGATTGGAGAGGCCCGGATCCAGCCTAGAGATCCGACAGGGCGAGGAGGAGAAGCGGACTGCCGTAGCTGAAGAGTCTGGACGCTGATTGGCCTATTTGCCTTCGGGGCGGGTCCAGAACGTTCAAACTTCCCGCCCTCTGCCGTTGCTTAGCAGCCGGGCCTCTAGCACTCACTGTTTCTGGGATTTGATTGGCGCAGTGGGAAGCCCGCGAGAAGGTCGGACCAGGGTCCGTAGTCCCAGTCCCTGGAAGGGGTTTGGGACCGTTGCGGGGGTTTTGAGGGGGAGGCCAAACTTAAAGAGCCAGAGGCGCTTATTTTTTTTCCTGCAACAACTCTTAAGTTAATATTTGTACCCTCTGAGTTAATATTTATACAGAGCTTAGAACAGTGCCTGGCAAACAAAGTAAGACCTAAATGAGCGGTGTTTCAAATAAATAAGCGGAAACAAGCAGGACTTCTGTCTCAGCCCTACCGTGCCTGTTTCCTGGGTACAGGGTATGACCACCCCCATAATGGCACGACAGGGCCTAATTTATTATTTAAACCCTTCAAGCAGAGGTGGAAGCATTCGAATTACATCAAATTCTGGCAGAGAGAAGTAGTTCTGATCAGAACACTCACACCCCTACTGGGACATGCCCATACCCCTTCGCACTTCTACACACCCCTGAAGACAGAGAGGTATCTATCATTCATGCATTCGGCAACTATTTAGTGCCTATTTTGGGCCAGGGGTTGGACTCAAAGCGGTGAACATAATGAAGTCACTGCTCCATAAAGCTTATTTGTGCGTCTGTGTGTGTGTGTGTGTGTGTGTGTGTGTGTGTGTGTGTTGCGGGGGTGGGGTTATGAGGGAGAAAGAAAAAAAATATATATATATATATATATAATCCCTTTAAATGCACCATCCTCCCCAGCTTTGTTCCTAGTACCCTGAGATGGGGAGATTCCTCCCCAGCCCCCCAACCCAAGAAGTTAGGAAAGATGGTGGGGGTGAGATGACCTAGCTGTGCTAACCAGTAATTGGAAAATCCCCTCCAGCAAGAAAGGTGGGGGAACAGAGTTAAGGGCTGGGTTAATGGTTACCCCTGGCAAATCTGTTGAGCAATGGAGCTATAGAAACTTGGAGGAGGTTGGTGACAGCTCTGGGGAGTGTCAGGGAGGGACCCACCTTCCAATCTGGGGTGTGAAGAGATTAGGGACTAGTTTACCAAGCCCAGGAAGGGGAGGGAGTGGAAAGAGAAGCCCAGAGAGGGAAAGAGGAGCTACTGAGATAGGAGAAATGCAGGGACAGGGAGGTGAGATGGAGGGAAACCTCTGTTGCAGGATTTGGGGGTACAGCCCTGGCTCTGCTGGATGGTTCCAGGAGAGGGCAGCGTTGCCTGTCACCTGGTAAATTAAGGCACGATACCCTGTGGGTAGTCATGCCAGCCAGCCAAAGTCAATATTGATATCAAGGCAGCTGTAGCTATAAAGCTGTAGGAGAGAAAAGAGAGGCCGGGAGAGGCTGCCAAACCTGTTTGATCTTCAAGCTGGCCCCATTTACCTAAGGCTTCTCTTGGACACAGACCAGTTGGAACAGGAGAGGACCCTGAGAAGTAGAGTTGTTTTGATCCCCTCCCCTCAATGGGAAGGGGTCCTGTGTGCAGATTTTGAGGGTCACCATGAGGGAATTCACACCCACACAGAGGCATGGAATCATACCCTTACAGGATGTTACAGTTCAAGGGAACGAACACCAAAGATAGCCTTTCTGTCGGGAGGAGAGAAAAAGGCCCTCCCACAAGCAGGAGAAAACCCACAGAAGAGGAAGCACAAGAGGAAACCACCAACTGCTGGTTTCCAGCAGCACATCACGTCACTCCACCCCACTCCTCCCCCAAGTCTCTCCCTTTCTTTAAGTTTCAAGCTCTGTTTTAGTTCTGTGTTCTTGCACTCCACCATGGTTTTCTGGAACTGTAGGTCTTTTGTTGGACAGAGGGTGATGAGGAGGATAGAGAAGGGATGGTTGGACAGGAGAGAAATTCAGGATATGGAGGCTGGAATTCTGGGTTTATTTTTTCAGCAGGTCATAAAGGTTTAATAGAAATCAAGGTTACTGGAGAGAGAGCTGCTCCTCCTATGTCCTCCCTGCTTATTTATTTAGGTGTCCCCAAGGACTCTACTCCCACTATTCTGTCTGATCTTTCTTTATCCCCATGACAGGACCAGCTAACAACACCCCTACCCCACCCCCTATACACATACTTCAGGATCGGGCCATGATAATCCCACCCCTCTGCCCCATCTCCAAGGCAACCTGTCAGTGAGACGAGGACAAAGGGCACAGGAAGGGGCCCCAATAGGAAACATAAGTGGAAGCACAAAGCTGACCAAGCTACAGGAACAGACCCCTCCCTGCAACAAAGCCCCTTGCCTCGGCTTTATGTTTCCTTCGCAAAAGACTTCGTCATCTCCCTTCCCATCCCTAACTCTACTTTCTTTTTCTTTTCTTCTTCTTCTTTTTTTTTTTTTTTTTTTGAGATGGAGTTTCGCTCTTATTGCCCAGGCTGGAGTGCAATGGCACCATCTCAGCTCACTGCAACCTTCACCTCCCGGGTTCAATTGATTCTCCTGCCTCAGCCTCCCAAGTAGCTGGGATTACAGGTGCCCACCACCCCGCCTGGCAAATTTTTGTATTTTTAGTAGAGACAGGGTTTCACCATGTTGGCCAGTCTGGTCTTGACTCCCTGACCTCAGGTGATCCACCCCCCTTGGCCTCCTAAAGTGTTGGGATTACAGGCGTGAGCCACCTCACCCGGCCCCTAACTCTATTTCCTATGCCCAATCCCAAGTGTAGGCCACAAGGACTGCAAGTCCTAGTGCTGAGCTGGGCCCGGAGACAGTAGACTGCGGGGGGCACAGGACCTACTGAGACACCAGTCTGGGCAGCTCAGGGAGTGCTGGCGTCACCCCTTCCCTAATCCCAGGCTGCATGGCTAACGGTTCCTATCTGCAGTCCCAGCCTTCCACTTCCGAGTTCTTCTCTCAGACCACAGTCCCAGCAACCCAGAATTTGGATTGGAGTCTGGAAGAAATGCAGAATGATTAAACGACCACCTTTCCATTTGAAGTCCCCATCCCTGAATCTTCACGGGTGTGCCCAAGCTGTTAGTGTCAAGTTTTTTATATGAGGGTCAGTCGGGTTGTACTCAGATTAATGAAGCAGGGAAACTGAGGCAGAAAAGAGTCCTGTGTTCAGGAGAGGTCGGAGAAACAAGGAGGTTTTCAGGACTCCTCCTTAACACCCCCATCCCCATCCTGTGGGAGATCCGAGGATTCCCCTTCCGGACTCACTCCCTACATCGTCGAGTCCCGCCCCCCTCCAGTCCCCTCCCCAGGTTCAGGGCGGGGCCGGTCGGTGAGTCAGCGGCTCTCTGATCCAGCCCGGGAGAGGACCGAGCTGGAGGAGCTGGGTGTGGGGTGCGTTGGGCTGGTGGGGAGGCCTAGTTTGGGTGCAAGTAGGTCTGATTGAGCTTGTGTTGTGCTGAAGGGACAGCCCTGGGTCTAGGGGAGAGAGTCCCTGAGTGTGAGACCCGCCTTCCCCGGTCCCAGCCCCTCCCAGTTCCCCCAGGGACGGCCACTTCCTGGTCCCCGACGCAACCATGGCTGAAGAACAACCGCAGGTCGAATTGTTCGTGAAGGTAAGAACACTTCTCTCCTCAGCCACCCAAATTCCTGGAAGCCAACTCTCACCTTTCCCCCGGTCCAGCCTTAACTCCCCAATCCCTTCCCTCCTTGACTCCCACCCCCAATCCCACGTGCACTCTTTGGTTGAGGGGTGGTTTTGAGAGGGGAAGACATTAACTTGTTAGCAAGTAATGAGAATTCTAGGATCAACCCTGAAAAGTTTGTAAAAGTGCAAGTTTCTAGCAGACTAAAGGAAGGGAAGTGGAGAAAAAGGAGAATTCCCAAAAGTGAGACTGGGGTGGGGTTAGAGGGCGAGCTGGTGAAGGGACAGTGGGGGCCCAGCAGGGTTTAGAAGGGACAGAGGGGAACCTCAGTTAGGACATGTGTCCCTACAAGATCTGAGGGTGAGTAGTGCAGTAGGAGAGGTGTGTGTGTGTGTGTGTGTGTGTGTGTGTGTGTGTGTGTGTGGATGGAGACGCTTCAGGGAAGACGGTGTGTTGAGGGAGGCCTGAGAGTGAGAGCAAGTAAATTGGGAAGCTTTGGAGGGGCGGAACAAAACAGGAGACTGGGATCGGAGTTTGAAAAGCAGAGCTGGAGAGGTGATCGGGTGGCATTGAATATCCCCAGGACTGGGGAAAGGGACAGAAGGGGAGGTGGCAAGAAGACGTGAGTTTAACGTAGCTACCACAAGGATGGGTGGGAGAGAGATCAGACGGAGGAGAAGAGCTCGGTTAGGGCATTTTGGGATTTGGGGGTTGGAGAAGTAGAAGACTTGCCCCAACTCTCTCCTCTCTCTGCGGGTGTGGGTAAGGAGAGATGGTCCTATGGCATTTGGGTAGCAAAACTGCAGGCAGCAGGCTTCTCGGTGTCACCCAGCCCCCCTCTGATTGCAGCGGCCGCTCCCCTCCCTACCGCTGCTGCATTCATTTCCCAGTCTTGGGACCTCCTGGCTGTGCCCCTCCCTCCCTTCCTTAACAGTGTCCTCTTCTCCCCGCTCCGTTTGTGTCTCTCCGTTGGCACGCACGTCTCCCCACTCTCCACTTTCCTGCCGCCTTTCTTTCCCCTTCCCCCCTTTTGTTTCTCTCATCTTTGTGTGTCTCTGCCTGTGTCTCCCTCTCCCTTCTGCTTGGGTTTCTCGGGCAGCCATTCCCTCTCCCTGGGCCCAGGGAAGTCGGAGCCTGCTTGGGTCCGCCCCCTTAGGTGTGGTCCCCACCTCACTCTCACATTCGCCTCCGGGGCTATTTTTACTCGTGGGTGAGGCTGTGCCGCAGAGATTCCGGCCCTGTGTCCTGTGAGAGGATGGTTATTGCAGTCAGAGGACTTGTGCTGGGAGACCCTGGCAGCAGGTTAGGGGTAGCCTTAGCTGCCCAGGCCTCATCCTCACTGTCCCTTCCCCCACATCCTTGACAGGAAGGAAGCCGGAGACAGAGAGATGAATCACCCTCAGCTTAGGGGGAGGTGTCCCTTGGGCCAATGAGGTCACCACTTGCTAATTAGAGGGCAGCCCCTCTCTGTAGGGCCCTCCACATCTCTAGCGCGAGGCCCAGGGCCCCTTGACTAGACTCCCCACCCAAAGACACCTTGGATTGGAGGTGTAGAGAACCAAAACTCTGGCTCCCAAACCCCACCCACCTCTCCTGTCTTCAGACTCTACTCCCTTCAGGAACCCAGAAATCCAGGCTTCTAGCCTACAACTCTGGCCTCACTGAAGTTCCACACCCTTCCCTCTCTAGGATTCAGATCCTCCCAAGTTCTCCAGGACCTCCTCCCTCTACCTACCTCCCACCTGTCCTCAGTGTCTGGGGAACCAGAAGCCTGCCTTTGCAAAACAGTTTCCCATTGATCTGCCTTAGGTTTGACCCAGGCCCAAGGGCAAAGAGCCCATAGTGAGGGGACAGTGTATGTGTCATGACTAGGCAGAAAACAGCTGGTCTGGGAGTGGGAATGCAGGGACTGGCCTAGGGATGGGTGGGGTGCATCAGGCATAACCTTGGGTTGGGGTTACTTTTCAGGCTGGCAGTGATGGGGCCAAGATTGGGAACTGCCCATTCTCCCAGAGACTGTTCATGGTACTGTGGCTCAAGGGAGTCACCTTCAATGTTACCACCGTTGACACCAAAAGGTAGGCCTGCTTATGTTCCTTGAAACACCCCTGGTGTACACATGTGTGCAAACACACACCCACCCGAGTCCTTCTGTCATGAACATTTTTGCCCTCCCCCTGGAGTCCCTTTCTTATCCCACGTCCTCCATTCCCCCTTTCTGGTTCTTCCTGACCCCCATTTCCAGTCCTGATTCCTGATCCTTTCTCCAGGCGGACCGAGACAGTGCAGAAGCTGTGCCCAGGGGGGCAGCTCCCATTCCTGCTGTATGGCACTGAAGTGCACACAGACACCAACAAGATTGAGGAATTTCTGGAGGCAGTGCTGTGCCCTCCCAGGTATAGGGGCACTCAGAAAGTGGAGAGGTGGAGCAGGGAGATTCTGGGAAACAGACAGTTTGCAGAAATGGAAAACAGAGATGGTGGTGGGGCTGGGGCAGGAGAGCTAGCTGAGGTTCCTCCCAGGAAGACATCTTACCTCATTTTTCCCATTGGCTTTCAGGTACCCCAAGCTGGCAGCTCTGAACCCTGAGTCCAACACAGCTGGGCTGGACATATTTGCCAAATTTTCTGCCTACATCAAGAATTCAAACCCAGCACTCAATGACAGTGAGTCTTGTGGGTCAGAGGCCTGGGTCCTGGGAGGAATAGAGAGGACCCAGCGGGTAGGAGACATTAGGGGCACCTGGACGTTCAGATATCAGGGAGATGAAGCAGATGTTCGTAAATTTCCCCCAGCTTCCCATTTTTGCTTTACCTCTATATTTCCCTGCATTTTCATTGGCCAAGACTTTTAAGCTTTTCTCATTTGTTCCCTAGCCTCTTCTGCCCCACTGAGGACGTTAGTTGGCTGCTGGCCTGTTTTCTGGCAGAATAGGGTCATGCTTAAGAACAGTCATCACTCTAGATCCAGACTACCTGAGTACAAATCCAACTAGCCGTATAATTTTGAGCAATCATTTCACCTCTCTGTAAGTCCATTTCCAGATCCACAAAATTAGGATGACAATACCTATTTCATGGGTTGATATAAATTTTTTTTTTTCTTTTTTTTTGAGATGGAGTCTCGTTCTGTCGCCCAGGCTGGAGTGCAGTGGTGCAATCAGCTCACTGCAACCTCTGCCTGCCGGGTTCAAGCAATTCTCCTGCCTCAGCCTCCTGAGTAGCTGGGATTACAGACGTGCATCACCACGCCCAGCTAATTTTTGTATTTTTAGTAGAGACAGGGTTTCACCATGTTGGCCAGGCTGGTCTTGAACTCCCGACCTCAGGTGATCCACCTGCCTCGGCCTCCCAAAGTGCTGGGATTACAGGAGTGAGCCACTGCACCCGGCGATATAAATGAGTTTGTAAAATGTAAAGTGTTCACTTTGGGAGGCCGAGGCTAGCGCACCACCTGAGGTTAGGAGTTGGAGACCAGCCTGGCCAACATGACTGGTCTCTACTGAAAAAAATACAAAAATTAGCCAGTTGTGGTGGCAGGCACCTGTAATCCCAGCTACTCAGGAGGCTGAGGCAGGAGAATCATTTGAATCTAGGAGGCAGAGGTTGCAGTGAGCCGGGATCATGCCACTGCACTCCAGCCTGGGCAACGGAGCAAGACTCCGTCTAACATAAAATAAAATGTAAAGTGCTTAGAATAACACATAGAAAAGTAACTACATGAGTGTTAGCTATTATTATTTTGGACTCACCATTAGTATCCACCCCCAACGGGCCTTTTCGGACTATGTCAATCTTTTCCTGAAGTTCTAATCAGTTCCCTCTCTTGCACAGATCTGGAGAAGGGACTCCTGAAAGCCCTGAAGGTTTTAGACAATTACTTAACATCCCCCCTCCCAGAAGAAGTGGATGAAACCAGTGCTGAAGATGAAGGTGTCTCTCAGAGGAAGTTTTTGGATGGCAACGAGCTCACCCTGGCTGACTGCAACCTGTTGCCAAAGTTACACATAGTACAGGTGTGTGGTTATTGCGGGAGGAGAGGATGACCACTGGAGTGGCCCTTTAAGGAGCTCCCACATGGGCTTCCCCTGACAACCACTCTAAAGACGATTTCTTTCTTAGGGTGGTTTTCATAAATTGCTACCAATGGCAGACCCCACCCCAGTCCTTTGCAGCAGTCATTGCTAACAAGACCACTGCTTGAGATAATTATATTCCATGATGTAAGTCATGGGTGCAAACAGACTAGCAAAGAGGAATACATCCCAGTATTACTTTTGAAGAATGCTCTTCCTGTCTCGGTATCACTGCCAAATTCCCAGATTAGACAGAGCAGGCTTTTCCTAAAGTCAAAGCTTTAACTTTCTTTATAACTTCAGTCTTCACTTCCTCTTGTGGAAGATCAAAACTGCTGGTTCCCATGTTTTTGTCATAGTCTCAAAGCTATGGTTTAGTTTGTGCAACATGGGCCTGACATCAGTCTGCCACACAACTATGTAGTGAACATCTGTGTACTAAGCATTGAAAGATACACAAGTGTATGGTGACTGGGCCTTGCTCTCAAAGGGTTGAAATCTGAGACAATAAAATATTCACATGAAAGTTAAGAATATATGATGAAAAGTCAGATGGGCCGGGCGTGGTGGCTCACGCCTATAATCCCAACACTTTGGGCGGCCAAGGCTGGTGGACCACCTGAGGTTAGGAGTTCGAGACCAGCCTGGCCAACATGGTGAAACCCCATCTCTACTAAAATTACAAAAATTAGCCGCACATGGTGGTGGGCACCTGTAATCACAGCTATTTGGGAGGCTGAGGCAGGAGAATCACTTGAACCCGGGAGGCGGAGGTTGCAGTGAGCCAAGATCGCGCCATTGCACTCCAGCCTGGGTGACAGCAAGACTCCATCTCAAAAAAAAAAAAGTCTGATGAAAAATATAGAGACAAAAGTCACCTGTGTCAGTGCCTGAAGTGGTATAGGGGGAAAAAGTCACTGTGGAAATTCAAGAGGAGAATTTTATAAGTAAATTATATCTCAAGTTTTAAAAACTCAGGAAAAATGGCTGGTTATTAAAAGCCAGGATTTCAGTAAGTGAGAAGGAAGGCTAACGACAGTACAAGACAGTGAGGAGTTGAGCTGGTTTTATCATGTCGGCCTGGGGAGAAGGGAAAGCCAAGGTGGCTTCCCTGGGTCTAACATGTTGGTCCCTCTCCTCTCCCCATCCTCAGGTGGTGTGTAAGAAGTACCGGGGATTCACCATCCCCGAGGCCTTCCGGGGAGTGCATCGGTACTTGAGCAATGCCTACGCCCGGGAAGAATTCGCTTCCACCTGTCCAGATGATGAGGAGATCGAGCTCGCCTATGAGCAAGTGGCAAAGGCCCTCAAATAAGCCCCTCCTGGGACTCCCTCAACCCCCTCCATTTTCTCCACAAAGGCCCTGGTGGTTTCCACATTGCTACCCAATGGACACACTCCAAAATGGCCAGTGGGCAGGGAATCCTGGAGCACTTGTTCCGGGATGGTGTGGTGGAAGAGGGGATGAGGGAAAGAAATGGGGGGCCTGGGTCAGATTTTTATTGTGGGGTGGGATGAGTAGGACAACATATTTCAGTAATAAAATACAGAATAAAAATCAAGTGTTTTTACGCAATGGGGATTTAAAGTGTGGGCGACATGGAATGAGGGGTGGGTCAGTGATCTTGAGCTCAGGGCAGAAGCCAGGAATTAAGAAGGGAAATGTTTGTGGTGGGGCTGCTATGTTTCGTGCCGGTCCGCCGGTCCGCCGTTGCGCTGTTCTGAGGTCTACGAAGCGTTTGCAGCCCCGTCGCCAGGGCCGGCCAGATCTGGGTGGGCCTGGGCAGCGCTCGCTGGGCGGTGCCGATTTCTGGCAAGGGGGGCGCAGTCTGGATGTAATGGGCGAGGCTTAGCAGGGCGGAATGGGCGTGGCCCGAAGAAGCCCCGCCCCGTCCCGCTTAGACAATGCCCCGGAGCCGCCAGACCGTCGCGCCCCTGCCCCATCGTAGTATATGAGCTCGCCTACACAAGGACCCGCGCTAAAAGCCAGAGCTCCCAGTCCCCGAGGCTTGAAGACGGGGACTCCCTTCTCCACCAACTCTGTCCTCGGGGGGTGGGGCCCCAGCCGAGATCACAGCGCGACAGGAGTGGGGGTGGCCGCTGGAGGTGAGTCTTGCGTGGGGGGCCCTGAACCGTGTGGGGGCCGGAGTTTGGGGGTGCCGGGCCCATGCCTGCACCAGACAGAGAGTATGGGGAGCCGGTATTTGGGCGCGGAGCTAGGCGGGGTGGACTTTGGGACATAGACGGGGAACCGGGTCCTGGAGCCGGGAGTAGTGCCAGCGCCCCGGAACCACGCCCCCTGTTACCCCGCCCCTCGCATTTCGTTTTAGACCTCTCCCAGTCCTTCGGGACTCGGTCTGGTTTATACTAGGTCGCGCTAGGGGCAGCGTGACCAGCCAGGGCGGAGAGAGGATGCTTAACTCCTTAGGCTCGAACTCCTCCCTTCCTACCCACCTCTCTCCCTTCTCGTTCGGGTATTCAGGACTTCCATTCCCCAGCCCCTGCCTCTCCAGCTTTCTCCTTCTGTCCCATAACCCCTGCGGGTCGCGGGCTGGACTTCCAGTCCCTGCGGTAGCGAGCAGCTGAGGGTTAAGGGGGCGGGGCTGCTGCATTTTTGGGGAGTGAGCGCATCCTAGTGGCTGCCAAGAGGGGCGCCCGACAGGGACCTCACAAGCCCCCAAGCAGGGGCAACAGGTGTTTTGGAGATTAGAGACCCTAGCCTTGTTCCTCAGGCTCCTCTTAAAGAATCTGACCCCTGAGGGTGCTGGGTAGAGTGAGGTCGACAGGAGCGGAAGGTCTGGAGTGGGTGGGGCGGAGTGGGAGGGACGCCTAGAGATGGCAGGAGGAAGACCTGGGCGCTCTTAACCACCCCCAACGCCCTTGTCTGCATGTCTTTTTCTCTGTCTCCTCCTTTTCTGTTTCTTCTCCCAGACAGGTGAAGAAACAAGAAAACTAAGAAATCCGAGCGGTTGGAGGGGGAGTCTGTGTGGATGGGATGGGGACGCCGGGGGAGGGGCTGGGCCGCTGCTCCCATGCCCTGATCCGGGGAGTCCCAGAGAGCCTGGCGTCGGGGGAAGGTGCGGGGGCTGGCCTTCCCGCTCTGGATCTGGCCAAAGCTCAAAGGGAGCACGGGGTGCTGGGAGGTAAACTGAGGCAACGACTGGGGCTACAGCTGCTAGAACTGCCACCTGAGGAGTCATTGCCGCTGGGACCGCTGCTTGGCGACACGGCCGTGATCCAAGGGGACACGGCCCTAATCACGCGGCCCTGGAGCCCCGCTCGTAGGCCAGAGGTGAGCGCCGTGGCGCGGGTGTGGTATGGGGAAAGGCAGAAGGAACTGGATGTCGGGGCTTTGGGGAAGAATTGAGGATGGGGGTGTCACAGCTCCGTGCCCTCTTCTCCTATCCTAAGGTCGATGGAGTCCGCAAAGCCCTGCAAGACCTGGGGCTCCGAATTGTGGAAATAGGAGACGAGAACGCGACGCTGGATGGCACTGACGTTCTCTTCACCGGTGAGGCTGGGGGGAGGCATAGGTCTTGGCACAGGGAAGTAGAGTTTGGGAGACTCGGCCGTCTGGAGCCTTGTTTCTAACTCACTCCCGCCCTCAAACCTCCGCGGCCTCCCGGACTCAGGCCGGGAGTTTTTCGTAGGCCTCTCCAAATGGACCAATCACCGAGGAGCTGAGATCGTGGCGGACACGTTCCGGGTGCGGAGCGGGACCAGCCTAGGGAGGGAGGGGGTGCAGGTGGGGGTCGGAAGGGCCTGGGCGCCCGCTGAGGAAATGAGAGGCAGAGAGCAGCCTATGTTTGAAGATACCCCATCACCCCTCCCGCGCCCCTGAATACCTCCCTTCGCTCTCCCTAGGACTTCGCCGTCTCCACTGTGCCAGTCTCGGGTCCCTCCCACCTGCGCGGTCTCTGCGGCATGGGGGGACCTCGCACTGTTGTGGCAGGCAGCAGCGACGCTGCCCAAAAGGCTGTCCGGGTGAGGAGGGGGCGGGGCCAACGAAAGTGGGCGCAGTTCTGGGCCCGGGAGGCCGGGAGCTGGGAGGCTTAGGAAATTAGCCCTAACCCCTGCCCTCAATGGGCTGTCCATCTTACATGAAAGAACACAGGAGAAAATAAGAAGTTACAACAGCAGGACTGGGAACAGGGGTGATTAATTTGCTCTTCCGGAGTTTCAGGAAACCCCAAAGGTGGCACCTAAACTGTGACTCTAAGGATGGGTAGGACAGATAGGAGGGGCTGGGGAAGGTAGGGGGTTGAAAATAACTGCATGTGATTCCAAGGTGGAAATTAGCAAAGGTAACTAAAGTACTTAGTGTCTGACATATCGTAAGCTCTATGTGCTTGCTGTCATTATTTTCCACAAATGTCAGTCCGTCCCCAGCCCTTAGTGGTGGTTGAGCAGGCAGACACAGCTGTGGAGAGGTTCTGAGACTCGAACACTTCCTCTTTCCTCTAGGCAATGGCAGTGCTGACAGATCACCCATATGCCTCCCTGACCCTCCCAGATGACGCAGCTGCTGACTGTCTCTTTCTTCGTCCTGGGTTGCCTGGTGTGCCCCCTTTCCTCCTGCACCGTGGAGGTGGGGATCTGCCCAACAGCCAGGAGGTGAGAGAGGGCAGGAACTCCAACACCAAGCACCATCAGAGAAAAGAGTTTCAGGCTTTCCTAGTGGGAGGAAGGAAGGGTACCTTCTCTAGAAGCCTGGGTGGGGCCACTCTGAGCTGGCTGGAAGAGTGGCCTGGCTCAGCCTGAGGTCTCACTCCCCTCTCCCCACTCCATGTCTTCCCTGTGCAGGCACTGCAGAAGCTCTCTGATGTCACCCTGGTACCTGTGTCCTGCTCAGAACTGGAGAAGGCTGGCGCCGGGCTCAGCTCCCTCTGCTTGGTGCTCAGCACACGCCCCCACAGCTGAGGGCCTGGCCTTGGGGTACTGCTGGCCAGGGGTAGGATAGTATAGGAAGTAGAAGGGGAAGGAGGGTTAGATAGAGAATGCTGAATAGGCAGTAGTTGGGAGAGAGCCTCAATATTGGGGGAGGGGAGAGTGTAGGGAAAAGGATCCACTGGGTGAATCCTCCCTCTCAGAACCAATAAAATAGAATTGACCTTTTAGACTGGGCTGTGACTGGTGTCTTACTGGGGCAAAGGGATAGGGCAGGGCTGAAACCTGAGTTTGGGGTCAGTGCAGGGAAGAAGGCCTCTTATTCAAAAATCTTGTTAGGTACTTATCAACTCATTGCCCAACCATGTCATAGGTACTTGAGCACAAGATGAACAAGACAGAATTTCTATCATGGGAAGTGTGTCCAGGGCAGAGAAAAGAGTGTATGGGTGGATTGCTCACTGAATTTATCTAAATGTTAGATGATTCAGAGACTGGTAGATTACCAGTCCACCCCTATTTGATAAAGAAAAAGAAATGACACTTCCAGGGACATTCATTTTCATTCATTCATTTAATGAGGCTTAGCAATGATATCAAAAGGGTCAGTCTCCTGACGTTGGGGAGCTCACAGTACATGCAAATTTCTTACAAATTGAAATACAGGTTGTCATGGAACAATTTACAGAAGGCTGTTTCTATGAGGGAAATAAAGGGGGTGCGCCCTAGGGCATCAAAGTATATGCAAGGGGTGGCCAAGGAGGGTCACCTTCCCAGAAAAGGCCATACTTGAACTAAGGATAAATAAGAATTAGCCAGGCAGATAGTGTGAAGGAGGGAAAGGGGTAATACAGGAAGAAGGAATTGCACTGGGCAAAGACATTTTGGGGCTAGGGAGAATTCTCTAAGGCTGGCATTTTCTAAGATGTGCATGTGGAATGACACAGGTAAGCCTGGAGAGTGGACAAAGTGCTGTAGTACCTTGTATCCAAAGCCAAGGCACGTGGGCACAGAGCTGAAGCTAAGGAGAGTACTTCAGTTCTGTAATAAGGGCTGTCAGGAGCAGTTATCTCTTGAGTAGGATCTCTCTGACTTCAGGGAGGAAAGCAAGGGTAGGAGGATGAGGTGGGGCTATGGGTAATCCAGGAAGGAAGTGAGCAGAGTACATTCACGTGGCAGCGCTGGGCATGGAATACAGTGTGGGTTTGACAGTGATGTTAAGATAGAAAGACTGGACTTCATGGCTCATTGTGTGGGAGTAAGAGAGAAAGGAGGTCTGCGTGACTCCCAGTTTCTGGGTTGGGCAACTGGGTTGTTAAAGAGAATACAGAGGAGAATTAAGTGAGCAGCTTCAGAGATGACAATGAGTTGGGTTTGACATTCAGAGTGCGAAATGCCTGAGGTCAGTCAGGCAGAATGTCTAAGTGGAAGTTTGTTAATCCCAAATCTGAGATCTGAGCCAGAGAGAGTTCTGAGTGTCATTTGCAGAGGAGGGGGCTGAGGACTGACTGTTGATGAGAGTGTCCCAGAAGAAGAGAAAGGGACAAACCTAGAATGGTGGGAAATACTGTAGGGATATGGAGCAAGGAAGAGGAGTCCAAAAAGAAAACACCAGCAACAAAGAAAAACAGCTTAAAGAATCAGGCCGGGCGCGGTGGCTCACACCTGTAATCCTAGCACTTTGGGAGGCCGGGGCGGGTGGATCACGAGGTTAGCAGATCAAGACCATCCTGGCTAACACAGTGAAACCCCGTCTCTACTAAAAATACAAAAAATTAGCTGGGCGTGGTGGCGGGCGCCTGTAGTCCCAGCTACTCAGGAGCCTGAGGCAGGAGAATGGTGTGAACCCGGCAGGCGGAGCTTGCAGTGAGGGAGATGGTGTCACTGCACTCCAGCCTGGGCAACAGAGCGAGACTCCGTCTCAAAAAAAAAAAAAAAAGGAGCTAGGGCTTGATTGGGTATAGAGAGGACACTGGTGGTGAGGGAGACATGGAGGTTATAGGAGAGATGGGAGTAAGTTTAGAAGTAAGACCAGTGGCAGAGACAGCCTGGAACCCAGGTCTCCCAACTCCCAGTCTAGCACTTATTTCTATACCATGGTGCCTTCCTCTTCCAGGTGAGGAACCAAGGAGGGGAGAGGGATTATGGGGAGCTGGGATCCCCTAGCTTGGGAGGTTTGGAGTAAGGGCTTCCCTTCAAACTACAACTGCATAGATGGTGGAGGCATCAGCAGGGTCCGCTGTGGACAGCCGGCGGGGCCTGCTGAGGGCTAGATGGTCCAGATCCGCATAGAGCAGGCTCTGGAGGAGGAAGGGGAGGAAGACAAGATGGTCTCCACAGTCTTCCTTGGGGTTCAGGCCTTTTTTTTTTTGGTCCATTTTCCTCAGAGATTCTGGCTATCCCCTTCCCATCCCCATGCCCTTACCGGTTCCTGGTCCAGGTCCCCTGGAATCTTGGGCTCTTCCTCCTTTACTGGCCTCTGGGGCTCGGTTTTCACAAGTGGAGCTATGTGGGGGGGACAGAGCTGAAGGATGGAGAGAAGGTGACCAACGTGTCTGCTCCCAGCAAGGGCTCAGACTCAGGAATTGAGGGGTGGGGAGTGGGCATGTAGGAGAAAGAAAATGGGGTGGAATTAGTCTCACCAAATCTAGGGAGTGGTCGAATCGGTTGCGGGGGCAGGCGCCTGTAAGGGACATATGAGTCTTTGAGAACCACCAGTCTTGTCTCACTGGTTCTCCTGGGACTCGCCACGCCAAGGACAGCCCAGCAACTTGAAGGCTCAGACCGGAAACAACTTAGACTCTACCCCACCGACAGTCCAGCCCAGGCTCTAACTCTGCTGCACTTCCAGCTCATCTGCTCTGGTGGGGCTCTACTCACCAGTCAGCGGCCTCGCTCCCACCTTTGACCTCTCCCATTCTTCGCCAAGCCAGGACCAGAGCTCTAGGTCTAGCTCTTTCTTTTGCGAAGGTTCTGGTCCTGCCCCTTCCACCTCTGGTCACTCCCCATTTAACGAGGCCGGGTCCCTCCTGCTCACCTGTGCAGCCACCAGACCAGGCCCAAAGCTCCCAGTCCGAGCACCAACCCAGCGCCCAGCAGCGGGATCAGGAGCTGGGGATACACGGACCCTGGGGGAAAGGCGTGGCGGGGAGGGATGCTGAGGTCAGGGGTTTGACGAGGGACAGCCAGCAGTCCCGCTCAAGAACCCCCAGCCAAGGCCCTCTTCCCTCCTCCGGGTATGTGTCGGAGTTAAGTACCCTTGTGCGCACAGGCCTGCACCTACCATGGGTAGGCCCGGGGGCCTTGCAATAGGTCCTGTCCCCCAGCACGTGAAGCACTGTACGGCTCTCGTCCTCGTGGCGGCCCTTGCAGAAAAAAGTGCCCGAGTCCCCCGCGCTCAAGAGGAGCTCCAGCCGCCGGATACCAGAGTCCAGGGAGCGTAGGCGGCCGACGAAAGGCTGGAGGGGAGGCACGGTGGGGGTCCCGCTCGAAGAGGCCCACAGGATCGGTCGGCGTCCTTTGGACAGGCCCTTGCAGGCCGGGAAGCTGGGTGCCCAGACCCAGCGGATGGGATGAGAGACTCCTCCGCAGGAGAGATTCACCCGGTCCCCAGGGCGGCCGTCCAGAGAAGCTAGGAGAGGCCGGAGGCTGTGGTTAGGGCACGTCCACAGGGCAAGACGACCCTCCATCCCGTCTCCTCTTTCTCTTCTCTGTTCTGCACTCCAGCCATCCTGGATCTTCCCACACACAACCCACCCTACTAGGCGGCCCTTATCTTGCTTCAGCCCCTCTGCGTCTATCACAACTCTCCCAGGGATCGCTTACCCCCAGGGTTCCCTTGGGCCCTCGAGAGCAGCAGCGGTAGCAGCTGCAGAAACACAGCCATGGTTAGGATGTGGTGAGGAGAAGCTGCGAGCGAATCAGCGGCGTGGGGCCGGTTGGGGGGGGACCGGAGGGAAGTTAGGCGTGGGGAGAACGGAGGGGCTGGGGGGCTCCGATAAGAGAGGGGGCGGGGCCACCAGCTGCCCAGATCCCTTTGGGAATCCTCGCAGGCAAACTCGGAGTCTTCAAATGGTTCTCACTTAAAATGTGTGCTCGGGCCATTTACACAAATGCTTTGGCCTGCTTAACTTTTCAGGTGCGCCTGTAATCCCAGCTACTTAGGAGGCTGAGGAGGGAGGATCGCTTGAGCTCAGGAGGTCGAGGTTGCAGTGAACTGTGATCAGGCCATTGCACTCCAGCCTGGGCGACAGAGCCAGCCAGACCCTGTCTCAAAAACAACAACAAAAAAAACTCCTGTTTTGTAGGGGATTGTGATAACGAAATAAAGTAATACATGTAAACTGCTTAGAATACATAGGATCACTATGTAAGTGCTTGCCATTATTATTACTATTTCTATTCTTTTTTTTTTTTTTTTTTTTGAGTCAGAGTCTTGCTCTGTGGCCAGGCTGGAGTGCAATCTCGACTCACTGCAGCCTCCGGCTCCTGGATTCAAGTGAGTCTCCTGTCTCAGCCTCCTGAGTAGCTGGAACTACAGGTGCATGCCACCACACCTGACTAATTTTTGTATTTTCAGTAGAGATGGGGTTTCACCATGTTGGCCAGGATGGTCTCGATCTCTTGACCTTGTGATCCACCCACCTCGGCCTCCCAAAGTGCTGAGATTACAGGTGTGAGCCACCACACCCGGCCTACTATTTCTATTCTTATTTTAGCTTCTACCTCACCTCTCTGTGCCCATGCTGTTCCTCCTGGCTTGGTACCCTGCCCAAGTTGGCAGGTTTTGACTGGGGAGGTGCTTTGGAGCAGGTGCACACAGCCACACCTAGGACAATTGCTGCTGCTGGACTGGAGCAACAAGGCCACACCAAGCGCAAGTGGAGCACGGGTGACATCCTGAGAACCTTCATGGGAGCCTGAGGCAGCCCTACTTAGCAGACCTGTGGTGGCTCTCCTGGATGAGTAGCCCCAGCCCCTGCCTCTGCTGCTGTGGCATCACAGAAGCCATCAGTGAGTCACTTATTGCTGAGCAGGCATTGGAAAGACCGAGTGGGGGCTGAATGGAGATTAATTTGACCCATTCCTCCCCCAATTTCCACCAGCATGCCCCTATCAATGCCCAGCAGGGACCCAGGGACCCAAATTCAGCAATTAATTTGGGCCACATCCTTTTGTCCATTTTCCAGGAACCAGCAGAAGCTGCCACCATGGACACTGTAAATCACAGAGGCCTTTGATGATGCTCATTCAGAGGACTGAGCAGCAGGACTCTTAGCTGGGGACCAGGAAGGGCATCTTGGCCTGAAACCAAGAACCACAATGGCATTGGCCACTAGTGGCACCTGCCTTCCCCCATCCCTCTCTCCCATCCCTACTCCCCACTCAGTCCTGCTCAGTGCCTTCCCACCCCTTGTCTTTTCTCTGGTCAGCTGCGTAGTAAGTGAGAAGGGAGGGGCTACCAGAGGCAGGGAAGGGAGGAGCCTTTGGGTTTATAAATTCCAAAAAGGCCACTCAACTCCTAGAGCTGGATCCTTGAAAATCTACTCTATCAGCTGCTGTGGTTGCCACCATTCTCAGGACCCTCGCCATGAAAGCCCTTATGCTGCTCACCCTGTCTGTTCTGCTCTGCTGGGTCTCAGGTGAGCACCTGGGGGCCCCAAAGACCTGGTTTGCCTGGTCAGGACCTTTACACCCTGCTCTACCCACTTCCCGGCCCTACCCACCACTCGGGATCCCAACACCCCCAGCCCCAACTGGCTCAGCTCTCCTGTGCCACCAAGACCAGGCTTCCCTATGACAGCCTCCTTGCTCTATTTCTCAAAAAGCCAGGTCTCCATCCATCCTCCCCACCTCCAAGAAAGACCCATTTCTCTCACCTGCCAGGGCTCTGGGTCCCCTGTTCCCCACTCCAAGGTGTCTCCTCCTTGGAAACTCTGGTATCCAGTTCCCCAACCAGCCCCACTTCAATATGCAACTCTCCAGAGTCTAGCTTACCTGCCTTCTCCTCTATCTGCTGTGCTCAGTAAGGTGTCCTCTCGAAGACCTAGGCATCCAGCCCCAGGCTCCTTTTGTAACCTACCCTCCCCATCTACTCCATCAGGGACTCACATGTTCAGTCTCTCAGCCATGGCCTTTCCTAGATACCCCCTACTCCCCTCCTGGGTTGCATACCTCCTCCCATACAGGGGATACAAACTTTCTAGATGGTTGCAGTGACATCTAAGAGCCTCCATGGAAACAGAGCGTTTTCTTGAGCCTTCTGAAGAGGGGACAACTGGGCCACTTACCTCCAGGGTGAAGTGGATTTCACTGAGGTACACTTACCAGGCTCTTCCACCCTCGGACCCTGCGTCACCAAATCTTGCCTGCCCAAACCTTGAATTAACTGAAGCAGGAAACTTGGGGTGCCACCTTCTGTATCCACCCTCTCCATTTTGATAAGGTGCTAAGATGGAATCTGGTGATCTGTCTCTCAGGTATCATTCCTTTCTGCTGAAGAGCTACTGGGGTGAGAGGATTCTATTCAGGTCTGGTTCCTCTTGCCACACTCTTGCCAGCTCCAGGAGGTGAAGAGTAAATTGTAAATTGCTAAAGCTGGCCACAGATGGCTTTCTCGCCAGCCTCAAGTTCCAAGGCATTTCTGACAGTGTTGTAACCCTCATGATTTTCATTTTTATTATTTCTCCTTCTTTCAAGTTTCCATCTCCTCCTTCACCATCCACATTCTTTCCCCATGGTATCTTCCTCACATTCCATCTATCTCCAGCCCCATGTTTTTCTTCATAGTTCTGTCCCTCTTGACTCACCTCCAAACGGGGTGGAGTGATGGAAGATATGTAGGGCGTGGGCCTTTCACAAAGCAACAGCTCTACCCTTACCTGCCGCCCACTTTCCATTTTCCCTGCATCACTCACCTGCTCTGTGCTTGCTAGACCAAACAGCCAAACAGGTTGGAGCACCTACGGGATGGGCTCTTCTCCACCCTCCACCCCTGCCCCCAGCTCAGCTTATCCCCAGGTAAGTCAGAGACCCCATCACCTCAGCCTGACTTGTGTCTTCCCAGCTGACATTCGCTGTCACTCCTGCTACAAGGTCCCTGTGCTGGGCTGTGTGGACCGGCAGTCCTGCCGCCTGGAGCCAGGACAGCAATGCCTGACAACACATGCATACCTTGGTAACATCCCCTTCCTTAGTGGGGTGAACAGGGAGGTGGGAGCCTCTATGACCAGGACTGAGGCCCAAATGGGTCTAAGACTGAGATGGAGAAGCAGAGGATTATAGCAATGATAATATTTGGCCAAAGATGGTTGTGTGCCAGGCAACATCCTATGTCTTTGCATGCCTTTTTTTCAATTAATGTTCATGACAACCCTGTGATGTGGGTGCTATTATTATACTGAGAAAACGGCCTCAAAAAGAGACAGTAACACAGCCGGGCATGGTGGCTCATGCCTGTAATCCCAGCACTTTGGGAGGCCAAGGTGGTTGGATCACTTGAGGTCAGGAGTTCAAGACCAGCCTGGCCAACATGGTGAAACCCCATTTCTACTAAATATACAAAAATTAGCCAGGCATGGTAGTGGGCGCCTGTAATCCCAGCTACTCGGGAGGCTGAGGCAGGAGAATCGCTTGAACCTGGGAGGCGGAGGTTGCAGTGAGCTGAGATGGCACCACTGCACTCCAGCCTGGGCGAGAGTGAGACTCTGTCTTGGAAAAAACAAAAAAACAAAAAACAGAGACAGTAACAGGTCCATGGCCAGCAAGTGATAGAACCAGGACTGGGGGAGTGGTGGGTAAGGATGTGCAGAAGGAAGATCAGACTAAGAAAAGAGAAGGGGAGGGCCAGGGACAGAGTTGGGAAGGAAGGAAGCCTAGGTGGGTGGATGGGGTGGGGAGGTGGACACAGGCATGCCAGGTGCCCATCCTGGCCGATTCCCTGCCCATTCCCACCCCTAGGTAAGATGTGGGTTTTCTCCAATCTGCGCTGTGGCACACCAGAAGAGCCCTGTCAGGAGGCCTTCAACCAAACCAACCGCAAGCTGGGTCTGACATATAACACCACCTGCTGCAACAAGGACAACTGCAACAGCGCAGGACCCCGGCCCACTCCAGCCCTGGGCCTTGTCTTCCTTACCTCCTTGGCTGGCCTTGGCCTCTGGCTGCTGCACTGAGACTCATTCCATTGGCTGCCCCTCCTCCCACCTGCCTTGGCCTGAGCCTCTCTCCCTGTGTCTCTGTATCCCCTGGCTTTACAGAATCGTCTCTCCCTAGCTCCCATTTCTTTAATTAAACACTGTTCCGAGTGGTCTCCTCATCCATCCTTCCCACCTCACACCCTTCACTCTCCTTTTTCTGGGTCCCTTCCCACTTCCTTCCAGGACCTCCATTGGCTCCTAGAAGGGCTCCCCACTTTGCTTCCTATACTCTGCTGTCCCCTACTTGAGGAGGGATTGGGATCTGGGCCTGAAATGGGGCTTCTGTGTTGTCCCCAGTGAAGGCTCCCACAAGGACCTGATGACCTCACTGTACAGAGCTGACTCCCCAAACCCAGGCTCCCATATGTACCCCATCCCCCATACTCACCTCTTTCCATTTTGAGTAATAAATGTCTGAGTCTGATAAAATGTACATTTATTATAAGAAGACCTAAGGGTCAGGTCACCTCCCAGGAAATAATACTCTCAATCTCCCTCCCTTACACAGGAATCCTTCAGGGAGGTTCCCTGGGAGGCTGGGCTGGGGAAAATGGAGAAACAGGTTTTTCAGGTCTTCATCCTCCCTTCCAGTGTCTCCAGGTGGCACACAACAACTCATATCCTAAATTTAGGCCACACCCCTGATGTATTGCCAAGAAGAAGGTGCGGCCTGGCTTGAGGGCTCTCCAGAAAGGATAGGAGAGGTACATGGAGATGGGGCCTGAGACCCTGTTTCTTCAGTTTCTCTCAGGTTAGAGTCAAAGGCCTCACCTAGCCTAGTTAGTAAGTAGGGCATCAAGCAGTTTTTACCTATCACAGTTTTTACATTTCTTTTCTCAATTCAAAATAGTCCTATTGGGAGCCAACTTGCAAATGGGAAATAGGGGAGCAAACCCAGACTCAGGCTCACAAAACCCTGGCAACCCCACTCAATGAATCTCATTGCTAAGGAAGATTCAACCCAGCAACAGGATCCAGGAGCCACAGAAGGCAGATAAGCCATTGCCCTTTGGGGTTTAGTTGGTTAAGGAGTGCACCACTGTAATTAAGCCCGCTGTTGCTTGGTAACCCCCAAACTAGAACCTGGATGCCCCATATTACGCTTTTAGCCCTCCCATCAACCAAAGATAGATGTAATTTTCCAGTCAGCTGTAGAGTGGTTCATAGATTTTAATGACTCACAGAAGGATGTTTCTCTTCTCACATTAGATGTTCAGATGTCCCTTGTTCCCTTGCTCCCTTGTTCCCTTCTCTACTCCTACTCCCCCTATCCGCTCCACAGTCCTGGCAAGAGACAGGTCAGGGCGGTAGCTGCTGCAGCCAAAATGCCTGCAGGGGCCACATGGCTTGCCACGGCGCTGTTGCACAGGTCTCCCAGGTAGCAGTCCCTGTGGGCTGGATAAGTCACGTCTCCCACCGACTCTGTCTCCACTTGATTGCAATGATGGGCTGCGACGCAGGCTGGATGTTGGTGAATCAAGGTCACTGGGGCTGAGAGAGAGAATGAAACTGGGGTGTTGGACTCCTGGCTTCAGGACTTGCCTTCTGGGGCAGAGCAGATGTGATTTCAAGGAGCCCAAAGGGATTTTCAGCCCCCTCAAAAAACACCTCCCTGAAACCAAGTGATCAAAGTTAATGCATTGACCTTGTAAACTCCTGATGTGATGCAGCAAGAAGGATGCAACATCACTTCTGCAGTATTCTTGCTTAAAATGCATGACCTCAATCTCATCATGGCAAATATCAGATAAATAAATATCGAGGGACATTCTATAAAATAATTTTTAGTATTTCAAGTATCTGTAATTTTTTTTTTTTTTTTGAGACGGAGTTTCACTCTTATTGCCCAGCTGGAGTGCAATGGTGTGATCTCGGCTCACCGCGACCTCCACCTCTTGGGTTCAAGCAATTCTCCTGCCTCAGGTTCCCGAGTAGCTGGTATTACAGGCGGGCACCACTACACCCGGCTAATTTTGTATTTTTAGTAGAGACGAGATTTCTCCACATTGATCAGGCTGGTCTTGAACTCCCGACCTCAGGTTATCCACCCGCCTTGGCCTCCCAAAGTGCTGGGATTACAGGCGTGAGCCACTGCATCCGGCACGTAATTTTTGTTTAATCTAAAAATGATTTTATTTAATTTTAGAGAAAAGATCTTGCTCTCTCACTCAGGCTGGAGTGTGGTGGTGCAATCATACCTCCCTATAGCCTCAAACTCCTGGGCTCAAGTAATCCTCCTGCCTCAGCCTCTCAGGAAACTGAGATTACAGGTGTGTGCCACTATGCCTGGCTAATTTTTTAAAAACATTTTTTGTAGAGATGGGGGTCTCACTTTGCTGCCCAGGCTGGTGTCAAACTCCTGACCTCAGGTGACTCTTCAGCCTTGGCCTCCCAAAGTGCTGGGATTACAAGTGTGTGCCACCAAGCCTAGCCTAAAAATTATTATTATTATTATTTTTGAGACAGGGTCTCATTTTGTTCCCCAGGCTGGAGTGTAGTGGCGTGATCATGGCTCATTGTAGCTTCAATCTCCCAGGCTCAAGCGATCCTCCCTCTTCAGCCCCCTGAGTAGCTAGGACTACAAGCATGTGCCACCACACCCAACTAATTTTTTAATCTGTTTGTTTGTTTGTTTGTTTGTTTTTTGTAGAGACAGGGTCTCCCTATGTTGCCCAGGCTGGTCTCAACTCTTGGGCTCAAGTGGTCCTCCCACCTTGGCCTCCTAAAGTGCTGGGATTACAGGTGCGAGTGACTGCACTGGCCCTAAAAGTAATTTTTTAAACTCCAGGTATAAAATAATTTATCAGGGCTCTTCAAATGTGTCAGGGTCATGAAAGACAAAGAAAAACAGAACTGGCACAGATCAGAGGAGACTAAGAAGACATGAGAGCTAAATGCAATGTAGGATCTTGCTAAATCAAATAAAGTCTGTAGATTAGTTAGTAGTATTGTATCAGTTATTTTGTGATTTTGATAATTGTGCTATGGTTATGTAAGATGTTAGCATTAGGAGAAGTTGAGTATTTCTGCAACTTTTCTGTCAATCCAAAATTATGTTAAAATAAAATATTAAAAACATGTACACACACACACACACACACACACACACACACACACACACCCCTCCCTGGTCCTTAACTAATGCCGAAAATTTGAAGTTTGGTTTTAACTTTGGCCTTTCAGGGCCAGAGCTCTTCATTTGTGAGCTAATGGGCCTATGAGATTCTTTTAGGAGAATAAGGAGGTGGGGAAGTGGGGGCACAAGGACTGTGGGCCTCTCAGGGGCTCCGTGCCAGGAGCCAGAAGGGGTACAGACTGCTCTCCTCTAACAGCTGCACCATCTGCCCAGAGCCAGACTGAGCCTGGAGGGTTCTGGAAGCCAGAAGGATTGACATGGGGCTGGAGGCAGGGAAAGGCTGCTGGAAGAGGGAGAAACTGAGGACTCACGGTTTCCAGGTAGCTTGATCTGTTCCAGGCCTGGCTGGGGTCTGCCCTCGCCACAGGTGGTCACGGCCTCTTTGCAAGAACTGCTGGGGCTTCCACCACAGTTGTAGCACCGCATTCGGTTTCCTGGCAGGAGAAAAGAGGCGCTGGACCTGGGCCCTCGGTGGAGCCGGCTGGCAGAAGGCCTGTGTGAGAAGCTAGCTGGCCGCCTCCTTACCCAAGGCAGCCCCTAGCAGGGAGCTGAGCAAGATCCCAACAAACTGGGGTTTCATCGCAGTCTGCCCGTGTCAGGACCGCCTCTACCTCCTGCCCACCCCCCTCCCCAGCCCGGCTCTGCCTGCCTTATATCCCCCGTGCCTTGAGCTTTATAGGGCTATAAAAAAGGAAGAAAGAGTCTCCCCCAGCAGGCACCAAGGGCCCCAGTGGGGACAGGGAGGGGCCCCACAGCATGCTCTCAGCATCCTCTGGAGTCCTCAAACTCCTTTATCCTCAGCAGCAGTCTGTGGACCAACAAGAACCCCTGAGGATCCCTGATACCCTTTCACAGGGTCCTTGAGGGTCCTCCTTTTGCAACTATCTGTGTAAGGTCAGATTTTCTTCATATACTGGACTTCAACGAAAACAACATATCCCAACAGACTGAATGCAGAAGCAGATAGGAAAACCCAGGCATCTCCCACGAAGCCTGACACTAGATTCACAAAAATGTAAAGCAATGCTCAGCTTCTCACTGTGCTGTGGAGAAATAATAGTTATTTTTCACAAAACTGTATTTTGTTAGCATGTAATACTTTATTATTTTTATTGTTTAAATAAATCAATAAATACCTACTTTAAATTTTCTGTTTTAATTTTTAATGTAGTAAATATTGATATAACCTCATAAAGAAAAGCTCTTCAGAGTCTTAAGTAACTTTGAAAAGTGTAAAGAGGTCCTGAGATCAATATTTTTGAAAAGAGCTGCTCTCCTGGGCACCTGTGTCTCCCCTATCTTCACTCCCTGTTCCTAGTCTTACTCCTCCTGGTACATGCTGGCTCTGATTCCCCAGATGGGCCTTCCTCCTTCCCAGTCTCTTCAACCCCAGCCTTCCAGGCTGTATCACCACCCCCCTACCCCAAATCCCATCCATGCCTTCCTTTCTAGTGATTTCTCCCCAGTGCAAGCACATCAGCAGGCCCTCCAGCCCCACCCGTGGTTATTTCTTTCCTCCAAGGTAGTAAAGCTGGCAGGGATAATTACAGGGTAGGAATGTTGAAGCTTGGGGGGATCAAAGGGATCTGAAGCTGGGTGGGGTCCGCCCTTACACAGCTGGGCTTTGTGTGTGCATGTGGGTGTGTGGGTGGGGGTATTGTTGATTCTACACTCAAACAGATCCACGCCGGGGCTGTTTAGGAGGGTGACTTTGAGAGACATGAAAGCACTGAGGGGGAAAGACAGAGAAAACAAAGACAGAGAGAAGCTGAGAGAGCCAGGGAGCAGCTTGAGACATGGGGAGGGAGGGGGAGGAGTAGGAGGGAAGGCGACAGACACAACTCAGGAGCAGGAGAGGAAGCTAAGTTACAGAGACAACATGCTGAGAGAGCAGAGGAGACCCTCCAGGCAAGGGCAGACTCCTTGCAGGGGCAGGCTGGGGGCCCCCGCTGCCTGCTGGGTCAGGCTGGTGAATCTGGTCATGGTTCCGCCCCCCAGATTCACTCCCTAGGTGTGTTTGTTTACTGGTTCCTCACTGTCTTGCTCAAATGCTCCAACTCTACAAATCCCGGGATCTCGGGGTGCAGATCACCTCTCCCAGATTCCTGAGCCTGTGTCTGGCCATGGGCACCTCCAGCATCTTCCTCTGCGTGCTGTTCCTCTGTGGGGCACTGGGTAAGGGTGGGCTGGGGAACCTTCAGTGGTCAGGGGGCTGGGGGTGGGGACAAGGGCATGTGGAGGAACCTGAGGGCTGGGGAGGAGAGGGGTGTGGGTGCTGGAAGAGGCCAAGAAGAGAGCTGGGGGAGTGGGGGACTTCAGGGAGACCAGCCACTGGGAAGGCCAGCCTGATGAGGTGGGAAAGGAAGAGTTTCCTTTCAAGGCATTTGAGAATAACTGTCTCCCCCTTGCTGCATCTTTGATCCGCCCCTGTCTCCCCTATCCCTTATTTCACGTGTTGCTTCTGTGCTGGGCCCTTTGGTCAATGTCAATTTCTATTTTCCTATCTGTCTCTGGTGCCATTTACTTAACTTTTTCACTGACCCCCTCAACTTCCCTGCTGCTGGGTCTGGCTTTTTGTCTCACTCTTTTTATGTTGGTCTCTGATTCTTGTGGCTTCTGTTCATGTCTGCGCATCTCTCAATCCCTGTACCCCTCTTGCCTCCATCTCTGTTTCTTTTCCTGCATCGTCTCCCTCTTTTTTTTTGAGACAGAGTCTCGTTCTGTCACCCAGGCTGGAGTGCAGTGGCATGATCTCGGCTCACTGCAACCTCAGCCACCCAGATTCAAGAGATTCTCCTGCCTCAGCCTCCCAAGTAGCTGGGACTAGAGGCATGTGCCACCATGCCCGGCTAATTTTTTGTATTTTTAGTAGAGACGGGGTTTCACTGTGTTAGCCAGGATGGTCTCAATCTTCTGACCTCATGATCAGCCCGCCTCGGCCTCCCAACGTGCTGGGATTACAGGCGTGAGCCACTGCGCCCAGCTATTTTTTCTACTTCTGTCAGCTTTCCTCCCTTATTCCACAGCTTTCCTCTCTCTGCTTCATGTGTCACCTCTCTCTGTGATCCCTCTCCGGATCTGGCCTCTGCCTGCCCCACAGGGAGGGTTTGCCTCTCCTGCTCTCCTAATCTCTGCTGCCTCAACAGGTCTCACCATGTCCCCTGCCCGGGGAAGGCTCCGCTGCTACATCTGTGGCTTCACCAAACCCTGCCACCCTGTTCCCACCGAGTGTCGGGACGATGAAGCTTGTGGCATCAGTATTGGCACTTCAGGTAGGACTCTGGTCCAATGGCCCTTCTCCAGGAGGCTCCCTACCTCCATCCATCCGGCCTTTCCTGTGGCCCCCGCCTCAGCATGCCTCTTTCATCCCACAGACCAGAGTGAGATCACTGAGTGAAAAAGCTGCCTCTCAAGGGCCCAGTGCCCTCTGCCAGGCTATGCCACCTACTGGCTGCACTCCTACACTCTGTGGCACCACTGCTGCGAGCAGGACCTGTGCAACATAGCCGCTTCCCCACAGCAGCTCACCAGCCTCCTCGCCTCCCTGCCCCTCTTTGTGGCCAGCTTCGCTGGGAGAGGACACCTCCTCCACTAGCTTCCGTGGATCTGCAGCCCCCAACCCAGGATACCCCCCGCCATCACTGCGGCCCTGGAAACACCTGCACAGACACTTTGAGACATGCCCGAGAACCTAATTTTGTACAGAGACCCCAGATCTCTCAGCAGACCCCTCACAGACCCCTCACAAGGCCTGGGGAGGCACCTGCCCAGAGTCCAACCTCATAAAGAACACCTATTCTGCGTCTTTTGTCTTTTCTAGATGCCCATTGCTGATGCCCCGTGTCAGCCCAGGTCACTGGCAAGGCAGGCATTTTGATGACACTGTGGATCTCAGGCAAGGGGATCAAAGGAGCATCAGGTATGGTAAGGAGGAGAGTCTTGCTAGGAAAGACTAATGTGGTAGGTCGGGAACTCAGGATGGAGGGCTTGGGGGACTATGAAGAGTACCTTTAATAAAAGGTCTATCTAGGAGTCCAGTAATACTGCAGATACTGCAGTGTGTGTGTGTGTGTGTGTGTGTGTGTGTGTGTGTGTCTGTGTGTGTGTGCTCTAAGAGCAAACTGTAGCTGCTTGGTGGGTTGGGCTGGAGCTGGAACCTGGACCACGGCACTCCCCTCATTCTCCATCTGTGTCATTTTCGTCCTTTTTCTTGCCAATGGCTTAGTTTAAGCCCCTGCAGCCTGAAGCCTTTAGGTGAGACTTCTGAGAAAGCTTTTTTCCAGTAAGGCCCAAGCTTGAGCAGAGACACAAAAGGGCACCCAGTGGAGCTGCTTGTGAGGGTGTGGCTGGAGCTCAGCTCATTTCTGCCTGAGACTAGGGAATGGCCAAGTTGGGAGCATCAATATCCTCCCTCGCTTCACCAGCCCAGACTCGCCCATGGTTCACAGACATCCCAGCATGGCCCCGGCCCAATAAATAACATACCCCCACTGGGCCTGCCAGCCTGAGTAGACACTCCCTCTGCCCCCGAGAAATAGGGTGTGACCTCAGGGCAGCAGGAAGGAAGTGCCAGAGTGGCGATAGCTGCTCACATGCTCTGAATGCCCCGGTAAGGCGCCACAGGGAAGAGTGTGTGCCTAGGATAAGGAAGGATAAGGAGGGGGCCCCGGGTGGGAGCTGAGCACAGGCATCTCTATCCTGACTCAGTTCCCTCCCCTTGCATGTGAGGAAGTCTGGGGTTGATTAAATATGCCTGTTCCCTCTCTTCTTTGTGAGGATGAGACATGGGGTAGTGGGGGTCTGGCTTAATTTAGAGATGGGTTGAGGCTTTCCATTTTCTCTGTCCCTCCATCCTCCCACTTTGTGCTTCTATTTTTCTCCCTCTGTCCATCTCTTTCCACTTTCTCTGACTTGAGTCTCTTCCCTTCTCTCTCTTCCCCCGTTTTCCCCATTTGTCCTTCAGCTCCACTGCAATGGATTCCTCACCATTGCTCAAGTCTCCAGATTCCTGTCTCCTCCCTGTGCACACCCATCCTCCTTGCCCCCACCAGCAACCTCAGGCTCCCCTCAACCCCACAGTACTATGGGCTCAGGGCCATCCCTCCACTGCTGCTACAAGACAGGAGACCAAACCTTTTTGTAGGTTACATCACAGAATAATGCTCCTCCTTTCCTTCAGTCCCCCACCCCTCCCCATACACAGCTTGGTGGCTGCTGGAGGCCAGCTGGATGGTGAAGTCGAACTCTCAGTCCCGCCCCCCTTGCTAAGGTTGTCGAGGAATCTTCCAGGTGCCAGATGGCCAGCGAGACAGCAGGTCACACTTCCCAGCAGATGTCACCAAAATCACCTGGGCTTGTGGGCAGGTGGGCTGTGGGGTTTTCCAGAGAGACAGATTAAGGATACCTCTACTTTTCACATCCTCAGGAACGAGGGCCCATCCCCAACCCAACCCGTGTTTCCTCTCCATCCCCAGTCCCCTCCAGGATTTAAGCCTCTGTTCCCTAGCTGTTCCTCACCCAAGACGGGCCAAATGGATGTTCTCATAGACCTGGATTTCGGGTTTGAACTGAGGAATCGAGGCATCTGGGGAGAAGGAGCCATCAGGGATACAGAAGAGAAGTCAGCAGACAACTTAGAGCCGTGTTCCTCGCCCCCTCCCCTAGAGGAGGTGGGGTACAGAGGCGGGGTGTGAGCCTAGCCCTTTGCCTCCCACCCATGTGCCCTCTTCTTTCCCCGGGGAGGGAGGGACTCACCTCTGCCTGGAGCCCCACGGACCCTCTGCCTCCAGAGCACGATGCTGAGGGCCAGGATGACAACTCCCTGGCCCATTGTGAGCAGCAGCATCAGAATCCAAGGCATGTCCCAGCCCGTGGAAGGGGCACAGAGGGCAGGAGAAGCATCGATGGAGGCTGTAGTAAGGGCCAGACCAGAGGGATGGGAGGGAGGTAGTGAGGGGCCCTGTCCCTGTGCCCCAAAGAGAGGCTTCCCCTCCACAGTCTGGTGGGCTCTTCCAACAGAAGACTTTGTAAGCTTCCCTGCCCACAATATCCTCCACCCTACTCTGCCCCTTTCCAGGCCTCTCACCCTGACCCATAGAGAATGGCGGCCAGGCACAGTGGCTCATGCCTGTAATTCCAGCACATTAGGAGGCCAAGGCGAGCAGACCACTTGAGGTCAGGAGTTCAAGACCAGCCTGGTCAACATGATGAAACCTCATCTCTACTGAAAGTATAAAAATTGAGGCCAGGCGCAGTGGTTCACACCTGTAATCCCAGCACTTTGGGAGGCCGAGGTGGGTGGATCACCTGAGGTCAGGAGGTCGAGACCAGCCTGACCAACATGGTGAAACCCCATCTCTACTAAAAACACAAAAAAGAGGCCGGGCGCTGTGGCTCACACCTGTAATCCCAGCACTTTGGGAGACCAAGGCGGGCAGATCACGAGGTCAGGAGATTGAGACTATCCTGGCCAACATGGTGAAACCCCGGCTCCACTAAAAATACAAAAATTAGCTGGACGTGGTGGCATATGCCTGTAATCCTAGCTACTCGAGAGGCTGAGGCAGGAGAATCACTTGAACCAGGGAGTCAGAGGTTGCAGTGAGCCGGGATTGCGCCACTGCACTCCAGCCTGGCGACAGAGAGAGACTCTGTCTCAAAAAAAAAACAAAAAAAAACACACACACACACACAAAAGTTAGCCAGGCGTGGTGGCAGGCACCTGTAGTCCAGCTACTCAGGAGGCTGAGATGGGAGAATAGCTTGAACCCAAGAGGCAGAGGTTGCAGTGAGCCAAGATCGTGCCACTGCATTCCAGCCTGGCCAACAGAACAAGTCTCCATCCCAAAAAAAAAAAAAAAAAAAAAAAAAAGGCCAGGCGTGGTGGCTCACACCTATAATCCTAACACTTTGGGAGACTGAGGCAGGCAGATCATGAGGTCAAGAGATCAAGGCCATCCTGGCCAACATGGTGAAACCCCGTCTCTACTAAAAATACAATTTTTTTTTTGAGATAGAGCTTCGCTCTTGTTGCCCAGGCTGGAGTGCAATGGCGTGATCTTGGCTCACTGCGCCCTCCACCTCCCAGGTTCAAGTGATTCTCCTGCCTCAGCCTCCCGAGTAGCTGGGGTTAGAGGCATGTGCCACCATACCCGGCTAATTTTGTATTTTTAGTAGAGACAGAATTTCTCCATGTTAGTCAGGCTGGTCTTGAACTCCCAACCTCAAGTGATCCGCCTGCTTCGGCCTCCCAAAGTGCTGGGATTACAGGATTGAGCTACCATGCCTGGCCTAATAATAATAAAATAAAATAAAATAAAATAAAAAGTAGAGAATGGCAATGCCCCCTGCTCACGCATGGGCAACCAACTACAGAGCAGACCACCAGCCATAACCACACTTTCCCCTCACACCCTTTATAGTAATTCACCCTTTCTTTCAAGAAAAAATAGCCAGATGTGATGGCTCATGCCTGTAACCCCAGCACTTTGGGAGACCAAGATAGGAGGATCATTTGAGGCCAGTAGTTTGAGACCAGACTGGGCAACATAGCAAGATCCTGTCTCTACAAAAAATTTAAAGGTGCGGTGGCTCATGCCTATAATCCCAGCACTTTGGGAGACTGAGGCAGGCAGATCACTAGAAGTCAGGAGGTTGATACCAGCCTGGCCAAAATGGTGAAATCTCGTCTCTACTAAAAGTACAAAAAATTATCCAGGCATGGTGGCGGGCGCCTGTAATTCCAGCTACTTGGGAGGCTGAAGTGAAAGAACATCCCTTTCCGTCTCCTTCCTCAGTTTACCTGCCAGGCTAAAGCTGACCCCTTTGTTGTGAGTCATGAGGCAGCGGATGATTCTTGGTCTTCGGCTCCTGGGCTCAGAAAGCCCCTCCCCAGGACACACCAAGAGCAGGGCAGCCTCACTGCCCCAGAAGGACTGAACACGGCCCCTCACGGGACCCTTCCCTTCCTGCCAGGTCACAGAGTCCATGCGTCTGCTGGGGACCACAGAGCACAGGAGGACATTGCAGGGGGATCCATCTGCAGCCCTTGCAGATAACTGGGATCCTGTAGGGGAGAGAGGGATTCCTCAGTTCTTCACCTGGACTTCCTGGGCCACAGTAGCCCCTGGTCTGCATGCCCCCACTCACCTTTGAGCACCAAGACGTCGTACACCCTCCAGTTCTGGTAGTTGTGGTGCTGAC
This sequence comes from Homo sapiens, assembly GCF_000001405.40. Classification (NCBI taxonomy): domain Eukaryota; kingdom Metazoa; phylum Chordata; class Mammalia; order Primates; family Hominidae; genus Homo; species Homo sapiens. The sequence continues at coordinate 31,707,733 of NC_000006.12, read as the reverse complement.
CTAGCACAGCGCACCAGTACCGCCCGGCATCTTCCTCTTTGGATCCCTCCAACCACAAAGAATAGTTCCCCAGCAGTCTGAGCCTGGATTCCCTTCCTGGTTTTCCAGGGTCTGGGGCTGGCCTGCCCACTTGGACTTGGGCTACCAGGGTGGTGAAGGAGCCTGCTGCAGGGCTGCAGAACCATGACAGGTGTTCGTCCCCATGTAGAGTAGGTGGTGAGGGACATGGCAGCTCTACTGCCTCCCCCAAGGCCACATAGATGGCCTGCATGTTGTCTGTGGGAAGAGGGTTGTATGAGGCCAGAGACCTCCATCAGATCAATAACCCCCCATTTGATCTTCAACCCTGGCTTCCTTCCCTTCTGGGGTCCCCCAGCACAGGCCTGGCTGGTGACCACATTTCTCAAGTGACAGCTACAAAAATAAGACAGGTGGAGAGAAGAGGGTAAGGGCTTTCCTCCTCTCTCCCCCAGCCAGTGAGGGGGTCTGAGGGCAAGAGGGAAAAGGCTGAAAGTTGGCAAATGCCCACATCTCTTCTACTCATTTCTACTTTTCTGGAAGCATTTACTCATTCTTCTTATTTTATAAAGGAAACTGCATAACCTGGACCCTCGTTGCCTCTGGGTCTTCCCTAGTGTCAGAGGCAGGAGGAGGTTGGTTGGGGTAATTCTATCTTCTTGAGTCAGATGCCTTCGCCAGGCTCCTAGGAGAAAGAGCAGTAGTCCCTCCCCAACCTTGCAAATAGCTAAGGAATCCCGTACCTCTTGCCCCTTACCTGCAGCCTGGGGAGTTCCACATAGGAACAGGAGGAGGAATAAGACTGCCATGGGGAGAGCCTGCCAAGTTCTCTTGCTCCAAGACCTGGTGTCCCCAGGGAGGAAGCAGAGTCCAGATAAAGGCCCACACTCGCTGGTCTGGAGTGACAAGGGGCTCTGGAGGGGATGGGAATGCTGGGGCGATAAAGCCCAGCAGCATGTCTACTAGGGATAAAGTGACCACCACTTTTCTATCCTGGAGAGAAAAGGACCCAGCCCAGGCCACTCTGAAGATGACCTTTTTGCTCTTCTGATTCCACATCAGCTAAGGGGCTCAAATAAAGACTTTCCATGCAAAAAACCATGCAGAGAAGTGGTCCTGCCTGTCTAGCTCTTGTCAGTCTGGAAGTACATTCTGAGGTCTCTTTCACTCCTAAGAAAGGTCAGCCATGAGTTGGGTGGATCACTTGAGGTCAGGAGTTCGAGACCAGCGTGGCCAACATGGCGAAACCCTGTCTCTACAAAAAATACAAAAATTAGCCAGGCGTGGTGACATGTGCCTGTAATCCCAGCTACTTAGGAAGCTGAGAGGCACCAGAATCGCTTGAACCCGGGAGGTGGAGGTTGCAGTGAGCCGAGATCGTGCTACTGCACTCCAGCCTGGGAGACAGAGCGAGACTTCATCTCAAAAAAAAAAAAAAAAAAAAAAAAAAAGAAAAAGAAAAGAAAAGAAAAGAAATGTCAGCTATGAGTGAAGAAACTGAGTTTGAGTTTTTATGTTGGTCCTCCACAGAACCCAGCACAAGACTGTGTATCGAGTCAGTGTCCCGTAAATGATTTGGAATGACTTTCCCTGTGGTTGTCTGGCATACCCCGGACCTCTCCTGAAACCCTAATAAGTGTATTAAATTATTACTCAGGGACAAGGCTAACGGGCTGATTCATCCTTCTGAACGGCAAAAACTCCTAAGGCAGATCTTCATGCAGTTATTACAGTTTTAATGTGTAATTTATTTATTTTTAAAATTATTTTGATGAAATATTCCATACATACCAAAAACTATATGAAGTACAACTATATAATGGATAAATGCTTAACAGAGTAGAAGACTGGACAGCAATGAGAATGAACAAACCTAGTGATTTGCAACAAAGTTGAATCTCACAATATAATGAGAGTAAAAGAAGCCTGGCCAGGCATGGTGGCTCATGTCTACAATCCTAACACTTTTGGAGGCCAAGGTGGGAGGGTTGATTGAAGCCAGAAGTTTGAGGTTGGGCAACAGAGCAAGACCCCAACTCTGAAAATAAAGGCCAGACGCCGTGGCTCACGCCTGTAATCCCAGCACTTTGGGAGGCTGAGGCAGGCGGATCACGAGGTCAAGAGATCGAGACTATCCTGGCCAACATGGTGAAACCCTGTCTCTACTAAAAATACAAAAATTAGCTGAGTGTGGTGGTGGATGCCTGTAGTCCCAGCTACTCAGGAGGCTGAGGCAGGAGAATCGCTTGAACTCAGGAGGCAGAGGCTGCGGTGAGCAGAGATCATGCCACTATACTCCAGCCTGGTGACAGAGCGAGACTCCGTCTCAAAAAAATAAATAAATAATAAATAAATAAATAAATAAATAAATAGAATATTCCAGGCCGGACTCGGTTGCTCATGCCTGTAATCCCACCACTTTGGGAGGATGAGACAGGCGGATCACCTGAGGTCAGGAGTTCAAGACCAGCCTGACCAACATGGAGAAACCCCATCTCTACTAAAAATAAAAAAATTAGCAGGGCATGGTGGTACATGCCTGTAATCTCAGCTACTTGGGAGGCTGAGGCAGGAGAATCGCTTGAACCCCAGAGGCAGAGGTTGTGGTGAGCCGAGATCGGGCCATTGCACTCCAGCCTGGGCAATAAGAGCGAAACTCGGTCTCGAAAAAAAAAAAAGAAAAAGAAATAGAATATTCCAGGCCAGGCACAGTGGCTCATGCCTGTAATCCCAGCACTCTGTGAGGCCAAAGCAGGAGGTTCACTTGAGCCCAGGAGTTCGAGACCAGCCTGGGCAACATGGTGAGACCTTGTAAAATTAGCCGAGTATGGTGGTGTGGGCCTATAGTCCCAGCTACTCAGGAGGTTGAGGCAGAAAGATGGTTGAGCCCAGCAGGTGGAGGATCAGGGCAGTGAGCCGTGATTGTGCCACTGTGCTCCAGCCTGGGTGAAAGAGCTAGACCCTGTCTCAAAAAAAAAAAAAAAAAAAAACAGAAAAAAAGAATATTCCGTTTCAGTCAGAGATCCTCTATGCTGTGTAACCACAATTCTGAATTTTCTCTTTCTTCTCCACTTGCTTTATCATTAAATTTTATGTGTTTTTGAATCTAATATACTAGTATCACGTATACATTCTTCTGTGGCTTTCTATTTTCACTCAGCATCATGGTTTTAAGATCCAGTTCATGCATAACAGTAATGATTCATTTATTTTCTTTTTACAAATATTCCGCATATCTTACTGTGCTGAATTTTCGTATCCAGGACCATGGTGTAGCTTTCCATTTATTGAAAAGCTTTTCGTTTACCTCTTTCTTTTTTTATTTTTTCAATTATTATTGTTATTATTTTGAGGCAGGGTCTGGCTCTGTCACCCAGGCTGGAGTGCATGGAGCGATCTCAAACTCCCGGGCTCAAGCGACCCTCCCACCTTGGCCTCCCAAGTAGCTGGGACTACAGGTGGGCACCACCACACCCTGCTAGGTCTTTTTTTTTTCCCCCTTGGTATTTTGTGTAGAGATGGGGTCTCACTATGTTGCCTGGGCTGGCTTGGAACTCCAGGGCGCAAGCAATCCTCTCTCAGCCACCCCAAGTGTTGGAATTACAGGCATGAGCCATGGCCTGGAACTCCTGGACGCAAGCAATCATCCCTCGGCCACCCAAAGTGTTGGAATTACAGGCGTGAGCCACCGCGCTGGGCCAGTTTACCTTTATTTATTTATTTAGAGACAGAGTCTTGCTCTGTCACCAAGGCTGAAGTGCAGTGGGAAGATCTCGGCTCACTGCAACCTCTGCCTCCCGCGTTCAAGCGATTCTCGCGTCTCGGCCTCCCGAGTAGCTGGGATTACAGGCGCGCACCACCCATGCCAGGCTAATTTTTGTATTTTTAGTAGAGATGGGGTTTCACCATGTTGGCCAGGCTGGTCTCGAACTCCTGGCCTCAAGTGATCCCCCCGCCTCGGCCTCCCAAAGTGCTAGGACTACAGGCGTGAGCCACTGCGCCGGGCCGGGCCAGTTTGCCTTTTCAATAACTTTTTATAGTTTTCTTCATAAAACCTTGCATTTCTTGTACTAGATACATTCCTAGACACCTTATGTTTTCGGTTACTCTTATCAAGTACTCCTAATCTCACCCCTCGTTTCCGCTGTCGCTCTAGAGTCTGCCAATAATGAGACAGAAAAAAATTATTGAACCATGCCCGGTAATTTTCTGATTCTCCGCGTTCTAGTGGTCTTCCACTAGTTTCGGACCACTGCTGTACCCGTAGCTCCAACTGCGCGAAACTCTTCTCAGGAAGCACTGAAAATGTCGCAACTCGCCCGGAGGCGGAGCCGGTACGGGCTGACGTCAAGGGCACACAACACCTCAGAGGCAGGGAGGGCGGGGCCGGCAGGGGGACCTGCTGCTGGAAGAGCAGCGGCCCGAGCCGGGGCCATGGCGAAGCTGCTGAGCTGCGTCCTAGGCCCCCGGCTCTACAAAATCTACCGGGAGAGGGACTCTGAAAGGGCCCCGGCCAGCGTCCCTGAGACGCCAACGGCAGTCACTGCCCCCCATTCCAGCTCCTGGGTGAGTCGAGTTCCTCCCCACCGAAGAACGTGGTACAGTCCAAACCCTTTACGGCCTTTTGCTCCCCAGAAGTGCCCATAATGGGAAATAAGGGGAGCCTGCTTGTCAAGCCAGTTATCCGCAAAATCTGCGCTCTGTGTGCTTCCTGAGTTAAAGTCACGCCTACGGACTGGCCGCCTCCTTTCTTTTTCGCTCTTTACCGCTTTCTCATTCCGACTGCCACTCTTTGTTCTTTCCTCTCCGCGTCCCCCCGACCCTGTGTGTCGTGGTTCGTGCCGGTCCCAGTTGAGTCTTGAGTCCCGGGAAGAGACCCTGCGCGGACTGGGGAGCCGTTGAATTTTGCTGTCAGACTCCCAGTTTCCTCTTCTTCAGTGCCTCTTCATGCCTCCCCCGGCTCTGTTTTTATCTTCCCTTTACCCTCGCCTTGAATTTCAGAATGACTTTTACAGATCCTGTATCCGTCGGTCCTCCCCTCAACCCCCGCCCAACCTAGCCTGGAGACCCGAGTCATTGTATTCTGGAGAGCTGGCGGGTGGTGGTAGGCTGTTCTAAATATTCTCTTCCTTTTTATCAGTTGTCTCATTGTGTTACTGTCTCCTACAAACTGCCCGCTCCTACCCACATTCTCTTCTTAGTCAACTACTCTTATTTCTGATGCTTTTCTTTCCTTCTTAGATTGTCTAGGTGTCTTTTCTTTCTTCTCAAACTAACCCTTCTCCCCACATGCACGCGCCTGCAATCCATTTGAAACTAGGCTGTGGAAAAGGAGCAAAAATCGTCCAATGCTGCTTTCACTTTTGCTTCCAAATCCAGCTCCCTGTGTTTGTTCCCATGGTCAGGGGTGGGAAATTAGGTTCAGAGTGAGGGTGAGGAAGAGGAGTTTCTGTGGGGGCCAGGGATGTTTCAAGAGAGATAGTCAACGAGACTAGAACCAGAGGACACACAGCAGGGCTTCTGAAAGGGAAGGGAAAGGACCTGCCAGTGGGCAGGGTCCTTAAGGAGGCCATCTGTTTTGGCAGGATACGTACTATCAGCCCCGTGCCCTGGAGAAACATGCTGACAGCATCCTGGCACTGGTATGTCTACCCTGGCATCTGGGACTCTGCATCTTTCAGACCCACCTGTCCTCTTGAACTTAGCCCTCCCTAACTTGGGAGCAACAGTGCCCTGGGGTTGGGGGATGCCCTGGGCTCTGCAGCAGACCTCTCCAACACAGACACACAGGCACACTCTAAATGTGCATACTTGGCACTCCCCTTTGGTATGTAGCACTGCTTTCTCTGGGGGCAACCTGAGCCGTAAGGAAAACATGTTTACTCTTGGGACCATCTGCAGGTGCTAAGTCCTGCAGTTCCCCAGTGACCTGTCCTCCCTGGCAACTAACCTCTTTGGCTGCAGGGACAGCTGTTCTTTCTGGCACAGTTCCTGTGGTGACGTTTGCGCATCTCTTGGGGACCAGGCCAGGGGCTGTCCTGAGCAGGGCCAATTGAAAAGGCTTGATTAACTTGAGTAGACAGAGAGACTGCCTTTAAATGTGATGGAATTATGTCTGGAGATGGAAGACATAATTCTTCCATAATTCCAGAGGAAGAAAATAGAGCCTGTACCAAATTTTCCCAGCCTCCATTACATTGACACACTACTTTTCAACAAATACTGAGCACCTACTGTATTCATGGTGTCATACACCAAATATGATATGATATCCCTCAGGTTGTCCATCTTGCTCAGAGTGTATAGTATATGCCTGGAATGGCAGGTGTGTGTGTGTGTGTGTATTGATTGCCTGTCCCTGTCTCTCTGCTGCAGGCTTCAGTATTCTGGTCCATCTCTTATTACTCCTCTCCCTTCGCCTTCTTCTACTTGTACAGGAAAGGTCAGTGTGGTTTCAAAGGTGGTGGGGTAGCAAATGGGCAGGTTGTTGGCAGATGAGCCAGCTCCCTAAAGAGGAGAGGGGACCTGTGAAGATGGCTTGGCTTCCCTCTTCCATCAGGCATCTTCTTCCTCTTAGGGTATGGCTGTTCCAAACAGGGAGTGTGGGGTGGAGGTTGGGGCTGAACTGGGAAGAGGAGCTGAGGGACATTGCGGAGAGGGTCTCACATTGTCCCTCTCCCTTCCCAGGTTACTTGAGTTTGTCCAAAGTGGTGCCGTTTTCTCACTATGCTGGGACATTGCTGCTACTTCTGGCAGGTGTGGCCTGCCTCCGAGGTAGGTGGAGAGGAAACCTGGTTTGAATCTTATCTGTCACTGTCACTGGTTAAAAATTAAGTACCTTGTGCAAATACATTTTAGTGATGGGCCTCCGAGAGGGAATCATTGAGAATGGTTTAAGGCATGATCTTTTCCTTAAAAGACTTGGGTTATAAATATGAAAAAATAACTGAAAAGTAACAAAAAGGTTTGCTTTTTTTTTTTTAAGAGATAGGGTCTCACCATGTTGTCCAGGCTGGTCTCAAACTCCTGAACTCAAAGTGATCCTCCCACCTCAGCCTCCCGAAGTACTGGGATTATAGATGTGAGCCACTATGCCTGGCTGCTTTTATCTAGAAAAGATGCATATACCCTACAACAATTCTATATATGTATACATACTAGGAAAACTCCTGCACATGTATAAACAATATAGATGTACAAGAATACAGCATACAACATTGTTTGTAATAATCCTAAGCTGGAAACAACTCCAGTGGCTACAAATAGTAGGATGGATAAAATATGTTCTGTGTGGCCGGGTGTGGTGGCTCATGCCTGTAATCCCAGCACTTTGGGAGGCAGAGGCCAGTGGATCACGAGGTCAGGAATTTGAGACCAGCCTGACCAACATGGTAAAACCCCGTCTCTACCAAAAATACAAAAATTAGCTGGGCATGGTGGCACGTGCCTGTAATCCCAGCTACTTAGGAGGCTGAGGCAGGAGAATAGCTTGAACCTGGGAGGCAAAGGTTGCAGTGAGACGAGATTGCGCTACTGCACTCCATCCTGGGCAACAGAGCAAGACTCCGTCTCAAAAAAAAAAAAAAGTTCCATGCAATAGCCATGCAAGAGAACACTATATAGCAATGCAAATGAACAAACTGTAGCTACGCTCAACAACGCAGATGAAGCCAGGTGCAGTGGCTCATGCCTGTAATCCTAGCAGTTTGGTAGGCTGAAGCAGGCAGATCACCAGAGGTCAGGAGTTCAAGACCAGTCTGTCCAACATGGTGAAACCCCGTCTCTACTAAACATACAAAAAAAAATTAGCCAGGTATGGTGGTGAGCACCTGTAATCCCAGCTATTCGGGAGGCTGAGGCAGTAGAATTGCTTGAATCCAAGAGGCAGAGGTTGCAGTGAGCCAAGATTGCGCTACTGTACTGCATCCTGGGCAACAGAGCAAGGCTCCATCTCAGAAAAAATAAAATACAAAAAATTAACTGGGCATGGTGGCACATGCCTATAGTCTTAACTGCTTGGGAGGCTAAGGCATGAGAACTGCTTGAACCTGGGAGGCAGAGGTTGCAGTGAGCCAAGATAGCACCACTGCACTCCAGTCTGGGTGACAGAGCGAGACTCTGTCTCCAGATAAACAAAAGCAATGCAGATGAATTTCTCAAATGTTGTGTTAAATAGAAGAAGCTAACCACAAAATAATGTATGCAGTATGTTTTCATTTATATAAAATTCAAAAGGGATGTGCATGTTTGAGGTAGAACACCGAAGACAACAAGGGCATGGTTTTCTTTTTTTTTTTTTTTTTTTTTGAGACGGAGTCTCGCTCTGTCCCCCAGGCTGGAGTGCAGTGGCGCGATCTCGGCTCACTGCAAGCTCCGCCTCCCGGGTTCACGCCATTCTCCTGCTTCAGCCTCCCGAGTAGCTGGGACTACAGGCGCCCACCACCACACCCGGCTAGGTTTTTTTGTATTTTTTAGTAGAGATGGGGTTTCACCGTGTTAGCCAGGATGGTCTCAATCTCCTGACCTCGTGATCCACCCGCCTCGGCCTCCCAAAGTGCTGAGATTACAGGCTTGAGCCACCGCGCCCAGCAAGGGCATGGTTTTCTCAAAAGTTAGGAGAGTGATTACCTGGGGTGGGGGAGAACAGAGTGGGGGAGAGCCCTGCTGAGAGGTGGCTGTGTTCTCTTTGTTGACCTAGGTGATAGTCACATGAATGTTTGCTTTGTATTTTTTAAACTGAATATATGTTTTATGTACATATGTTGTATCTCGCAATTTAAAAAAATAAAGAGGACAGATCACCTACCCCTAGTGGGTACATAAGATGACAACCAGGTGATGGGCGATGCTTCAACATGGGGGTGGTGGGGTCAGGGCTGGATGGTCGCAGTTGGGTCCAGGACCTTCTGCCTGAGGTGTTCTGCCCCCTGATCTCTGCAGGGCTGGGCTCTCTCCTCAGAGAGGCCTTCCCTGACCACCCTGTCTAAAAGTAGCTCCCACTGCTCAGTTTTGTCTTAGTTTTTTATTTTATTTATTTTTAATTTAGAAAAAATACAGAAAAAATTAGCTGTGCATGGTGGCGGGCGCTTGTAATCCCAGCTATTTGGGAGGCTGTGGCAGGAGAATCACTTGAACCCGGGAGGCGGAGGTTGCAGTGAGCCGAGAGCACATCATTGCACTCCCGCCTGGGCAACAAGAGCAAAACTGTCTCAAAAAAAAGAAAAAAGAAAAAATACAGAAAAGTCCAGAGAACAAAATATAAAAGCCTTTTTAAATTTTTTGATGTATAGTTTTGTGATTTTTTTTTTATATATAGTTTTGTGATATTTGCTTTAAATGCTTTCTGTCAACAAAATACTAAAGCACCACAGTTAGGGTTGGAGTTCCCATTGGAATCCTTTCAGTCCCATCTTCCTCTTTCCTCAGAAGTAATAATTGTCATTTGGTGTGGGTTTTTTTTTTTTCTGGCACATACTTTTATGAAACATATACCTCAGTTCCTCAAGTCTAAGCTGCCATCAATTGTAAAATGAATTCTAATTTCAGAGTTTTCAAGGGTTAAAAAATATACATTTTAGAATCTATGAAATATGGTATCTATAAGCAGTATGTATTATTTTGCACATTTTACATTTTTGGCATAAATGTTGTACAAATCATTCTGCAGCACACATCATTCTCTCATCATATCGTTTTGGGGGAATACCATTGATGACACATAAAGTTCTGGTTCATTCTTGTTGTATTTTCTCTGTAGCACTTATCCCTCTCTGAAATGTTGTTTATTGTCTTCTCCTGGCTGTACCTAACCCCAACCAGAATGCCAGCTCTCTGAGAGCCAGGAGCTGTGTATCTCATTTCCTGCTGAGTCTCCCGTGTGTAGTACGGTGCCTGTCTGACACACGACACCTGCCAAGTCAGTGAGGAGAGAAGTTAGGGTTTGAGGTGGCTCAGCAGTGAAAGGAGAGTGGATGCAATCACTGACTGTGTAAGTGAAAAGAGAGAGGAGAGAGAGTCAGCACTGAGAGTTGCTTCTGCTTCAGAAAGGAAAGCAGAAAGGAGGCAGGAGAGGAACTGTTCAGGAACTGGAAGGAGTCAAGGATGGGCCCAGGAAGCAGAGGCAGGAAGAATCTTGAGGGACAGGGAGAATGCTGAGTAGTACAGTTGAAGAGAATGAGGATAGAAGAGTCAGGAATTCAGTGAGGAAGTAATTATGGGCAGGAGTCGGAGACTCTGAAGCCAGATGGCAAGGGGCTAGAATATACAGAAAAGAGGCAGAAAGCAAACATTGGAGAAGAATGGCAGTGAAAAATAGAGAAATTTGATATTCGCAAGGGAGAATAGTATTATATGATAGTGTTTAATAGTGTCATTTAATAGGTTATATGACAGTGTTTAAAGACTGAGGAAGAGGAACATTCTGGAAGATGGTAGGTTAAGGATTGTCTATAAAGACACAAACTGCAGAAGCTAGGGAGAAGAAGCGTCCTGTAGCCAGTTGCTGGATTTGGAGGAAGGGGGTTGGCTCACATCTATTTCTCCGCATCCTATGCCCTCAGTTCCTTTTTCTTTCACTTTTTCTTACAGGGCCTTCTTCTAGCCCATCTCCAATTCTTTTCCTAAAACCTAGGCTTTCTGCTTCCCAGTTTTCCTAGCACTGTTTCCTGTCCTTTTTCTACCAGGCATTGGCCGCTGGACCAACCCCCAGTACCGGCAGTTCATCACCATCTTGGAAGCAACACATCGGAACCAGTCTTCAGAAAACAAGGTGAGAGGCCCTAGGAAAAGTGCCACACAGGCACCCAATAGCAGCTTTCTCAGTTGTCCCTCAGAGCACCAGACACTGGCTTCTGCAGGAAGAGGAGGTGTGTTTTACCACCCACCACACTGGGTGTTTGCTTGCACATTGCTGTATCCCTTCTCACCTCCATTAGTGAACTGTCCACCTGAGGAATTTTTCCTCCCTACCACTTCTAATGGAATATTCTGCTAGAACAATCTTCCCCCTCCCTCACCTGTAAGAACTGGCTAAACTAGAAACATTCCACAATGTTTCTTTTTTCTTTTTCTTTTTTTTTTTTTGAGATGGAGTTTCGCTCTTGTTGCCCAGGCTGGAGTGCAATGGCACGATCTCGGCTCACTGCACTCTCCACCTCCCAGGTTCAAGTGATTCTCCTGTCTCAGCTTCCTGAGTAGCTAGGATTACAGGCACGCACCACCCACACCCTCTAATTTTTGTATTTTTTGTAGAGACGGGGTTTCACCATGTTGGCTAGGCTGGTCTCCAACTCATGACCTCAGGCGATCTGCCTGCCCCAGCCTCCCAAAGTGCTGGGATTACAGGCGTGAGCCACCACTCCTGGCCTCTTTTTTTTTTTTTCTTCTTTGAGACAGAGTCTCACTCTTACTCAGGCTGGAGTATAGTGGTACAATCTCAGTTTACTACAACCTCCAACTCCCGGGTTCAAACAATGCTCATGCCTCAGCCTCCTGAGTAGCTGGAATTACAGGTGCACACCACCACGCCCAGTTAATTTTTTTTTTTTTTTTTTGAGACGGAGTCTCACTCTGTCGCCCAGGCTGGAGTGCAGTGGCGCCATCTCAGCTTACTGCAAGCTCGGCCTCCCGGGTTCATGCCATTGTCCTGCCTCAGCCCCCTGAGTAGCTGGGACTACAGGCGCCTGCCACCACGCCCGGCTAATTTTTTTATTTTTAGTAGAGACGGGGTTTCACCATGTTAGCCAGGATGGTCTTGATCTCCTGACCTTGTGATCCGCCTGCCTCGGCCTCCCAAAGTGCTGGGATTACAGGCGTGAGCCACCGTGCCTGGCCAATTTTTGTATTTTTAGCAGAGACAGGGTTTCATCATGTTGGCCAGGCTAGTCTTGAACTCCTGACTGCAGACGATCTGCCTGCCTTGGCCTTCCAAAGTGCTGGGATTATAGGTGTGAGCCACTGTGCCTGGCCCACAGTGTTTCTTTTTTTTTCTTTTGAGATGGAGTTTCGCTCTTGTTGCCCAGGCTGGCGTGCAATGGCATGATTCCAGCTCACTGCAACCTCCGCCTCCTGGGTTCAAGCGATTCTCCTGCCTCAGCCTCCCAAGTAGCTGGGATTACAGGCATGCGCCACCACGCCCAGCTAATATTGTATTTTTAGTAGAGATGGGGTTTAGCTGTGTTGGTCAGGCTGGTCTCAAACTCCTGACCTCAGGTGATCCACCTGCCTTGGCCTCCCAAAGTGCTGGGATTACAGGTGTGAGCCACTGCACCCAGCCCACAATGTTTCTTAGAAGGTAGTTTTCTCTGTATCACAGCAGCTCAGTTCTATAAATGTTTAATTTTGTTGTATGCATTGAATACCATGCTATCCTTGTTTGTGGATGGGACAAGGTGGACAGGTGTGTCCACTCCTATGCCTGGGAGTACAGCATGGTGCCAGGAGGGAGAAAAGCTAGGGCTCAGTGTCTTGGGAATTATGCCAAGCCGGCTGGTGCTGGACTGTGATTATCTTTGAGGATGGGCTTTGGGGCCCCATAGAGCTCTTTTCTGTTATGGGAGGTTTCTAGGATCAAACAGCTATGACCACCATCATCACATTCCTGGCTACTCCACACTATGGAGCTGCGTAATGATGCCCTGTACTATGCTACTGGCTGAAGCATTTGGCACACACCCTTTCTGATCCTCACAACAGCTGAGTGAGGTGGCATTATTACCTTTATTTGTAAATGTGAGAAAACAGAGGCAAAAAGAGGTTAAGTGACCCATTCGGAGTCATAGAGCAAGAAAGTGGCTAAGTCCAGATTTGAGAGCAGGTCTGAGCAAAGCCTGCCTGAAATTTGCTTTTAGTCATCTTGTTTTGTTTTGCCATTTACCTTTTTGTATAATTTTTCTATTGCTCTCTGTTAGTCAAATTATTTTTGAAATGTCAAAAAATTTCTGTGCAGAAAATAAAAACCCTCAAAATAGAGTGCTAGGAGCTCAGGGGGTGGGGGACGAATATAGTCAAGTATTAAGACACAGCTAGGCCGGGCGCGGTGGCTCACACCTGTAATCCCAGCACTTTGGAAGGCCGAGGCGGGTGGATCACGAGGTCAGGAGATCAAGACCATCCTGGCTAACATGGTGAAACCCCATCTCTGCTAAAGGTACAAAAATTAGCCGGGCATGGTGGTGGCAGGCACCTGTAGTCCCAGCTACTTGGAGGCTGAGGCGGGAGAATGGCGTGAAGCCGGGAGGCAGAGCTTGCAGTGATCCGAGATCGTGCCACTGCACTCCAGCCTGGGCGACAGAGTGAGACTCCATCTCAAAAAAAAAAAAAAAAAAAAAGACACAGCTCCCACTGCCGTCAAAAAACGTGGAGCTGGTGAGGTGGTTCATGCCTATAATCCCAGCACTTTCGGAAGCCAAGGCAGGAGGATCGCTTCAGCCCAGGAGTTGGAGACCAGCCTGGGCAACATAGTAAGACCTTGTCTCTAAAGAAAATTTTAAAAATTAGCTGGGCATGGTAGCACATGTCTGTAGTCCCAGCTACTCCAGAGGCTAAGGTAGGAGGATCACTTGGGCCTGGGAGTTTGAGGCTGCAGTGAGCTATGATTGCACCAACTGCATTCCAGCCTGGGCAACAGCACGAGACCCTGCCTCAAAAAAAAAAAAAAAGGCATGTGGACTGGCTCAGTGGGGTGGCCCGAGGTTCGGATGGGCTGTAGGGCAACACTGATCCATGGCTGCAGGAGTTGAGGAAGGGATGTAGTTGTGAGGATGGAAGTCAGAGCTTCCTTCAACGGGTGGCCCCACATGGCAGAGGAGCCCACTGTGGGCGTGACTTCCCTCCTCTCTGTCTCACTCAACCTTGGGTCTGTCAGTGTGATCTGCTGGGAGATTTCTAAGCTTCTAAGACAGCACCCTATAAGGGACCCAGGTGGGGAATAGACCGTGACCAGCCAGCGACCCCTACTACCCGTCACTCAAAAGCACTAGCACCTTCAGCCACTCCTCCTGGGGATGGGTCAGACTTAGTTTTTTAGAAAAGCAGAGTGTTAGGTTCTTAGCTTGGAAGAGGGCAGACAGGCCAGTCCTGATACCTGATGGGGCATACCATCTCCCCTGATTTTCTGGTCCTGTTAGAATTTTCCATCTGAGAATTGGGAGGGTATTGACCTCCGCTTGGTTTCCCCATGATGTGTGGGGATCAGACCCCTGGATAACGAAGGTGTTGTTGAGGGTGGGTAGGAGAGCCTCCCCTGAGTTCTCAGTACCCCTTTGCCTCTCGTGCCCACTGCAGAGGCAGCTTGCCAACTACAACTTTGACTTCCGGAGCTGGCCAGTCGACTTCCACTGGGAAGAACCCAGCAGCCGGTGAGGCCCCAGTTCTTTTGCTGTATCTCTCCCCTTAGAACCATTCCAGAAAATCTCTGCTCTGCCCTCCCACCTCCATGCCCTCTCAGGTCACAGTGCCTGCCTTCCAATGCCATTATGTCGTTCCTAGACCCCACTGTTCTCCAGACCTCAGACATCCAGCTTGCTGCTCCTGACCCTATCCTTCCCTGCATCTTTCCCTTCCTCAGGAAGGAGTCTCGAGGGGGCCCTTCCCGCCGGGGTGTGGCCCTGCTTCGCCCAGAGCCCCTGCACCGGGGGACAGCAGACACCCTCCTCAACCGGGTTAAGAAGCTGCCTTGTCAGATCACCAGGTGGGAAACAGCAGCGAGGAGAGGCCCACTGGGGTGGAGGGGCCATTTCAGGAGTGCTCTGGGAGTGGGCGCTCCATTGTAAAATAGCTGTCACTCATTGGGCCTAGTGCTGTATGGTTTGTGTAGATCATTTATGGCAAAGTCATTTTTATCCATATTTATGTTTGAAGAAAAGAGGCTCAGAGAGGTCTGGAGTCTCAAATGTAGTAAGTAAAGAACTGGGATATGAACAAAAGCTCCTTCAGTGAGGCTGAAAAGGAGCAGTGGGGGTGGGGTGGGGGTGGGGAGGACACACACTTGTAGCTAGGGCAGGCTCTGGTAGCATCTGTGTACCCATCGTGGCCCCTCTGCCCTGTTGTTATTCCACCTTGGCTCCGGGCCCCTGTGTGCCTCAGTGTCTGCACCTGTGATGAACCTGCCCTGCAAGGTTGCTGAGGAGATTAAGTAAGGTAACATGTTCTGAAGGGCTCCTGCCTTGCCTGGGTGCTTGAGAGCACATGGTAAATCCCAAATAAAGCTCAGTCGTGGGTACTGATGATGTCAGAAGGAACGGAAATAACCACCTATATCTTATAGTGGAACAGACACTGGGAATTTTCTTTTGCTGGGAGTTAGGAGGCAGCTTCTAGAATACCAAGGAACAGGGTGGACTTAGTGGTTGGTTGTTGACAGTGTGCTAATTAGTCAGGGAGGCAAGCCATATTTGAGGTTTTGAATTATAACCATCATTTTTTAAAGCATTATTTATTTGGGGACCTTTAATATGTTGTACTTATATTTTAACAGAATCATAATCTGATGATAACTTTGCATTTACTTATTATGTATAGACAGTTACATCATAAAACTCTCAGAATTCTGTACATACAGGATATGTGTGCACTGAGCCACAATATAAAATGTTTATCTTACAAAGGTTGCAGTAAGAAAAGTTTGCAAAACACTAGCCTGGTACATATTTCATTAAGGCTTGAAAGAGGAAAGTAAAGCTGTGAAGGTCAGGGGTAAAGCAGGCCTTACAGTCTGTGAGTGCTAGGGCTGGGATGGTCCCCAGCACAGTCCCCAGGCCTCAACAGGGTTGGGGTTTGTTAACCTGTGTTCCCCACAGCTACCTGGTGGCGCACACCCTAGGGCGCCGGATGCTGTATCCAGGCTCTGTGTACCTGCTGCAGAAGGCCCTCATGCCTGTGCTGCTGCAGGGCCAGGCCCGACTGGTGGAAGAGGTGAGGCTTCCCTGCCCGCACATCCCCTAAAGCCCTCCCCTCTCACCCCCACCCACCCCGCCCCACCCCTGTGATGTGGCCTCCTGACCCTTGCATCTTGGCCATTGCGTCTTCCGTACTCAGTGTAATGGGCGCCGGGCAAAGCTGCTGGCCTGTGATGGCAATGAGATTGACACCATGTTTGTGGACCGGCGGGGGACAGCTGAGCCCCAGGGACAGAAGCTGGTAAGAGGGAGCAGAGAGCCCAGAGGTGGGGTGAGTGTGAGGAAGGCAGTAGAGGTCTGGGGACCCCAATGCTATAGCACCTCCCTGAAGGAACCACTACTGGGGATAATCTCATGTCCTAGCTCCACGCTAAAGACCTTGTGATGTAGTGAAACCCTGTGATAGAGAAACAGATGAAGTAGGAGAGACGTTCAAGGACGAGAAACTAATATTAATAGTTACCACTTTGACAGCACTTCACACTTATATATATTTAATTCTCATATATATATGAAGCATATATATTTAATTCTCAAAAGAATCCCGTGAGATAGGTACTGCTTATATTAGCCCATTTTACAGGAGATGAAACTGGGGCACAGAAAACCTTTCCTGGACCTCACAGTAAGTGGTAGAGCTGGTATTTGGACCCAGGCAGCCTGGCCTCAAAGTCTCCTACCTCCATGAAGCAGCCGTGGAAAGAGCGCTAAGCCAGGAGTCTAGGGAGCTGGGTTCTAGTCCTGGCTCTGCCCATCTGTTATGAGAGTTCATGCAAATCCCACCATTCGTGGGTTTCAGCTTGGGGCGCCATGGCATTACAGTTTATCTGACCATAAGACTGGAGCTCAGAGAGGGATAGGGAGAGCAATCAGCATACCACACAATAGCAATGGTCACAGAAGATAACAGACCCGAAAACGAGAAAGGAAAAACATCTCCATAGTCCCCTTCCTGAAAGAGATCCAGCTGGTAATCTTCCAAGGAAAAGACATGGCTGGGTGGTCGAGCAGGTCAGCCTCTGAGGAGTATTTGTAATCCCTTTGCTTCTCCTCTTATGGACCCTGTGGAATGAGAAGCTTCCATTCCCCTTGGAGAAAACAGAAACCTGCCCTTTCCTCTTCCCTGCAAAGCTCTTCATGGGCTGCCCTCCCTGCCCAAAGGGAGTTTTTCAGTCCCAACTTGGCCCCCCAGCCCTTCCTTCCTGCCTCCTTCCTAGGTGATCTGCTGTGAGGGGAATGCTGGGTTTTATGAGGTGGGCTGCGTCTCCACGCCCCTGGAAGGTAGGACGGTGACTCAGCCTCCTTATCTCCGCCCTTTGAAAGGGAATGTCCCTGCCTCCCACACTGACCTGACCTCCCCTGGCCTCTGCTTTCTCTGGGTGAGGTTTTGAGTCTCTCAGCTTTAGGGAAAAGTCCACTCGCCATTTGCTTTGATAACCTTACATCCCTCCCCTGGCCTGTGTCCCTAGCTATTATGCTTTTCATTCTGTTCCATTCCCCCACCACACACCCCACACAATCACATGCTGCTCCCTGTGCTGCCTCAGAACCTCTGGTGTCATCTCCTATTTCTGGGAAGGCTTGGAGTTATTTGCATCTAAGCTGGGGGGTACTTCTGCTCTTCCTTCCCCCAGGGATGGAGAAAGGGCTGTGGGCCACAAGGTCTCAGTCCCTCCTCCCCCTGTGTTACAGCTGGATATTCAGTCCTGGGCTGGAATCATCCAGGCTTTGCTGGAAGCACGGTGAGACCATCTCAGGAATCCCTTCCTTTTCCTGAATTATGTCTGTTTCCCTCTGGTCAGCCATTGGAGGGAGGAGAGGGGCTGTGGATTTCTTGAAGGCGTCCCACTCACCTGAGGGCTGGGGTCTAGGAGGTTGTGAAGGCAGCATTGGGAGCCATGCCCCCATCCCCACAGTGCGGGGCTAGCAGGAGAGGAGGAGGTAGATCTCATTGTACACATCCGTCTTCTGGAGAGAACAACCTCTCCTACCATCCCTTCCTTCTACACCTTCTCTGCCTGTCATAGGTGGCTGCAGGAGGGGTCCACGTTGGGAGGGACAGGTGAGCTGGCCTTTGGTGCTGACACACTCCTGACTTTGCCCTTTCTCCTGCAGGGGGTGCCATTCCCGCAGAATGAGGCTAATGCCATGGATGTGGTGGTCCAGTTTGCCATCCACCGCCTAGGCTTCCAGCCCCAGGACATCATCATCTACGCCTGGTCCATCGGCGGCTTCACTGGTACCAGCCTCCCTCCCATCCCCCACTGTAGACACATTCATGACCACCCAGCCCCACCCGGGAGAGGTGGGGAAATGGGGTGGGGTGGAGGCTCAAGGAAGAAGAGAGAGGAAGTAGAATCTCTGAGTGGGCCTGGAAGAAGCTATCCTATTTGCATACACTTCACCTTTCCTTCCCCTCTTGTGCCCAGTCATTAAAAGGAAAAGCAGACCCAGGTCCTGGGTGGGGAGATCAGGGAAAGTGAATGTTTCCTGCCCATTATCTTCAGTGCACTATCTCCAGTGTTCTATCCCCATCCTCTCCAGATAGTTCCCTAACCAAGTGAAGTAGGTTAAGAAAAAAACAAGGGATAACATAGGGGGAATGGGGTTGGCCTATAGGGTCAGTGGGATGAGAGCATGGGTGGTGGGGAGAAAGGAGCCTTTCTCAGTTCTTACTCTTCTTCCCTGCCCTGGTACCAGCCACGTGGGCAGCCATGTCCTACCCAGATGTTAGTGCCATGATCCTGGATGCCTCCTTTGATGACCTGGTGCCCTTGGCCTTGAAGGTCATGCCAGACAGCTGGAGTGAGTGCAGCTCCCAGGCCTGCCCTTCCTGGGAAGGGGTGGGCTGGAACTGGGAACTGTTCTGAGATGGCTCCCTTTTCTTGGGTGGGGAGTAAGTCGCCCCATTGTTGGAAGCAGGAGGACTCCTTTGTCTGGGGGCCTCAGTTTTCTTTCTCCGTGAATAGTGAGGACCTTTATGTTGGGCAAGGGCTTTGTCTCTGCCATCCCTTCACCTTTATCCCACTCTAGGGGGCCTGGTGACCAGGACCGTGAGGCAGCATCTCAATCTAAACAACGCGGAGCAGCTGTGCAGGTGAGGGCCGGCCAGCGTCCGGCATTGAACACCTGCCCCCCATACAGCTCTGCTGGGCGCTCAAACCCTGAAACTAGTACTAAAGTGCAAGTTGGTAAAAGGCCACTGGCTCACATCCTGAGTGACCCTGCCACCACCTCAACTGGCCTAACCCCTCCCAGGTCCCCTGGGACTCTGGACCACCTCAGGATCTGGCAACCAAAGGGTTAAGGCCTGGCACGGCAGGGGTCTCCCAGCAGGGCCAGACTGAACCATGCCCCTTAAATAATCCCCTCTCACCCCTGAGTGAAGGGCTAGGTCAAGGGCTGTGCTATAGCAAGGGGAGGGTAAGAATGCTACCAGTGCAGGGATAGGGGTGGGCCAGTTGTCACCCGTCTCCCTCTGAGCTCTCCCTTCCCACTGCTCTGTTCTCTGAAGATACCAGGGTCCTGTACTGCTGATCCGGAGAACCAAGGATGAGATCATCACCACCACGTGAGTGCGTGGGAATCTCGGCCCTCAGGAACCCCAGAGATGGCCAGGAACTTGTCCCTTCTACCTCTGCCCACCAGAAACCTGGGTATCTAGACCCTTCCTCCTAACCTCCAGCCCCTCCAGGGTACATTCTTCTCACCCCCAGGGTTCCTGAGGACATCATGTCCAACCGAGGCAATGACCTCCTGCTGAAGCTCCTGCAGCATCGGTGAGAGCCAGGGTGTGTGCGCGCTGGGGGCAGTGTACACACACAGATACTGATACCAGCACAGGGAAGGAGGGAGGAAGGTTCAGGGATGGTGAATGAAAAAAAATCAGCCCTGACCTGTCCTGGCACTTCCTCCGTAGGTATCCCCGGGTGATGGCAGAGGAGGGTCTTCGAGTGGTGAGGCAGTGGTTGGAGGCCTCCTCACAGCTGGAGGAAGGTGAGAAGGGATCCAGTGAGGCTTGGGGCGGGGGCCCAGCAAGGTCAGGTTGCTGACTGGCTGTCATCTCTCTCCCTGACCAGCCTCAATTTATAGCCGATGGGAGGTGGAAGAGGACTGGTGTCTGTCTGTCCTCCGCTCCTACCAGGCAGAACACGGGCCCGACTTCCCCTGGAGCGTGGGTAAGGAGCTCCTGGGGCAGGAGAGAGGGTGGGAAGGGCCTAGGAAGGGGATGAATACCCAGATGTGTGGCCTATTTTGAGCGCCTCCTCTCTGCAGGGGAGGACATGAGTGCAGATGGACGGCGGCAGCTGGCTTTGTTTCTGGTGAGCTAAGGAGTGGGAAGTGGGAAGGGTTCTTGAATGGCCAGGGCTCACATAGGGGGACTGGGGATACCCTATAAGCATTGGAAGTGGCAGCTTTTGTAGAGTGGGTGGTGGATGCGGAAGTGGAGGGTGGGGAGGGAGTCCAGTGGCTGCCCCTCCCAACAGTGCTCTGTACCCCACCTGTCCCACCTCCTTTCCTCAGGCTCGGAAGCATCTGCACAACTTTGAGGCCACTCACTGCACCCCACTCCCAGCCCAGAACTTCCAGATGCCCTGGCACCTCTAGGGACCAACTGGGACTCATTATGGAAGAATGGGGTGAGAGGAGACATGAGGAAAGACCCTCTTATTTGTGATTCTCTGTGTTCATGTTGCTGTTTATAGTTTGTGGAAAGTGGGGGACCATCCCCCTTCTCACCACTGTTCCTCTTGCACGTTTCCCCTCATTCATGTGGCTGTACTTAACCTTCTCCAACATACATCCTGCATTACATGAATGGATTATTCCTAATAATTAATAAAAAGGTATTTTTTCTACTATCAGGCTAATTGTATAACTTCTCAAGTGTCCAGGGAGCCAGGGGCAGGTAGTGGGGAGAGCAGAGGCCCCAAAGAGCTGGGCTTTGGGAAACCCTAACTCTAGACAATCTAGCTAATCTAACCCTTCCCATCTCTGTGTCCCCCTAGGCCTTCAGCCCCTAACCTGAGCTTTCCTCAGGCAGCAGGTCCCCAAACCTCCCCGGTCCCTGATGTGCCTACTGTTATCACAACTGTGCAGCCTCCCTGGCCCCTCCCGCCTCCTTCTTCAGTTCTTCCTGCATACAACCACCCCAGGAGCCCATGGTTGCCCCCTCCTGCTTACGGCTCATGAGCTTTCTAGGATCCGATTTCACCTACCCAGTGCTTCTGCTGGTTTCCAGGTTCAACCTGCATGGTGTTACTAGCAGTACCCCCAATTTTCATTGCTCACCTCTTGTTATCTTGGTGAAGAGTGAGGAAGGGCCTGCTCCCCACGTCTTATGCAGCAAACCCTGCACACCCACCTTGCCATGTCATCAAGTCTCTGTCCTCACAGCCTTTTTGCAGTTCAACAAACACAGGCCCTGCCAGGGACGGAGGGCCAGGTGCCAAGGACTCATGTCTTCTCAGAGCCATACTTTGCCTTTTGGACGGCTCTGTTAGGAGAAGATGCTTAGGTTGTACCTGAGGAAATTGGTTCCCTATAACTGCCATCTATCTCTAACTTTGGACCTTGTGGAACACAGTGAATAAATCCCTCTTCCACCCATTGGTTTGTTGCCTGGCAGTTTTTTTTATTTTTTTGGAGATGGAGTCTTACTATGTTGCCCAGGCTGGAGTGCAGTGGCACAATCTGAGCTTGCTGCAACCTCCACCTCCCAGGTTCAAGTGATCCTCCAGCCTCAGCCCCTCTAGTAGCTGGGATTACAGGTATGCGCCACCATACCCAGTTGATTTTTGTATTTTTAGTGAAGATGAGGTTTCGCCATGTTGGCCAAGTTGGTCTCGAACTCCTGACCTCAGGTGATCCAACCGCCTTGGCTTCCCAAAGTGTTGGGGATTAAAGGTGTGAGCCACTGCGCCTGGCCGCTGGCCACTTTCTTCATTTGGAAACTTCTCTTTTCCAGATGAAAGACCCCAAAGTTTATCGCCCTGAGTCCATTTTTGTTTTGTTTTATTTTGTTGGGGATGGTTTTTTGTTTGTTTTTTGAGATGGATTCTCACTCTGTCGCCTAGGCTGGAGTGCAGTGGCACGATCTCAGCTCATTGCAACCTCTGCCTCCCAAGTTCAAGCGATTCTCCTGTCTCAGCCTCCCAAGTAGCTGGGATTACAGGTGTGTGCCACTACACACAGCTGATTTTTCGTATTTTAGTAGAGACAGGTTTCACCATGTTGCCCAGGCTGGTCTCAAACTCCTGAGCTCAGGCAATCCACCCACCTCAGCCGACTCCATTCTTTTTTTTTTTTTTTTTTTGAGACGGAGTCTCGCTCTGTCACCCAGGCTGGAGTGCAGTGGCACAATCTCGGCTCACTGCAAGCTCCGCCTCCTGGGTTCACGCCATTCTCCTGCCTCAG
Organism: Homo sapiens; assembly: GCF_000001405.40. Lineage (NCBI taxonomy): Eukaryota > Metazoa > Chordata > Mammalia > Primates > Hominidae > Homo > Homo sapiens. The sequence continues at coordinate 31,685,402 of NC_000006.12, read as the reverse complement.
CCTCCCTAGTACCTGGGACTACAGGCGCCTGCCACCACGCCTGGCTAATTTTTTGTATTCTTAGTAGAGACGGGGTTTCACTGTGTTAGCCAGGATGGTCTCGATCTCCTGACCTCGTGATCCACCCGCCTCTGCCTCCCAAAGTGCTGGGATTACAGGCGTGAGCCACCGCGCCCGGCCAACTCCATTCTTTTGAGCAAGATACTTAACGTGGGCGACAATGTTCTAATGTCCTAGATGGAGTCTCTGGCTAAATTTCTGTGTCTTCTCCAAACCCAGTGCATGAAGCTCTTCTTGAAACCCCAGGGCAGAGGCTGTGTGTGCCCCCATTAGCGCTGCAACTCCTTAAGGGAAGATATACTGAGTCTCCACTGGAAGTGGAGATCTGAGACTTAATCAGGTGATGTGATGCCTGAAATTTGGAGTTAGAAGAGGCAGGTGACCACAGCTCCATAATGCTCCACCGTTAGCAAACAGGTGGATAGCTGATACTGGTGCCCTCTCCTCTATCCCATTCCAGGGGGGCAAACGATGGGAAGTGTGGAACATGAAGCTCTGGAGCCAGCTGCACAGTTCTGAATCCCATCCTCCCAGATCCAACAGAAGAGTTAATCCCCTGAAAACTAAATTTTTGTTCAGCTAAGGGAAGCTCCTTAAATGCAAAGAGGAGCTGGGCATGGTGGCTCACATCTGTAATCCCAGCACTTTGGGAGGCTGGGGCAGGAGGATCACTTGAGCCTAGAAGTTCAAGACTGGACAGGGCAACATAGGGAGACTCCATCAGTACAAAAAATTTAAAAATTACCCAGGCATGGTGGCATGCACCCGTGTTCCAAGCTACTCTGGAGGCTGAGGTAAGAGGATCGCTTGGCTGAGGATCACGGTAGGTTGAGGCTGCAGTGAGCTGTGATCGTGCCACCGGACTCCAGCTTGGGTGACAGAGTGAGACTCTGTCTCAAAAAAAAAAAAAAAAAGCAAATAGGGGTGCCCAGTCTCACCTCCCATACCCTGGGGACAAAGGACACCCCTCCCTGGACATGGCCATTAGGGACTCTGCTGAACTGCCCCTACTGCCACTTTCCCCCATCTTACTGCATGTAATTGTAGACAACAGTGGATGACCTGAGGGGCCCTTAGATACCTGAAATTGGGTAGGGAAAGAAAGGTAGGCTCAACATGTGAATTCTGAACCCCCCCATCCAGGGGCCTCAGCCTACTTCAGATTACTCCCTATGCAATAAGGTTCAGAGCAGCTGTGTTTGTTTTCAGAACTAATCCCCACCCAGGGGTGGAAGCAGGCCCCTGTCCACTCCTCACCCTATATAGCAAAGTTCCAGCAGTTCCAGGGGATGATCAGCAGAGATGCAGACCTTCCCAGTTGCTGGGGCGCTGGACCCTGCTATACTGGACACAAGGTGAGGCCTGAAAGTCCAGGCACCCTGAGGAGCTGGGCAAACTAGCAGAAAAGATGGCGCTGGGAGAAAGGAAAGTTAGACTCTGGACGGGAAATCTGGAAAGAAGTGGTTCCCAGCTGGGCCAAAAAGCCTCATCCTACGCCGTCTCATCGACCTGGGCTCCACCCTGAGTGCCTCCAGTGTGAGGTGCTGGACTGGCTCTGTGCTGCCTGTTTGGGTTGAGGGTTTGCTCCTAGGAGAGGCATGTATTTCTCGTACAGCTGTCACAAGCGAGTGAGGGCTCCGGAGGTGGAGGGCCCAAGAGGGTGGGGAGCTCAGGCGTCAGTGATAGCCAGATTTCCATCCATCGGTCCGTCCGTCCGTCCATCCATCCATCCATCTATCCAATCAACAAGCCATTCCGGATTCTTCAGGAATCCAGTCATTCATTTATATTTAGGTTAAAGACCCTCTCTCTGGTTCCTCTCTAGAACGCAATCTCGAGCCGCTCCCCCAACAAACCGTGGCCCTCTCCCGACCGGGTCATCTACAGCCCCGCCCCTCGTTTGCCTGGCTCCATTCCCCTAACCTTGGCGTTCTGTCCTCAGGCCCCGCCTTCTTTGTTTCGTCACTCGGTTGCTTACCCTCAGGTATCCCTTAACTCTAGGTAGGAGCACTCAGAAGGGACACCGTCATCTGCTGCTGTCGCCATGGCGATTATTCAACGCCCTGCCTCTTCACCCCAGGAAAACCTTCGCGGAACCCGTCACCATGGAAACGAACTCTCTGGACTCTTAGCGCGCCCTGGGCTGGCCCTGCTGGGTGGACAGGAGAGGAGCAAAACGCAACAAAGACGGGATTAATTACTCGGAGGCCGCGCCCCCTCCGAAGAAGGCCCCACCCTGCCCCGGCCTCACCCCTCCCCGAAATAATTCGAGGAAATATTCCGCGAATGCTGGGTGGGTGTCTTGCCCCCCGGTTCCCTCAAGGCCCACGGTCGCTTGAATTCCACAGCAAGTCCTCCCGGACCTCTCAGGGCAATCCCCTCCCGAAGCCCAGCCTCAGCCTCGCAAAGCCTCTAGTCGTTGGCCTTTTCGTTGCGATTATATTCGAGAGGGAGCTTCAGAGGGCGCCGCGAAGTTCCCCTGTGCTTCCCCTTTGCCCTTTGCCCTCTTCGCTTCAAGAGGAGCCCCTGGCTCTCTTTTTTTTTTTTTTTTTTTTTTTTTTGAGACGGAGTCTTGCTCTGTCGCCAAGCTGGAGTGCAGTGGCGCGATCTCGGCTCACTGCAACCTCCGTCTCCCGGGTTCAAGCGATTCTCCTGCCTCAGCCTCCTGAGTAGCTGGGACTACAGGCAGGCGCCACCACTCCTGGCTAATTTTTGTATGTTTAGTAGAGACGGGGTTTCACCATATTGTCCAGGATGGTCTCGATCTCTTAACCTTGTGATCCGCCCAGCTCGGCCTCCCAAAGTGCTGGGATTACAGGCGTGAGCCACGGAGCCCGGCCCTCTGATTCTTTTTGTCTATCACTCTGTGCACTCATTCATTCAAGACATTTATGTAGGTGCCCCGCGTTCCTCTGCAGTTCTCCACTACTCTGGCTTTTCTCTAATACAATTTATTTTGTGTTATTATTTCTTTAAGACAGAGTCTCACTCTGTCGCCCAGGCTGGAGTGCAGTGGTGCGATCTCGGCTCACTGCAACCTCTGCCTCCCAGGTTCAAGAGATTCTCCTGCCTCAGCCTCCCGAGTAGCCAGGACTACAGGCGTGCGCCACCACACCTGGCTAATGTTTTTGTATTTTTTGATAGAGACGGGGTTTCACCATGTTGCTCAGGCTGGTTGCGAACTCCTGACCTCGAATGATCCCCCACCTTGGCCTCCCAAAGTGCTGGGATTACAGGCATGAGCCGCCACGCCCGGCTAATTTTTGGTATTTGTAGTAGAAACGGGGTTTCACCATGTTAGCCAGGCTGGGTGCGAACTCCTGACCTCAGGTAGTCCACCCGCCTTGGCCTCCCAAAGTGCTGGGATTACAGGCGTGAGCCACCGCAGTCCGGCCCTAATATAGTTTTTAAATTCATTCATTCCAAGGCTTTTGGGAGGCGCTCAGTGGCGTGCAGTTTCCTCTCGAATTTCTTTCTTCCCGCAGTCTTTCTGGGCGGGCGTCTCCCGTCTGTTTCTTCCCATCTTCCCCCTTATCATCCTGGGACTGGATAATTCTTGAATAGTCTGGGAGGTAGCAGGGAACCCGAGTTCGGAGCCTCGACCAGAACCTCCAGACGGGAAATTGGAGCAGGTGGTGTCGTTCCAGGACGCTGAGGACCACCTCCTCCCCTAACGCACAGCCCAACGATCCTAAAAGTAAAAACCCTGAGTTTCTGAGTCAAGACTGAGCTGGTGGGGTGGGGACCGAGTAGGCGTGGATGGGGAGCCCAGCGGGTCCCCAGCGGAGAAAATGGGTGAGACGCCTGGGGCCGCGGTCTCCAGAATTCGCCTGGGAGGGAGAGTGGCGCTACGGCGCCGCCTTCCTGGGGAGCCGCTTCGGGCTCCGGATGTCCGCTGGGGCCCGACGCTTGGGTCCCGACGCGCGGTTCGCACTTTCCAGGTTTCTTCCCCAGGGAACAGAGCTTGAGCGGGGGGCCACCCCCCCGTCCTACCGGAGTTCTGAGGTGCGGTCAGGCGCGGAGAGCGGACGCCCAGCGCCAGATTCTGTGGGCTCCGGAGTTCAGGCCCACTGAGCCGCAGCTGAGCACAGGCGGGGCAGGAAAAAGGATGAGGTGAGGGAAGGCGCTGGGTTCCTGGAACCCCAAGGGAGCACTGAGCTGAGTACGTATCGCTTGGGATCCAGGTGTCCTTGTTTTAGGATGTCTGACAGGTGTCCCCAGGGTATGAGAAGTGGGACTGGGCACCCCCTATTTGCTTTTTTTTTTTTTTTTTTGAGACAGACCACATGTTTCCTATCTTGGAAAATGGTACCACTTCCTTGTGCAAGCCTACCCCTGTTCCCTCACCCCTCGTTCAGTCCAACAGCAAATCTGTCCAGTCTTCTAACTGTATCTCAGGTTCATTAGCCCCGCTTCCTCGTCCCTGCTCGTCTTCTGCCGGACCAGTCCGCCATCTTGTGACCGGACTCGGGAATAGCGTCCTACTTCCCGGCGGCCTCCACTCTTGACCCAAATGCAATGTGCAGCCATGGCAATCTTTTATAAACAGAAATCCGATCAAGTTACTCCTCTGCCGAAATCCCTCTGGTCAGTGGTTTAACTGTCGAGGTGCTCCTGGCAGCACTCTGCCCTCCCCACATCATTGCTGGTGGACTTGTCTCCCCTACTAGACTGTGCCCTGTGAGGGTGGAGACTTTGTGCAGGGTTGTATCCCCAGCATCTGATGCAGTGATTCAATAAACATCTGTCCAATTAATAGGAAAGACAGTTCCTTTTCTCATTCCCCTATTGCTGGTCCCCTGCCCTCAAGCAGGATGTTATGCCCCAGAGTGGCTGTGGGTGCGAACATTCTGCCCCTCTGGCTGGTCTGGCACTGATTTCCACCCTGAGCTGGTGTTGCCTCTCTCCTTCCTCTTGGCCAACCTCTCTTCCACCAATATAAGCCCAAACTGGAGGCCAGCAGGCAGTCATGCGTTTTATGGCAGGCCCTGCAGGGAGCCAGAGTCTGGGTCCCCTGTGCTTCCACAGCAGCCCCCAAGCCCTCTACACGGTCCTCTTAATAGTGCTGGTCATGATGAGCTTGGTGTTTGGTAAGTGGCTCCAAGGGTTCAGAAGGGTCTCCTGGCCTGGATGGAGAAACCCACAGACACCAAGTGTCTGGGTACACCTGTCCAGGATGCTCAGGTAAACCCATGCAGGAGGAGAGATGGGACAGATGGGTTTGGTAGGGAATGCCTGCTCATGGACTGATGTGCAATCTGAAGATTTTTAAAAATTTATTATTATTATTATTTTTGAGATGGAGTCTCGCTCTGTATCCCAGGCCGGAGTGCAGTGGCGAGATCTCGGCTCACTGCAACCTCCACCTCCCGGGTTCAAGCGATTCTCATGCCTCAGCCTCCCGAATAACTGGGATTACAGGCATAAGCCACCAAGCCCAGCTAATTTTTGTATATTTAGTAGAGACGGGGTTTCACCATGTTGGCCAGGCTGGTCTCGAACTCCTGACCTCAGGTACCTGCCCGCCTTGGCCTCCCAAAGTGCTGGGATTACAGGCGTGAGCCACCGCACCCAGCCTCTGAAGGAGATTTCTAGTGACCACCCCAGGGCTGTCTCACTTCACAGCAGTGACCTGAATAGAGATACTGAAGGAATCCTCTCTGGATCTGAGGGCAACATAGAATAGGGAGGGTTAGGGAGTGTGCTGGATGAGAAAACCAGAATCCACAGGATAGAACAAGACTGAGTCCAGCCTGCTGGGCTCCCCACTTGGCTGCAAAGCACCAGCCACAGAGACACAGGATTCAAAGTGTTGGTTTAGCACTTTCCTCTGCCTAACACCAAGTGCTCTGCTGGGTCTGGGGATTTGTTAACATGTGGTCTGGCCTTAGGACCAGAGGAAAAGGGGGATGTATGTGTATGCAGTTGGGGAAGGAAGCAGAGAATTGGGGCTTTGATGGTTTTCTGAGACAGGAAGGGAGGGAGGAGTGGGGCTGAGTGGCCTGGAATCAGGCAGTGGTAGGGTGTGAGGTAGAATGGGGTGTGAGTGGGGTCAGCACTTCTCTGTGTTCTAGGTAAGTTTGTTCCTGTCAATTGGGAACCCCCTCAACCACTTCCATTCCCCAAATACCTGCGCTGCTACCGATGCCTCTTGGAGACCAAGGAGTTAGGGTGCCTTCTGGGATCTGACATCTGCCTCACCCCAGCTGGCAGCAGCTGCATCACTCTCCACAAAAAGAACAGTAAGTGGCCTTCTCCTGTCATGGGCCCAGCACTCTCCCAAACGGAAACTCTCTCAGCCTCCTAAGCTGCACCCCAAGTCTTGTTCCCATAATCCCATAAGACATTGCTCCAATCCTGTCTTTTTTTTTTTGCTGCTCTGTCACCCAGGCTGGAGTGCAGTGGCGCAATCTTGGCTCACTGCAACCTCCACCTCTCCAGTTCAAGCAATTCTTGTGCCTCAGTCTCCCAAGCAGCTGGGATTAAAGGTGCACGCCACCACGCCCAGCTAATTTTTTGTATTTTTAGTAGAGATGGGGATTCACCATGTTGGCCAGGCTGGTCTCGAACTCCTGACCTCAGGTGATCCACCCACCTTAGCTTCCCAGAGTGCTGGGATTACAGGCGTGAGCCACCGTGCCCAGCCTCTCTTCCCTTTTCTTCAGAGCCACACTCTGTCTCCACTTCCACTAACCTTCTCTCCTCAATCTGTAGCTGAATAGCTTCTACCCTATCAAGGTGCGCAGCTTTGACGGGGACCCTCCAGATCTCCAGGTGCCCTTGCCTGTCCTCAAGCTGTCTGCTTCCGCATCTGTCTGCAGTTACTGCTGGTGTTGCTCTTCTCCTGCATCCTCCACGGCTTCTTCAGTCTCCTTCATGGAGCGTTTTCTCTCTGACCCTTAGTGGTTCATGTTCACCAAGGTTTGGTCCTTAGCTGTCTTCCCACTTCATATACTCAAAAGCAGAGGATTTTATCTGCTTTGCTGGCTTCAACCAGCAGCCACATACCACTTCCTTCTGAATCTGAATGTTATGTCAAACCGCTCTCCTCATATCCCGTTGACCACTGGACATCTCCCTCGCTGAAAATTGACTCCTTCCCGATGCCTGCTCTTCCACCGACCCCCCACCTTTCTTAAGTTAGCAAAAACGTAACACATAATATGTGCTAGGCACTGTTCTAAACACTTGCAATCCGCTGAGGCAGGTATTATTACTATGTGCATTTTACAGATGAGGAAACAGGTGCAGAAAGGTCATAACCTTGCCTGAGTCTCACAGATGCTGAGCCAGAATTTGTGATGGCTCCAGAGATGGTGCTCTCAACAACCACTGCATGCAGCTGCCTGTGTTCAAGTCCTCTTACTACCCTTTTAACATAGCCGATGCACAGATGTGGGTCAAATATCAGAGTATACAATACCATCAAACCAAAGTCTCCCGCTACTACCCTAACCCACCTGGCTCCCCTGCACATGTGACCACTTTTTTTACTTTCTGGATGATCCCTCCTGCAATCTTTTATGCACATTCCACCCTGCACAAATATGCTGTTTACTATTTTTTCACCTCTTCCCCCGCCCCAACCCAAGATAGTAGCATCCCACTGTAAACATTATTCCACATTTAAGTTAGGGGAACTGAATGTTCCGATATCAGTTTGTAAACAGCTTCCTTGTTTTATTGACCTGCTGTATACTACTCCATAGCATGCGCATATCACAGCTGATTTCCCCATCCCACTATTGATGGGCATTTTGGTCATTTCTCTCAAGCAGGGCAGCAGCAAACATCCCTGAACATGACTTCTTGGGATGCAGGCACAAAGATTTTTCTCTATTATGTATAACAGCAGCAGACATCATCTTATTCTCTTTTGGTCTGAAAAATAAATAACAATACACCTCCTTCCTGCCACCCAATCTCCAAAACATTTCCCAGCTTTTTCTCACATGGTCCTATGGTGCTAGTTCTCCTCACTTGGCTCAGTAACTCCCAACTCCCCCTCCAACCATTACATTTCATATGGCTCTTTTCCTCCAGCCTTGCATGGGAACTTCAGTGGAGTTCCATGGCTGGTGAACACTGGGCATGTCCACCCATGCCTAACTACAGGAATCTTTTCTTTTTCTTTTTTTTTTGACTTATGAGTGTGGGGATGAGAGGATTTGGGGCTCTTCCTGGGGACTTCCGTATCACTGGTGCCCACTGTCCCTCCCCAGGCAGCGGTTCTGACGTCATGGTGAGTGACTGCCGAAGTAAGGAGCAGATGAGTGATTGTTCAAATACCCGAACTTCTCCGGTGTCTGGCTTCTGGATATTCTCTCAATACTGCTTCCTGGATTTCTGCAATGACCCTCAAAACAGAGGGCTCTATACTCCTTAGTGTGACTGCAGCAAACTTTGGTGTAAAATTCCACCAGTTTCCAGCCACCTTCCTGACTTCTATCTGGGCTTGGCCAGGACTTCTAGTCCCTCATACCAGCCCTCCTTGCCTCCCTCCAGCCACTGGACCCCAGCCTTGGCTCTTCCTCTTGGTTGACGCCCTTCAGCACACTTACTGCTACTCTGTACCCCCAGCCCTACTGCCCACCAGGTTTCCTCTCTTGTCCCCTAGTCCCTGGATGTTTCTCCCAAATAAATTTGTGTGTAAACTGTTTGGTATGTCTCTTTCTTCTGGTGGAGGTGAAGGCTGAGGGAGGTGCACCTGCCTAACTGCCCTACCATGGGTCAGGTAAGGGACCCCCAGCTCTGCTGAGCTGTCCTCTTGTCCTGCCTTGGTATGTGATTTGCTCTAGACACAAAAAGAGAAAGAGGAAATGAAAGCCCTCCTATGGTGAATGCCAGAAAGTTAGTGGGCATCCTCGGCAGTGCTGTCAGACCAGAGCTGTGTGGGGGCTAGGGGCGTTTAGAGGGCTATGTTGGTGGGAAGGGGGCTGCGAAAGGACCAGGCCCAGGTAGAAGGAGGTGGGTGAGAAGGCCACTCTTTTTTTGAGACAGTCTCACTGTCACCTAGGCTGGAGTGCAGTGGTGTGATCTTGGCTCATTGCAACTTCTGCCTCCCAGGTTCAAGTGATTCTTCTGCCTCAGCCTCCCGAGTAGCTGGGATTACAAGCACATGCCACCACACCTGGCTAATTTTTATATTTTATTAGTAGAGACGGGGTTTCACCAGTTGGCCAGGCTGGTCTCGAACTCCTGACTTCAAGTGATCTGCCTGCGTTGGCCTCCCAAAGGGCTGGGATTACAGGCGTGAGTCACCCCGAGCCGAGAAGGCCACTCTCAAAGAGATGTTAGACCTTATTGGAGTCCTGGTCTCTTCAATTCTGGGCCAAGTTCTTCAGCCTCTGAGGGTGTCTTCCAGGTTGACCTGCTATAAACCTGGGCCTTTCTCTGTCTTATACTGACGTCAGAGGTCATGGAGAAGGGTGGACTTAGCAAGGTGGGGGTTGGGGGGCACATTAAGGGTTTGTACCTCTCTTTGTACGCCAACTGCCTCATGACTTAATTATCATTGGTTTGGTATTTTCCGTCAGAGTACAGGCCACACAGATTTGTTAACACGTGTGCAAAACACTATATAGGTAAAAGCAGATGCGTACGATGCCATTTCCATCAAGCACAGACAGAACTCATCTAAGCTACTACCAGTCAGGACAGCGGCTACCCCAGAGCTGGGAAGAGCACCTGGGAGAGGGGAACAGAGGCAGGCTTGGCTGCAGGTAAAGGTCTTCACGCTGATTTGGTGGCTGGTTACACAGATGTGTGGTTTACAAAAATCCATCTTGTGATATGTGCAAGCTTCTGAATGTTTTACCAAAAAGGTTTGAAAATAAGTAAATCAGCCAGGTGAGCATGGTGGTGTGCATCTGTAGTCCCAGCTACTTGGAGGCTGAGGCAGAAGAATCTCTTGAGCCCAGGAGTTCAAGGCCAGCTTGGGCAACATAGTAAGAACCTTAGAAAAAAAAGCTGAACATTGTGTATGCATTTGACTCTAGGGCAAATATATTTTTTTGAGGGGGAAAAGGCCTTAACTTCTACTTGTGTATGCACATTTACATGTGTTTTCTCAATCATCTGAGGCACTATCCCTACTTGACAGGTGACCAAGGTGGGGCTGAAGAGACTGACATATCCAAGTGGTAGAGGGGCTGGGATTGGACCTCCCAGCCACAAAGCTGCACTGCTTTTCAGAAAAAGGTTTCATAACCCAAGCACTGGGCTGCAAGACTTGGAAGGGCAGACACCTGGCTATACTCATCTGGGAGTCCTGCTGCTCAATACCAAGCCTGACTCAGAGCAGCGTTATGTCCAGCATGTTTATCCAGTGTATGGAAAAGGCTGTTGTATCCATCCTTGCTTTCTATACGTTTGCACTATTTCAAAATTAAAATATTAGCATGAAGATCCAACCACTGCAGCCCAACATCAGTGCTCTCAGCACTTTGCCCCTCAAATTGGGCCCCTCGAGAGGGCATCCTGGATGCCAGAATCCTTGAAAAGAACTAAGGAATGGCAGGAGTCCAGGGCCCCAGCAGCAGGTAACTCTGGCATGTGGCTCTGAGTTCCTGAGTCTTTCTGGTTTAAAGAGAAAGTTTCTTTTTTTTTTTTTTTGGAGACAGTCTCGGTCTGTCACCCAGGCTGGAGTACAGTGGCACGATCTCGGCTCACTGCAAACTCTGCCTCCCAGGTTCAAGCGATTCTCCTGCCTCAGCCTCCTGAGTAGCTGGGATCACAGACACGTGCCACCATGCCCAACTAATTTTTTTTTTTTTTTTTTTAGTAGAGATGGGCTTTCACCATGTTGGTCAGGCTGGTGTCGAACTCCTGACCTCATGATCCGCCTGCTTCGGCCTCCCAAAGTGCTGGGATTACAGGCAAGCCACCGCGCCCAGGCTTTTTTTTTTTTTTTTAAGACAGAGTTTCGCTCTTGTTGCCCTGTCTGGAGTGCAATGGCGTGATCTCAGCTCACTGCAACCTACACCTCCCCGGTTCAAGCAATTCTCCTGCCTCAGCCTCCCAAGTAGCTGGGATTACAAGCATGAGCCACCATGCCCAGCTAATTTTTCATATTTAGTAGAGACAAGATTTCACCATGTTGGTCAGGCTGGTCTCAAACCCGACCTCAGGTGATCCACCCACCTCGGCCTCCCAAAGTTCAGGGATTACAAGCATGAGCCACCGCACCTGGCCTAAAGTTTCTTTTCTTAGGTGAAAAGACCTGGCATCATCAGGGTCTAACTTTCCAGGTTTTGTAGGGTATGTTTAAGGCTGGGAAGAATCACAGTCCCCATGCTTTGATCTCCAGCTAAGCAGAGGGTGGGGAGGGATGTGTGCCCTTTACAGGAGGCCGAGAGGAAGCGACAAACGCCAAGTGCAATGGAGAGGGCTCTGCAATCCTATTTGGATCCCAAACCTCACTAACCCTTTTTTTTTTTTTTTTTTTTGAGACACAGTTTCACTCTTGTTGCCCAGGCTGGAGTGCAATGGTGCAATCTCGGCTCATCGCCACCTCCACCTTCCAGGTTCAAGTGATTCTCCGGCCTCAGCCTCCCGAGTAGCTGTAATTACAGGTATGCGCTACCAAGCCCGGCTAATTTTGTATTTTTAGTAGCGATGGGGTTTCTCCATATTAGTCAGGCTGGTCTCAAACTCCCAATCTCAGGTGATCCGCCTGCCTCAGCCTCCCAAAGTGCTGGGATTACAGGCGTGAGCCACTGCGCCAGGCATTAACCCTCTTTAATCTGTGTTTACCTGCCCACACCTGAGCCTGACCCCACAAACAATGTGACACAGTTTTAGCCCAGTCCCAGTTTATTGTGGAGGAAAATGGGGGACATGGAGCTGAGCAGAACAGACCCTTCCCTCTCCTCTCACAGGCCCCTAGGGAGATGGGTGTCAGGACTCAGTGAAGTGAAATGGGGCCGAGGAAGCCAGAGACTGACAAGAGAGCAAGAGAGGACAGGAGGCAGAACAACACTAGGACAGGCGGGGGTTGGTGGAGACAGTGAGGCAGGGACACAAAATTGCCAAGTCAGGACATCTGCACAGAATTCTATTCCTCATCCTTTTTTTTGGAGACGGAGTCTCACTGTGTCACCCAGGCTGGAGTGCAGTGGCGCGATCTCGGCTCACTGCAACCTCTGCCTCCCGGGTTCAAGTGATTCTCCTGTCTCAGCCTCCTGAGTAGCTGGGATTACAGAGGTGTGCCACCACACCCAGCTGATTTTTCTATTTTTAATAGAGAGCGGGTTTTACCATGTTGGCCAGGCTGGTCTCAAACTCCCAATCTCAAGTGATCCGCCCACCTCGGCCTCCCAAAGTGCTGGGATTACCGGCGTGAGCCACCATGCCCGGCCTCCTCGTCCTTCTTGCTGCTAGTTCAGTCTGGTACTGGGTCTTAGAGACATGGACAAGACAGGGGAAACAGAGCTAGATGTCAATAGGCAGGTGACTGGATTGAGAGGGATGGGGGATACTGGAACACTCAGATGATGGGGAAGGAATGGAGGAACCACTGTGCCTTTCTCAGGTCAGCCTGTCTGGGCAGAATCCACACTAGAGATTCTTTTCTAGGGGGAAGAACAGCACCAGAGCTCAGACAGGCACAGTGGCTCACACCTGTAATCCCGGCACTTTGGGAGGTCGAGGAGGGCAGATTACGAGGTCAGGAGTTCGAGACCAGCCTGACCAACATGGTGAAACCCCGTCTCTACTAAAAATACAAAAAATTAGCCAGGCGTGGTGGTGCACGCCTGTAGTCCCAGCTACTCGGGAGGCTGAGGCAGGAGAATCGCTGGAACCCGGGAGGTGGAGGTTGTAGTGAGCAGAGATCATGCCACTGCACTCCACCCTGGGTGACAGAGCGAGACTTTGTCTCAAACAAACAAAAAAACAGCACCAGAGTTCAAGAGAGAAAATTACACAAAAGTCATATAGATGCTAGTGGTACAACAGACGGAGGCCTAAGAAATCACAGTGACCAAAGAATGTGGGTGTTTTCAGAGAGGGCAGTGCAGGATGCTGAGGGTGTTACAGAAAGATATTTGCACTGTGGAATTCAGGAAGGGTGAGGTGTCAAGAGTCCAGCCTGGGGAAGAACCAAAAGTCCTGAACTATTGAGGAACAAGTACATGCGGCGCAGCTCAGCAAAAGACAAGCCCAGGTTCAGGGACAGTGTGACCATGGGGTCCAGGCCATCAGGCTCCGTCCCAGCATGGAAATTGGGGAGGGGCAGGGAGAGGTTCAGGGCCTGGTAGAACCACTGAATCTGGGAGTCAGACAGAGGCAGGGCCAGGGGCCTGTCATGGGGCTCCGGCAGAGAGCTCTGGAGTTGGGGGCTTGACCAGGAGTTGCAATAATCGTACTGACAGCACTGGGCCTGATACCAGTACTCTGCAAAGTAGGTGTTGCGTTTTTCTTGGCAGCGGTAGGAAATGTACTGTCCACAGCCTCGAACGATGAAGCGAACCTTGACATCTGAGGGAGAGGGGAAAGCTGATAACCCCTTCCAATAGCTTCCCATAGTCCAAGAACCCCTGCTACTGACTTTTCCCATCCTTCACCCAGACCTAATTTACTTCTAACCCAGAGTCCTTCAAGAGGCTAGAAAAGTGAGCTCTGCTGGCCCCCTAGAACCTTAGACCCCTCCTTCCAAGATTCTTCTGGTTTTTTTTGAGACAGGGTCTAGCTCTGTTACTCAGGCTGGAGCATGGTGGCGCAATCTTGGCTCACTGCAACCTATGCCTCCTGAGTTTAAGAGATCTCCCACCTCAGCCTCCCGAGTAGCTGGGACTACAGGTGCATACCACCATGCCTGGCTATTTTTTTGTAGAGACAGGGTCTCACTATGTTGCCTAGGCTGGTCTTGAACTCTAGAGCTTAAGTGATCCACCTGCCTCAGCCTCCCAAAGTGCTAGGGTTACAGGCATGAGCCATTGCACTCAGCCCCTCCTCTCTTCTTGTACCCCATGCCCGGAGCAGCCCTGATCTGTGAGAGGAGAGAAGACCAAGCCATTGGCTGCCCCACCAGCAGCCCCTTCCTGGGACCTTATTTACCATAATAGATGGTGATCACCATGCACAGGGATGAGCTGCTGATGGTACACTTCTCTGAGCCTGAAATGCATCCTACAGAAGGGTCTTCTACGAGGCAGAAGTGGCACGTCCGGATGTCGGGAACAGGAACTGGGGAGGCAGAAGGAGGGATGGAGGCACTGGGTCACTCTCAAATACCCTGGGCCAGTAGGAAGCCCGATTATCCATGGCCACGCTCCACCCCCTTCCTGGACTCAGTTACCCCTTCCTCCCTCCCTGCCCCTGGGCCCCACTTACCCTTTCCTACTGTGAAGCCCACCATGACCAGCACACCTACAAGCATATGGACCTTCATTTTGGAATTCTGGGGAGATGGGCAGTTCCTGAGGGGATGCCCTGAAACCCCACCTTCCTGTGACCATGCTCCTTAATCCTAAGCTGCAGGGTGGTTTTGACAAGGTCTGAGCAGGAGCTGCTGTAAATGCAGAGCTATATTCCTACTTGGGGCAGGATCCTGGCTGGGAAGGAAGTTATTACTTGGCAGGAGGGACAGCATGTCCTCACCCACAACGTCTGGTTCCTGAGTGTGGGAGTAATGGCCCAGATGGGGTAATACCTGGGCACTACCGGGTTCTTTATCCAGTGTCTACCTTTGTCTTGCATACCCTCCAAAGACCTATTCCCTCCCTTGGAAAGTCCATGGGTTAGTATCTATCTCTGCCACCATGTGCTGTCTTCGTCATACAACAGGGCCAATCCCCACTGTGCTGGGACAACCTGGCCAGGAAATCAAGCATCCCCATCCTTCTGAGATGAGCAGTCTCAGCTCCACCAGCGGCAGGCACACACACATCACTGAGCAGCAATTCCGGACCTTGTCCCACCTCGTTCCACCCTTTAGTTATACTGACTTTAGGCTACTTTTCCTTTAGAACTAAAACTAAAAGATGGAGCTGCTGATTAAGCCCCTTACAGTATAAACAGACAGTCATAGATATCCAAACAAATATTTCTCATCTTTGAAATATGCTTTGTCTTTTCCTTTTGACCTTGCATTTCATCACACGCAGTCCTAGGAATTCTGTTCTGCTCCATACTAAAAACACCACCCAATCCACTGAGCACAAATCTGTCCTGGTTTTCAATCTGGGGAGGGTGGGCTGGGCCATGAGGGCCCCTGGAGTCCAACACACCATCACCTTCCCTTCCCCAACAGCAAGCACCAGCAGACTAGCTCATGGCCTTTTCTTCTACTTTATTTCATATTCCCACCACGATAACGACTCCTTTAATTTAAACTAAAAACCATACAGGGTTCCTGAAAGGGTGGCAAAAAAGAAAGGAAAAGTCAAAGACTGCAGGACAGGTGGGGGAGGGAATCAGCGAATCGTCTTGACTGGGCTCTTGAAGTTGCTGGCGGCTTGGAGCTGCAGCTGGTAGGCCATCGGATGGATCTTGAAACCGTAGAGCCTAGGCCAGGGCAGAGGTCAGAGAGGCAGCAGCATGAGCCCCATCCAGGCCCTGCCAGTCACCTGCATTCCCACCTCCCCACCTGAGCTCCTCTATGGACCTGCTCAGAGCTAAAGCCTCGTGGTTCCCAACTTCTCAGCTCAAGAACATTCTACAATAAGGTAACTCAAGCACAGATAATCAAATAACTTTCCCACAGTCACTCAGCAGGGAGATGCCCTGATTCTGGGAGAAGCAGACCTCAAGAAAGGGCCATGCCCTGTCCTCCCCTCTCTGGGGGATCTTGGGCCTTTCCTTTGACCCTTAATGACTCTCCCTGCTCCCTACCTGGGCACAAACTGGTTGGCAGGTCTCTTGGGCCGGTACTCGGGATGCACCATGAAGAGCATGTGAGGGAAACCAGTGCCGAAGTAGGCGCCATCCGTGTGATGGTGTCTTGATGACTTGGGTGTGTACACATCCATGCACTTGGGGCAGTAGAGCTTCACCATGGCTTCACCTGGGATGTCTGAAAGGCCTGGGAGACAGCCAGACTCAGCAGGCCAGGTATCCCCCTATTCCTACCTAACCTCCCCTCAGGACTCAGGCTCCAATGTGTTGAGCCCCAACTCCTTCCCATAAGACTGCCACACGGTGCTTTCCTTTCCCTTCTTCAACACTCACCAATGGGAAGCATTGGCTGGTTCTCACAGTACACACGAGGACAGTAACCAAAGTCTCCTTGCTGGTACTTTTCCAACTGAGGTGAATACAATGGAAGGGGTTGGCAGGTAGATGTAAAGAAGAGGCAACTCCCTTCGCAGCCCAACCCATACCACTCTGTCCCCCACTCCTCCCACCTCTGTCCAGAGGCCCCTTCTCTGGACTAGATGGGCTCTCAAACTTCTGTGTTGCCTTTCTTCCAATTAGGCAGGCTACAAACCATCAGAGCCATTTGTTGTTTGTTCCTTGAGGAAGAGGCAGTCTATCACAACTCTCTGATTCAAGGTCTGTCTCCCTCCCTGAAAACAATCCCTTCAGGATGACCCCCAATCAGAATTCAATTCCCAGGCCCAAGTTCTGGGGTTCTTCCCCTCTTCTCAGCTAGCTTCCTTAAACAGGGCTTAAACATGACTTCTTGCTGCAGGAACCTGTGTCTCTTACTGCTCAGAAGGAGGCAGGTAGGAGCAGAGAGGCCTCACCATCTGGGCGATGCCACGGTTGGTAAGGATGTAGCGGGCGTGGATCAATCCATAAAGCATCTCGGCTGCCTGCTCAATCAGGTCACTCTGGTTGGGGTTGTCTTCCAGTTCTTCATCTGAAACACAGCCCGGCCAAATGCAACTACTTGTTTTTCAGCTTTCCTAGGTGCCCTGCCCATATCCAGGGGCTGCGGGCTATTCAGTTTGCCTAGCACCTACTTTTGGGCCTTACCCCATCCAACATCTGGGCATGGGACCCAGAAACCTGGGCTTCTGACCCTTGCATCAAACGAAGACAGCTCTGCCTTCCCTTCACACCTTTTCAGCCTCTGCTCCTTGCTCTCCCTCCCAACTCCCTCCTCAATACATAACTGCAACAATGTCAATGCAGAAGATGAAATTCTAGACTGGAAGGTGCAAAGCAGGAGAAACAGACAACAAACCAGACCCATGAGGAAACGCATTTTGGAATAGGTCTGAATTGCGGATTTAGAAAACATGAGAACAAGTGATATACGTCACAAAACTAGACAAGAGTCAGGTGGAGGATCAAAATAAAGCATGAATTTGGGGTTAAAGAAATCAGAGAACCAAAGGAAATTTCAAAATTCAGGCAAGTGAATAGAGATTTGAAGAGAAAAATAGTGCACGCACACACACAAAACAACCCTGAGGGTGCCTCACCAGGCTCCAGGTCCAAGATCATGTCTAGAGCTTGTCGATAGTGAGGGACCTGCTCATTGAGTCCAGTAAGATTAAATTTGTCCTGGATGTAGTCTTCATCCACCTGTCAGGACATGGAAGCCAAGAGGGAACCCATATCAAAATCCTCATCTTTGACCTGGGCAAAATGCTCTAAGTGATGCCTTATCATCAACACAACTGCATCTGTTGTGCTTGTTTCTCACTCCCAACTCAGCAGAAGTACTTGTGTCTCTCCCTAGTTCACCTACACTCTCTCCCATAAAAGCTTTGGCTTTTCTTTTCTAAGGATAAGTAGATACAGCAATCTTTTTCTTAGACATTCTTTTCAAGATCTTTGTCCCTACTCCACTCCTGTATCCCGTCTCTAGGAACCAGTTTTGTCCTCTCAGCTGGCTAAGGAAGGTGGAAGCTGAACAGCATGGTTTCTGAACAAAACATTTCAATGTGTAGCATTTCAGTTTTCCTAAAGGCCACCTGAGACAAGTACTAGCAGTGCCACTTTAGTAACAAAAGATACAGGCCGGGCGCAATGGCTCACGCCTGTAATCCCAGCACTTTGGGAGGCCGAGGCAGGCAGATCACCTGAGGTCTGGAGTTCGAGACCAGCCTGGCCAACATAGTGAAACCCTGTCTCTACTAAAAATACAAAAATTAGCCAGGCATGGTGGCAGGCACTTGTAATCCCAGCTACTTGGGAGGCTGGAGCAGGAGAATCGCTTGAACCTGGGAGGCAGAGGTGGCAGTAAGCCGAGATCGCACCACTACCCTCCAGCCTCGGTGACAGAGTGAGACCCAGTCTCAAAAAAAAGAAAAAGACACAAATTGACTAGCCCAACGTTATATTGCTGGACGGTGGCAGACTCAGGACTTGGGCCCCAGTTTTGCCACTTTAGCACAGGTTCGTCGGGGTTTATAGGGGGGACTCTTTGCTGATAGGAAGTTTTCAAATAGCATGTAAGAGAACAGTGCAGAAGTGGAATATGTGAAGGAACGTCTGGTGGGAAGATATGTGAAGCTGGCAAGTAGGGAGGTTGAAGAGAACTCACTTCACAGAAGAATTCATTGCCACGGAGCCCACAGAACCAGGAAATCCAGGACACCTCCTCTGAGCTGCTCATCTTCACGTCAGCTAGAAAAAGAACAGTGTCAGTAAAGCTCAAGTTCTCCTTCCCTGCCTCTGGTATCCTCCCTCCTCCCACATTCGGCCCTCCAACCACGGGAGAATTCGGAACCACCCTTTCTTAAAGCAACCCAAACTCTGAAGCACTCCTCTCCAGCTCCTCTAATTTACATCTCAGCCCCTTTTCTTTGAAGTTAAACATTCTTTGGGGTCCCACCACTTGAAAGAAGCCAACAGATACTTTGACCCACCAGCCCGACCCACATCCCTGGAGCTCCCGAAGGCCAGGGCCCTCTCTCCTCTGTGTCAACTCCGGCAGGGACCTCGACTCAGGCTCCCTACCAATACAAGTCTCTGCATGACCCCCACGCCTTTCCCAAGGGTTTCCAAGTTTATCATTCTCAAGCAAGAACTGGGCTCCTCCTTTTCTCACGGGTTGGGGGCGATTGTCAGGTCCCTTTCACCGGAATCCACACATCCCCCCTCCGCTCCTCAGGCCACCTCTCCCTCCTTCGTGCCGGACCTGGTCGCTTCCTCCCCCGCCCCCACATCAAAGTCCGGAGACCCCATGTGCCGCTCCCAGCGACAAGGGACTCGGAGCAGCGACGACTTCAGACTCACCGGCTGGACGGGGACCAGGACTGGGGTGGGGTAGGGAAGTTGCTACTTCCAGGGAACGGCGGCGACCGCTACAGCGCAGGCCGCGGACCCGACCGCGGCAGGCGAAGTGGGGTGGGGGGAGTGGAAATTAGGGAGGGTGGGGAAGAGGGCAACACGCAAGCGCCAAGGGTCAGGTGCCGCGGTGGATGCCGGGACACGGAGTCCCCGGTAGAGAAAGAAACTGGCTAAATGAGAGAAAGCGAACTACCAATCCCAGGATGACCCGCGCACGACCTGGCTGTCACGAAGGCCCGGAGGAGGGCGCTTGCGGGCGGGGCACAACGAGAAGCCACCGGAAGCGGAAGCCAGGTATGGCGTTCGGGGCCCGGGAGTCTGGGCAATACAGTTTTGTGCTCACTGGGTGAAGAGGCTGACTTAGGGCGGGGAAAGGAGGGAGCCAGGCTGGATCTCTTTCCGCAGCTCTCCTCACGTTCCCCTCTAGTCCCGGCGCGGCGCTGCTGCCCAGGGGACTGGCCTATCCTCGGCCAATCCGCTGGGTCCTTATTGCCTGTTGGGCCCCTAGTGCGAATCAGTCCCGCCAGAGACCCTTGACGGGCATACTGTTTCCTCCGGGCTCCTGCCTCATGAGGGGAGAGGTGCGGCTTGGCTCCGTGCGTAGGGACTTGGGTGGGGTGGGGTGGGCGGTGTGAGAACTGGAACGTCCCAGTGCGCTAACCTGAGGTGGTGCCAGCCATTCTGCTCGTCCCTTTGCACTTCTCCATTTCCCCTTAGGCTCTAAGTGTGACCTTCGAACCCTGGTCAGAGTAATGGTGAGGGGCAGGCGTGACGTTATTTCATTACACGGCTTCTCGGCATTCCACAGGTTTCCCTCCGCCTCCTGAGGGCCTTTCCTAACCCACAGAGTGGATTCCTGGCTCCAGAAAATGGGCTTGGAGCGGGGGCCACGTTGAGGAAGGCGAAGGGCATTGTGGGGGCGTTATGTAAAAGTAGGACCCCAACCGACAGATCCTAGTGCTCGCGCCACCTGGGCGCGCGGAGCTTTGCTCGTTTACTATTGAAAAAGTTCCAGCGCGGGAAACTGAACCCGGAGCTTTGCGCACGCCCGAGCCCTCAAGTAATGTGGGTTGTGGTTTTTGTTGTTGTTGTCGCCACGCATGCGTCTTCGTGCCGTGTGGCTATTTGATTGTGTCAACTCTTCTGATTAGAATGGCGCCATTTTGCGGTACGGAAGCTACACAGCAACACGTATAGGAGACTCTCCCCGAGATCTTCTAGGGAGTGACCCATCTATTTTTGTTTGGGAAGAGGAAACTCCGAAATGGGATCGCGGAAGACTTAAAGGGCCAGGCTGATTTTTTTTTCCTACTGGTATGTCTTACGGGGTGGGAAAGTGGTTTCAGAAAGAGGCTGGTGTTTATTGTTGGTGAGGATGGGGGTGGGGGCCGGACGCAGGACCTCTGGACAACAGTCTCATGGAGTTTTATTAATCTTTACTAAGGAGCAAAGTCGGTATTGTAGGGTTCCATGTTTTTACGCAAAGTCTCTCTCCCTTAGGCCCTGCAGAGTCCTAAGTTGTGGGGTTACTTTAGTGGCAGGAAAGTGTTTTTGACTACTTTTTCTCATCCCAGCAGGTCTCTGAGGCTGTGGTTGCTACAGGGTCACCACGAGCTTGGCTTACTTGTCTCATCCTTCCCTTGCCTGGTATCATTTTCTCAGTTCTCCCAAAAGCCATGTCCCGGCCCTTGCTCATCACCTTCACCCCAGCCACT
The DNA here is from genome assembly GCF_000001405.40 of Homo sapiens. NCBI lineage: Eukaryota > Metazoa > Chordata > Mammalia > Primates > Hominidae > Homo > Homo sapiens. The sequence goes on along the minus strand of NC_000006.12, from coordinate 31,664,439 downwards.
GACCCCAGCGACCTCTGGAAGGATGGGCAGCAGCAGCCACAGCCCGAGAAGCCAGAGTCCACCCTGGATGGGGCTGCAGCCCGAGCTTTCTATGAGGCCCTGATTGGGGATGAGAGCAGCGCTCCTGACTCCCAGAGATCTCAGACTGAACCTGCCAGAGAAAGAAAGAGAAAGAAAAGAAGAATAATGAAGGCACCAGCAGCAGAAGCAGTGGCAGAAGGAGCATCAGGAAGACATGGACAAGGGAGATCCCTTGAGGCTGAGGATAAGATGACTCACCGGATACTGAGGGCAGCCCAGGAGGGGGACCTGCCAGAACTTAGGAGACTGCTGGAACCGCATGAGGCAGGAGGAGCTGGGGGGAATATCAACGCCCGGGATGCCTTCTGGTGGACCCCACTGATGTGTGCTGCTCGAGCGGGCCAGGGGGCAGCTGTGAGCTATCTCCTGGGCCGTGGGGCTGCCTGGGTGGGGGTCTGTGAGCTGAGTGGCAGGGATGCGGCTCAGCTCGCTGAAGAAGCTGGCTTCCCTGAGGTAGCCCGCATGGTCAGGGAGAGCCATGGAGAGACAAGGAGCCCGGAAAACCGGTAAGGGGAAACTTTAGCTCAGACCCATGTCTCATTGTGTTCTGCCTCTCCCAGCCACACCACACCAGACGCCCCAGCACAGTGCTGAAGAGTTCTTTCCTTATCCTCATGTGTAGGTTGACAGGGTAGTATAGTCAAGTGGTTATAAACATGAGCTCCCTGGATTTAAAGCCTGATTCCACTTACTTGGGCAAACAACCTAATGTCTACATGTTCCAGTTTTCTCATCTTAGAAATGGGGGTAGTAAGAATTGTTGTTAGGATTCAATGGGTTAATATATGTAAAATGCTAGAATAGTGCATGCCGCATAGTATGCAATACATGAATGTTAGCTATAGTCATTATGACTAATGTCCCTCCCCTTGCCCAAGAGTTTGCTAGGTCTGGTTACCATTTTTTTCTTTCAACTATTCTGCTCTGGATCCCACAATGGTTTAAAGAAATTTGTTTTTAAGACAAGTCAAGTGCAGTAGTGAGAAGGAGGGGAAAAGTGGAGTAAGGAGTTTGATCTGTAACTGAGTGAACAATTAATTCAGATAACTCACCACCACCTTTGGACCAGCCTGGATCCCTCACTGTTAAGTAGGAAGGAAGGCAATTTGTCCCTTTTTTTTTTTTTTTTTTTTTTGAGACAAAGTCTCACTCATCTCACTCTGTCGCCCAGGCTGGTGTGCAATGGTGTGATTTCAGCTCACTGCAACCTCCGCTTCCTGGGCTCAAGCATATTTTTTGTAGAAAGCAGGCTTTGCCGGGACATGGTGGCATGTGCCTGTAATCCCGGCTACTTGGGAGGCTGAGGCAGGAGAATCGCTAAGGTGGAAGTTGCAGTGAGCCAGGATCATGGCACTGCACTCCAACCTGGGCAGCAGAGCAAGACTCCATCTCAAAAAAAAAAAAAAAAAAAGCAGGCGTTGCCATTTTGCCCAGGCTGGTCTCAAACTCCTGAGCTCAAAGCCATCTGCCCGCCTCTGCCTCCCAAAGTGTTGGGATTACAGGCGTGAGCCACTATGCCTAGCTGGCAATTTGTTCCTTAGCAGAAAAGCTGAAAAGATCCTATTCTACCCTGCCAGCCCCCTCTGAGGCCTCAACTCTTCCCCTTTTCCTTCCCCTGCCCTTAATGCTTTTTCTTCTTTCTCTGCAGGTCTCCTACTCCCTCCCTCCAGTACTGCGAGAACTGTGACACCCACTTCCAAGATTCCAACCACCGCACATCCACTGCTCACCTGCTGTCACTGTCGCAGGGTCCTCAGCCTCCCAACCTTCCACTTGGGGTGCCCATCTCCAGCCCGGGCTTCAAACTGCTGCTGAGGGGGGGCTGGGAGCCAGGAATGGGGCTGGGACCCCGGGGTGAGGGCCGTGCCAATCCCATCCCCACTGTCCTCAAGAGGGACCAGGAAGGACTAGGCTACAGATCAGCACCCCAGCCCCGAGTGACACATTTCCCAGCTTGGGATACCCGAGCTGTGGCTGGGAGGGAGAGACCCCCTCGGGTGGCCACACTGAGCTGGAGGGAGGAGAGAAGGAGGGAGGAGAAAGACAGGGCTTGGGAGCGGGATCTAAGGACTTACATGAACCTCGAGTTCTGACTTTGGTAAAGTCTGACCCTAGTCTGCTGCTGAAGTCTGAACTTGGGCCTCTGACCTGGGCCCTTTGACTTCCCCTTCCTGGGATCTGCTCAGATGCAGATCCTGAAGTTTTTGGTCAATAGGCTCTGTCTTCGTGAGAGACGGGCTGAGAGTCAGAAATAAATCAACCATTTGTGGTTTATTCACTTTTCTGGAAGCTATTTTGAGGAAGCCAAACAGAAGCCTGGGAGCCACATGCAAGTCCCACCTGAGTCAGAAGGGGCAGCCTCTCCAGGTGGCATGATAAGGTCACCTCCCTGCCAATCTGGGTTCACTTTCAGGTCCCAGACCCTCCTGGGAGTCCCCCACCTATTCTTTCAACCCCCCTGGACCAAGAATTGCCCAGCTTCGTGCAAGTCTCACTTCCCCCAGGAGGAGTTCCCTGACTACAGCCAATTCACTGATTTCACAAACATAAGTCCATATACTATGTGCCAAGAATACAGGTAAAGACATTCCCAACCCTCAAAGAGTTCACAGCTGGAGAGGGAAAGTGCCATGTTATCAATTTTTTTCTTTTTTTTTTGAGATGCAGTTTCGCTCTCATTGCCCAGGCTGGAGTGCAATGGCATGATCTCGGCTCACCACAACCTCTGCCCCCCGAGTTCAAGGGATTCTCCTGCCTCAGCCTCCCCAGTAGCTGGGATTACAGGCATGCCCCACCACGCCCAGCTAATTTTGTATTTTTAGTAGAGACGGGGTTTCTCCATGTTGGCCAAGCTGGTCTTGAACTCCCGACCTCAGGTGATCCGCCGGCCTCGGCTTCCCAAAGTGCTGGGGTTGCAGGCATGAGCCACCACTCCCGGCCCATGTTATCAAATATTATAATGCAGGGTGATAAGGGAAGTCAAGGCCTCTAGAGATGAGAATGGGTAGGGTTTTGCTGGAAGAGGCCAGTGTGATAGGAAGGCCCACGATTATCAAGCTTGTACACTTAGTTGAACTGGGACCAGAACTCTAGCCCCCAAATCTAAACTTTAAACTTCTTTGTTCCACCCATTTGTCTACACTTTTCTTTCCCACACTTCCCCACTCTCCCACCACCCACCCCCTTGTCTTGCTCATGCCGGGTGGTAGGCACAAGAAGAGCTCACTGTTGTGAAATCCAGGAATTCAAATTTGCAGACGGGCAGGGGAGGGCTGTTCAAGTCGCAAGACTCCTCATTTTTTCTTTTCTGGGAAAGCCTTTCATGAAGTCTTGGATGCGAAATGGAGGAGTGGTGGGGGATGTGGAAAAGAACCCAGGGGCAGGGGGCTGTAGGGGGCGACCGAGTTTAGGGAAGCATGAGAAACCCGGGAAAATGGGGAGCTGGGTTTATATTAAGGTCCTGGTCCTTGCTAATCTCGGTTTGGCGGTCCGGCGCGCACAGACAGCGCGGGGTATACGGGGGCGGTCTATTCGCAGGGTCCGCCCCATGAGCTGCGGCACCGCCCCCGCGGGTCCTTCCAGTCCTGGTGCAGCTGCTTCCGGGCTTCGCGGCTCCCGGCGGCTCCCCAAGGCCGCGGCCCCGACGCTGGGCCCGGGAGCGGTCCCCGCGCACAGCGCCCGGACGCGTAGGTCCCGAAGTAGGCCCGCGCTTTGCTTCGTAACTGGGGATCTCTGAGGACATCTTAGTTCTGACCTTGTGGAGGCCGCGTCTCTGCTGCGTGTTCGCGGGCCAGTCGGGCCACTTTGTAGAAATCATAGCCCTCTAAATCAAGGGACGAACGCTGCTGGCTGGAGTTTGCTGGACACTTTCATTCCACCTCCTAACAAAGAGAATTCCTATTCCTTGAGGTCCCTTGGGGCAGCAGTTAAAGACTACACGATCCAGGAGCACCTAGGACCTGGGGCCACCTTCCTGCCCGCTTTATTGGATGGAGCACTGCCTCCCCAGTTTCTGGGACACCTTGGGGTGTGGCCTTGGTGAGTGAAACTTGGGGTGCTGCCTGCTGGGAAGGAAATCCGGAAACGCAGAGAGGACTCTCTGGTGGTGACCCAGGCCTTGTCAGATCTGAGATTCTTGGAATCTCAGATTGTGGGGGTGTGGATGGTGAATGAATTTGGGTATGCCCCCCTTTACCCCAGAACTGAAGAGGAAGCAAACTACTTGCCACACTTGAGGCTGCATGACTATTCAGAGAAGGGAGGAGCCACTTCTGAATTCAGAGTAGGACTGCATCACCAGGCAAATACCTGTTCTGAGCCAGAAAGACTCTGGCTTCTGAGGAGATCCTGAGAGTCTGAGTAGTGCCAGGAAGCAGCCTCAGAATTTGGGGGCCCATTACACACCCCAGCCATGTTCCTGCGACGGCTTGGTGGCTGGCTACCTCGCCCTTGGGGCCGCCGGAAACCAATGAGGCCTGACCCGCCTTACCCAGAACCCAGACGGGTGGACAGCTCCTCGGAGAATTCAGGAAGTGACTGGGATAGTGCCCCAGAAACCATGGAAGATGTGGGGCATCCCAAGACTAAGGACTCGGGGGCATTGAGGGTTTCTGGGGCTGCTTCCGAACCAAGCAAGGAGGAGCCCCAAGTTGAGCAGCTAGGGAGCAAAAGAATGGATTCCCTCAAGTGGGACCAGCCTATCTCTAGCACTCAAGAGTCTGGGAGACTGGAGGCTGGAGGGGCCAGTCCCAAACTCAGATGGGATCATGTGGATTCAGGTGGCACCAGGAGACCAGGGGTGTCCCCTGAAGGGGGACTGAGCGTCCCTGGGCCAGGAGCCCCATTGGAGAAACCTGGTAGGCGTGAGAAGCTGTTGGGCTGGCTGCGGGGGGAACCAGGAGCTCCCTCCCGGTACTTGGGGGGCCCAGAAGAGTGTCTGCAGATCTCCACCAACCTGACCCTGCATCTTCTGGAGCTGCTGGCCTCTGCCCTGCTGGCCCTGTGCTCACGACCACTGCGGGCAGCCTTGGACACACTGGGCCTGCGTGGACCGCTGGGCCTCTGGCTACATGGCCTACTGTCCTTCCTGGCTGCCCTGCATGGGCTCCATGCTGTTCTGAGCCTACTTACTGCCCACCCTTTGCACTTCGCCTGCCTCTTTGGTCTCCTGCAGGCCTTGGTGCTGGCTGTCAGCCTCCGGGAGCCCAATGGGGATGAGGCGGCCACTGACTGGGAGAGTGAGGGGTTGGAGAGGGAAGGTGAGGAGCAGAGGGGAGACCCGGGAAAGGGGCTGTGACCGTGGGGTGGGGGCAAAGGGTGAAGAGAGTGTGGGCTTTAGGAGAAAAGTGTGAGGCATGACCCAAATTGTAAGCATAGGGACCTCAGGGATGGGGAAGAAACCCGAGTACGAGGGTGCAGGGCCCCCCTTCATACACAGGAGAGAACAGAACTATTTAGGGTGTTTGTGTTTATGGACAGTGAGGGCACTGCTCTTGGATTCACCAGCTGTTATTTTTGCTTTTACTTTTCTCCCACCTTCAGTTTTTTTTTTTTTTCCACCTCCACTTTTTAAAAGCAAAAAAAAAAAAAAGTATGATGGTGGTGAATAAAGACCAAAGGGTCCTCTCTACCTTTGAAAACTCTCCTGGGGTGGAGGAGACCAGGGCAGGATAGACAGACCTCTGCAGTAAGAGAGTGGTTGGGAAACCCAGGGTGTTCCTTGGATCTCAGGATCTGAGCCATCGAGGGAAGAGTGGGGCTGCTAGGCAAGTGGATTAGGGGGTCTGGATAGGGCCCCACAGGTGACAGGGAGCCTGCAGGGCGGATCTGGTGATCATGGGAGCCAGAGGGAGTGGGGACAGTGCAGGCAGTATTGGCAGGAGGGCCAGTGCAGAAGGGCTGGTAGCTCAGGCAGTGTGGGGGAAGCACTGAAGCCTGTAGTCCCCACTTGGGGGCTAGGGGTTTGCTCACTCAGCAATAAATAACTGTGTCACATCAAATCCTAAATATACCACTACAAAGTGAGAGTTACTGCCACTCTGTTCTTACTGACACCGTCCAGCTGGGAGTTTAGGTGGTAGAGGATCCAGGGGGAATGTTGAAATGGGAGGAGTGGGAATGACGTCTGGAGACAAACCCCAGAATGAGATGAGGATTGAAAAATTATCTTTATTATCTTGAGTGGGAGCTGGAGCTGGAAGTCTCCAGCTTCTCCCTCCAACAACTCAGCTCCCATTGTACCCATCTGGGGACTTAGATGAAGTTACAGGTCAGTTATTGGACAGCTCACAGGCCTCTGTGATGGGGGGAGGGAAAAAGAAGGACAGAAGGGAAGTCCAGGGAGAAAAGCAAAGTTGATAGTAATGGGGTGGGGGAGAACGTGTTCTTTCATTCCCTGTGTCAAAGGGGAGTCTCTAAGGCTCTTTTCCCTCCACGTATGACCCTCTGCCCCCTTTATCCAGTGCAAACTCAGAAACCTCTCTTTTGAGTAGCCCAGAACCCATCCTGCCTCCCTCAGGTGACATCACAGCTCTTAGCCACATCCCTCTGGTGACATCACACGAGCCTCTTTCACCCTGTAACACCAGAAGACTTGGTGAGTCCTAATCCTGTTTTATGAGATTTTAACCCCTTACCTTGATTCCTAGGAGTCAATAAGAAGGCTTTGGAGTCCAGGCAGGAAGTCAGGGACTTGAATTCCTCCACACACTTTTCGGGAGGATGTGGTGAGCGATCTGGAAGGGCAAGGTGGGGTCAGGCCAGTCAAAACCCCTGGAAGCACCTAGCTCTTCCTGGGAGGGTGTCATAGGACCCAGAGTGAGGAGTTCTCCTGCCCTCCCTTGTTTCCCTCCAACCCTTCCTGCCTTGTATCCCTACTCACTGTAGAGGAGAAAGCGCTGGTAACCCTGGCCTGTCTCATTCAGCATGATTCCACCTGGGCATGAGCTGGAAAAGAGCTCAGTCTTCATGTCAGGGCGGCCTGTCAAGGCAGGTGGGAGAAGTATGAGAACAGAGATGCAGAACCAAACTCAAGGGAGGGTGAGGGCTGGGAAGAACCAACCTTCAGTTCTGAGATCTGTGCTCCCTTCAGTCAGGTGGTAGATCCATTTCCGGGGCACACAGAGCCCATCTTTCCTGCAGAGGTGGTGGTGGCAAGGAGGAAAGAATGAGCATCACCCCAACCATAGTGTCCCAGCTTCTTTTTTTTTTTTTTGAGACAGAGTCTCACTCTGTTGCCCAGGCTGGAGTGCAGTGGCGCCATCTCGGCTCACTGCAAGCTCTGCCTCCCGGGTTCACGCCATTCTCCTGCCTCAACCTCGTGAGTAGCTGGGACTACAGGTGCCCACCACCATGCCCAGCTAGTTTTTTATATTTTTAGTAGAGACGGGGTTTCACTGTGTTAGCCAGGATGGTCTCGATCTCCTGACCTCGTGATCTGTCCGCCTCAGCCTCCCAAAGTGCTGGGATTACAGGCGTGAGCCACCACGTCTGGCCTGTCCCGGCTTCTATTTACTCCATTGTATTTGTTATTGAAGCCCAGCTCTCCTTGGGTTTCAAGCTACCAAGCATTGGTTAGGCACATCTTTCTCCAGAGGGCAATTAATACAGCCACTGAATTCCGTGGGCCAAGCATAGTAGATATACCAGCTAAGAGGCCAGCTCTTGGTGGGTGGATTCTCACACTTTGGGCAGAGACTGAACCCAGTGATGCTTCTGCCTCCTTACCACTCACATGCGGATGGTAGCACGAAGGTGGAGCTGCATCGGGGCAGAGCCAGCAGCCATATTGAAGACAATGTTGTCCACAGGGTCAAAAGTTGCCAACTCCTCCTTGGTGGGAGCTGCCCCTGCGATAAAGTACCACTGGCCCAAGTGGACCTCTGGGAACTGGAGAGACAATGAAGGGAGCAAAAGAGGGTGGGTTCCAGCACAGGATGGGTTCAACCTCTTCATCAGTCAAAACAGCAAGATTTAGGGGTAGAGGTGTTGGCTGCCTTCCTCTTTCCAACTGGGGATTGGATCCATGACAAAGAGTCATTAAATGACTTTTCCTCTTTGCCCCTCCCCAGTCAACCTGGGTAACCACCCCACCCCCCAATTCTGCCATGCCTCTGCATTGATGGCCACAGTACTGATATTTTTCTTCTTGCTTTCATTATCACAACACTCACACCCCCTTCCTCTCTTCCTTTCCCAAGATGGTCTCCAGTCATCCTAGGCCATCCACCCAAGTCCCTCAGAGCCTCCACCATAGGCTTCCCCCAATCTCAGTCCATACCTCCTTCCCATCCACGCCCAGAGTTGTCAGTTGACTGTGCTCAGGGCACTGGTAGATGGAGTTAAGGATAATACCATAGAAGTAGAGCAGAGCTGCCCAAATTTGGTGGAACATCTTCAGGCAGGAGGGAGCTGGTGCTCTGTGTGCCTTAACTGCTCTCTCCCCTACTGGCTGCTCAGTCCACTCTGCTTTCAGCTCCCTTGCGTTCGACCCTTGACCCTTTCACCTGCTAATGAGTAACTTCAACCTTGTTTTCCAACCCAAACCTGGATTACTTAGTGTTTGGGACTTCCTCCCCCTCTTCCGGATGCAACCACTCCATAGTACACCCTGGCATGTCCAGGGTTTCTCAGGAGTTATGAGGAGAGCTGAGCTGTCCAGGGAGAAGCCTGTGGTCTTTGAACCTGTATCTGAGCTGGTTATTTGTTGCACTGTGCAGCACTGAAGGGAAGTAGCTTGACTGGGCCTCTCATTCATTCACTTAGCAAACTGTTTTGAATCCCAAGTCCCAGTTGTTTCCCAAGAACTAGCTAATCCCCGGGGACATAAAAAAACGAATAAGACATAGCCCCTGATCTTGAAGAAGTCGTTAGAGGGAAAACTAGCTGTGTAGACAAACCATTGCAATACAACTTGGTAAATGCTTTAGAACAGGTATGATGCAGGTGCTGGGGCACGGTGGATTGCTCTCTTTAGTTTACAATTAGAAAAATATGTATACCCTGGCAGTGTTCACTGACACATTCACTCAACATTTATTACTACAAAGAGGCTATGTAATCTGGCTGTTAGAGAGGATAGATGTTGGTGTCAGGCAGAATGTGTCCAAACCCTAACTACAGGCAGGGCAGGTAGCTCATGCCTGTAATCTCAGCACTTTGAGAGGCCAAGGTGGGCGGATGGCTTGAGCCCAGGAGTTCAAAACCAGCCTGGGCTACATGGCAAAACTCTGTCTCTACAAAAAATACAAAAATTAGCCGATGTGGTGGCACACGCCTGTAGTCCCAGCTACTAGGGAGGCTGAGGAGGGAGGATTGCTTGAGCCTGGGATGTCGAGGCTGCAATGAGCCCTGATTGTGCCACTGCACTCCAGCTTGGGCGACAGAGACTCTGTCTCCAAACAAACAAAACACCACCAACCCCTAACTGCTATGTCTGTTTTTTCATCTGTAAAATTGGCAAATCATCAATCTTATAGGATTAAATGAAATAATGCACATAAAGCCCTTAGCAAAGACTTGCACATGGTAAGTCCAAAGTATATATTTGCTATAATTAATAGTAATGTTTGCAAAGCACTTAGTTTCTGGTGGGTAATAAGTTCTCAAATAATAGGCAGTAAGAATTGCCAAATAGGTTGTCCTTGGATAGCACCAAGTGACTGGAGCAGTTAATGCTGTGAGAGATGGATCTTCCTCGATAGATTATTTATTTACTTATTTATTTTTAAGACAGGGTCTCACTCTGTCGCCCAGGCATGACTTTGACTTCCCCGGCTCAGATGATTCCCGAGTAGGAGGTATAGGTGCACGCCATCACGCCTAGCTAATTTTTTGTAGACACGGAGTTTCACCATGTTGCCCCAGGCTGGTATTAAACTCCTGAGCTCAAGCAGTCGGCCCACCTTAGCCTCCTAAAGTGTTGGGATTACAGGCATGAGCCACCACACCTAGCTTGATAAATTTATATCCCATGGACTGCCACAAAAAATTTGCCGAGGGCTGAGGCTTGCGATTTAGTTAAAAAACAAACAAAATTTGGGTGACCAGTATATTAGAGTTTATTAATACTGTTCTATTTTGGTGTAATGTTTGAATTTTTTTTTTTTTTTTTTTGAGATGGGAGTCTCGTTCTGTTGCCCAAGCTGGAGTGCAGTGGCGCGATCTTGGCTCACTGCAATCTCCACCTCCCGGGTTCAAAGCAATTCTCTGCCTCAGCCTCCCAAGTAGCTGGGATTACAGGCGCCCGCCACCACGCCAGGCTAATTTTTGTATTTTTAGTAGAGATGGGGTTTCACCATTTTGGCCAGGCTGGTCTTGAACTCCTGACCTCGTGATCCACCCGCCTCATCCTCCCAAGTGTGAGTCACTGCGCCCGGCCGAAAATTTTTGTAATAAAAAGCTAAAATGTGGTTAGGCACAGTAGCTCACACCTATAATCCCAGCACTTTGGGAGGCCAAGTCTGCAAGACCAGGCTGGGCAACATAGCAAGACCCCATCTCTATAAAAATAAAATTAGCCAGGTGTGGTGGTGTGCATCTGTGGTCCCTACTAGGGAGGCTGAGGTGGGAAGATCGGTTGGGCTCGGGAGGCAGAGGCTACAGTGAGTTGTGATTGCGCCACTGCACTCCAGCCTGGGCGACAAAGCGAGACCCTCTCTCAAAAAAATAAGCTAAAATGTTAACAGCTTTTTATTGGGGCAGTAAAGTACAAGTGCTCGATCTGGAGTCCTGTAGGCCTGGATTTGTCAATTCTGACACTTATGTTCGTCTAAGTGTACTCACTTAAAAAATGTTAAAAGCTCGTTAAAAGGCTTTTTAAAATAATACACAAAACCCGTAGTATATGGGCTGGCACAAGTGCTCATTAAACAGCTGCTTATTAGAACTCTTAACTAAAATATAACCAGGACCTGGGTATAAACTACGAATCCCAGAAAGGTTGGACACCCCAACAGCGATGTGTCTTTCTGGAGGACTCGCAGTTTCGCGGGGCCGAGGCCCTTGGCCCAGGGCAGGTTAAGAGAAGAGGGCACGGAGAGGCGGTAATGCCTCCACCCCCGGCCTTCGGAAGCACGCTGGCCGGCCTTTAAATTCCCCACGGTCAGGGTCTTGTCTTTCTGTCCACTCGGACTCCATTTGCTCCCAATTCTCAAACTCGGAAGCGCCTCTTTTCTTGACAAGTCGTGCAACTTAGTAGCACGTTTACTTTTCCTAAAACGTGTCATGTCCCCTTGGCCACACACCGACGAATGTGACGCCCACAGCCCTTAAAACGCCCACCCGGCAGAACCGAAATCTAGCCCAACCAAGCAACCGAGAACAAAATTGACCAGTGCCGCCCCCAAACGCCTACTGAAAGAGTAACTTCCGGAGGCACAGAAGAAAGGGCGCAGCGAGGGCAATAGGGTGGAGAAGAGTTTTAGCTGGCTAGGACAGTGCCGCCTGAAATTATCAGCCTGCCAAGATTTAAACATAGATGAATGTGGCATAATCCCCCATCTCCAAAGTCCAAGGTCCATACGACCGTCCATAGCCCCTCTCGAGGCAGTGGTAGAGTCCCAGCTGGTGACTGTTTTTCAGGCATTTACGGTAGCCACCTCAATCTTCTAGCGCTCAAGCGCGCGCACAGACGTGAACGCCGCCAGAGGGGGGAGGGGGTGGGGCGATGCTTAAGTGTCCACGCATCCGTAGTGCGACGCACGCAGGCGTAGTACGGTCCCCCGGGCGACAGCGGTGGCGGCTCCTCGGGGTGCTCGGCTCCCTCCCACCTAGGCCGGCCCCGGCCCGACTCGCCCTCAGAAACTCACTGTTTGGGGCTGCGGACTTTCTCGTCGTGCCCCACAAAAGTAAAGCTTGGGGACCTGGGGGGAGCCGGAAGTATCGCTTCGAGATCCCCAAATACTATCGGGGAAACGGAAGTGGCCGTCGGTGGCAGGTTTGGGGGAGACCGGAAGTGACGGTCCGTGGGGAAGTCGGGGGCGGAGCCGCGGGGTGGTGGGTGTGTGTGTGTGTGTGTGTGTGTGTGTGTGTGTGTGTGTTTGGCTGTGGGTTAGTTGTGCCGTTCTGCTGGAACACCGTGGGAAGGCAGTAGACGCGGGCAGTCAGCTAGCAGGTCTGTCGCCCCGTGAGTGCCGTTTCGGGTCTATAGTGAGTTAGGAGGGTTCGATGGGCGTGGCGCGCGTGCGCGAAACCACTTTCTCCGCAGAGTGTGGGGCGACCACCGCTTTCGCGTTGTCCCAGGATTTTCCGACCTCTGGGGCGCTTGTCCTGCCGTGACCGGTGATGACACTAGTCTCTGGTCTCGTGCTTCCTTCCTAATCTGACTGGCTCCCTGCTTATTGTGATTGGCGTCGTGGAGCCCCTCCCACCTCTCGTCCTCCAGCTCCCTAAGCCGTCGATCTCCTGCCCTTTGTGTTTCTCTCCCTGTGCCCCGGAATCAGAAGGGGGATGGGGACAGGTGTGAATGTGTGTGTGTGCAGGAGAAACTTTTTAGGTATTGGGGCAGGGATTAATGCTAGGGAGTCTTTCGGGTACACTCTGGTCTGGGCAACAGCGGGCCTTCCTTCCTTCGTTCTTCTTTAGAGACCTGTCGGCCATGGAGCCTAATGATAGTACCAGTACCGCTGTGGAGGAGCCTGACAGCTTGGAGGTGTTGGTGAAGACCTTGGACTCTCAAACTCGTACCTTTATTGTGGGGGCCCAGGTGAGACACCTCACTAGTTCTGGAAGACACCTTTAGCTTTTCCTCGTTTAGGCCCCTTAGCCTGAGAGATGAGCTTGATTTTCTGGTCACCAGATTTTCTTTTTTTTTCTTTTTTTTGAGATGGAGTCACGCCCTGTCTTCCAGGCTGGAGTGCAGTGGCGCGATCTCGACTCACTGAAACTTCCACCTCTTGGGTTCAAGCGATTTTCCTATCTCAGCCTCCTGAGTAGCTGGGATTATAGGCGTGTGCCACTATACCCAGCTGATTTTTGTATTTTTAGTAGAGACGGGGTTTCACCATGTTGGTCAGGCTGGTCTCGAACTCCTTACCTCAGGTGATGTGCCCTCCTCGGCCTCCCAAAGTGCTGGTATTACAGGCATGAGCCACCGCACCTGGCCTCAGATTTTATTTTTATTGATCCCTTTGTTCGTATTCCAGTAGAACGTTTTCTGATGTTTTGTGAGTGAGGCTGATTTTGTTCTGTCCTCCACATGGATAGAACTTAATGCAGAGGGAAATACAGAGGAAGGAAGAATCTGTGTGTCATCATCATGGGTGGACCCCAACCCAAAGGGACAGGCATGGCTCTGGCCTTTGGGAAGGGAAACAGCACAGGAACCCTAAGCAAGTGTGTCTTACTGATAGACATTGGTCAGGTCTATGCTGTGTTCTTAAAGGGTAGAAATCAGAACCCATAATGGAGATAGGTCCTTGATAGACTGTTGAGTGAAATTACTAATTTTTATGGCATAGCTTGAGTCTCTTGAGCTTAAAGCCTTGGACATAGCTATCTGTGTCTTTACTCCTGTAATACTTGGAGACAAATTGCATGTGGGGTGGTCCATGGTTTTCTAAAATGTGATATTACCTGGATATAAGAAAGCCATATATAGACTTGTGATTAGATGTATATAAATACTCTGGTACTTCCCAAGAGTCAGTTTGTAGTTAGGAAAAATATTTCTCTTTTTGCTTTTTTTTTTTTTTTTGAGATGGAGTTTTGCTCTTGTTGCCCAGGATGGAGGGCTGGGGCGCAATCTCAGCTCACTGCAACCTCTGCCTCCTGGGTTCAAGCAATTTTCCTGCCTCAGCCTCCTGAGTATCTGGGATTACAGACGACGCCTACTACCACGCCCGGCTAATTTTTGTATTTTTAGTAGAGACAGGGTTTTACCGTGTTGGCCAGGCTGGTCTTGAACTCCTGACCTCAGGTGATCCACCTGCCTCGGCCTCCCAAAGTGCTGGGATTACAGGTGTGAGCCACTGTGCTGGGACCTTTTTTGCTTTCTTATCTTCTTAGTCTTTCTTCATTAACCTGATACCAGACCCCATCTTCTTTGCCATTTTTTAATCTTGGAAATCACAGGAGAGTCTGGTAAATAAACTGGTATCATCTTGTGTTTGGAAAGGGGTCACTGATGTCTCTAGACACATACTCCCTTGGATGCCAGACAGATAATATAATGTCCATGTGTTTTTTTTTTGTTTTTCATCCGTGTTATTTTTCCTGGATCTATAACCTGAGCTTCATTAAGTTTATTTATTTAATTTTTTGAGATGGAGTCCCTCTCTGTCACCCAGGCTAGAGTGTAGTGATGCGATCTCGGCTCACTGCAACCTCCGCCTCCCGAATTCAAGTGATTCTCTTGCTTCAGCCTCCCTAGTAGCTGGGATTACAGGCGACCACCATGCCTGGCTTATTTTTTTGTATTTTTGGTAAAAAAGGGGTTTTACCATGTTGGCCAGGCTGGTCTCGAACTCCTGACCTAATGTGATCTGCCTGCCTTGGCCTCCCAAAGTGCTGGGATTACAGGTGTGAGCCACCGCGCCAAGCCAAATTTATTGTCTGTATTTTGACAGCTGTTACTTTAGTTTAAGGGTTTGCACAGTAATGATCTCACGGTCAAGACAAACGGGTAGTGATTCTGTGGTGGTTTTTACCCCTCACCTCCACAACTCGGTTGTCTGTCTTTGTTCTTCCTCTTTCCTCCATTCTTTCCATTCCTGTGCATGCCTCTTCTTTTCAGATGAATGTAAAAGAGTTTAAGGAGCACATTGCTGCCTCTGTCAGCATCCCATCTGAAAAACAACGGCTCATTTACCAGGGACGAGTTCTGCAAGATGATAAGAAGCTTCAGGAATACAGTAAGGGGGCTGGGGAGGCAGTTCAGAGGTTGGGGCTACTGTCTGGAGGGATGAACTGAGGCCATGGGTTTACCTGTTCATACTATGTTTTGGTGTGTGTCTATTTTTCTGCAGATGTTGGGGGAAAGGTTATCCACCTGGTGGAACGGGCTCCTCCTCAGACTCACCTCCCTTCTGGGGCATCTTCTGGGACGGGGTCTGCCTCAGCCACTCATGGTGGGGGATCCCCCCCTGGTACTCGGGGGCCTGGGGCCTCTGTTCATGACCGGAATGCCAACAGCTATGTCATGGTTGGAACCTTCAATCTTCCTGTAAGCTTATGTTCCACAGGGGAGGGCTTTTGTGGGTAGCTTTGGTTGTGGTAGCACCAGGGAATTAATAAGATAGATGCTTCCATCTTTAGATTGGGTTCAGGGGGCCCTGTGGTGTGCTATTGGTCTCAGTCTTTAAGGAGAAAAGGAGGTAGGGCTCCAGGGAATGAATTGGAGGTGTGGAGGCCTTAGTGTTGGCTTCTCCCAGAACAACTTCCCTTACCCTTTCCCCAGAGTGACGGCTCTGCTGTGGATGTTCACATCAACATGGAACAGGCCCCGATTCAGGTATTGAGGGGCCTCCGAGGGTCAGGGAAGGGGATCTGGGAGAAGGAGGCTGGGAGGTGGGGTGGACCTGGCTGAGAGATGGCTGGGACCTGATTTAGTAGGTGGTAGAACTCATGGCTTCATCTGTAACCTACCCTGATAAACCTTCTCTCATTGTAGAGTGAGCCCCGGGTACGGCTGGTGATGGCTCAGCACATGATCAGGGATATACAGACCTTACTATCCCGGATGGAGGTAAGTGGGCAAGGCTGGCTAGGGTCTCTCTCCACCCTCCCTCTCCCTTTTCTCTCAGCCTGGGAGTTAGGGCTTCACTGGCCACATCCACAGGGTTTGGCCTTCATAATCTAGTCTTCTCTGCAGTATTCATTCTTTTGGGCAGAAAAAGTATCTTTGTGAGGCTCTCTCATTTCTGCCAATCCTCTTGGTGCCTGGTATCTGGGGAGTTTGTTTCAGACTTAGTCTCATGGCATCTCTTTTCAATTAAAGGATTCTACTCTCTTAACTTGTGGAGGCTGGGAAACCAACTTGTGGAGGAAAGGAAACCACAATCTCTACTCTTTGTTAGAAATTTATTTACAAATATTACAGATGCTGTGGCCGGGTGTGGTGGCTCCTGCCTGTAATCCCAGCACTTTGGGTCGCCATGGCAGGGGGATAACGTGTGGTCAGGAGTTCCAATCCAGCCTGGCCAACATGGTGAAACCCTGTCTCTACTACAAGTACAAAAATTAGTTGGGTGTGGTGGCACGCGCCTGTAGGCCTGGCTACTTAGAAGGCTGAGGCAAGAGAATTTCTTGAACCTGGGAGGCGGAGGTTACAGTGAGCTGAGATCATGCCACTGCACTCCAGCCTGGGCAACAGAGCGAGACTCTGTCTCAAAAAAAAAAAAAAAAATTACAGATGCTTATTATGCATCTAATTTGTGTCAGTCTTATGCTAGTTGCTAGCGAGTCGGAGATAAAATTGCAGAGCCATGCCTTCAGGGAGTCTAGTTAGGATACTTTCTCTGTTCAGTCTCCTGTAGAGTAATCCTCTGCAGCAGTCTTACCCTGCCTTTGGTATCCTGACTCTCCCCTACCTTCAGTGTCGAGGAGGGCCCCAACCGCAGCACAGTCAGCCGCCCCCGCAGCCACCGGCTGTGACCCCGGAGCCAGTAGCCTTGAGCTCTCAAACATCAGAACCAGTTGAAAGTGAAGCACCTCCCCGGGAGCCCATGGAGGCAGAAGAAGTGGAGGAGCGTGCCCCAGCCCAGAACCCGGAGCTCACTCCTGGCCCAGCCCCAGCGGGCCCAACACCTGCCCCGGAAACAAATGCACCCAAGTGAGAGATGGAGGGAATCTTTAGTGGGTGGGGAATCCTAAGTGAAGTATGGGGAGAAGGAAATGAACCATGGCAAGGGAGGGAAAGGATTACTTGGAGGTCTTAGTTGAAGGGTTAGCATTGAGGGGCGAGGAGGGGCTCTCTCGGTATAGGTAAATGACGCTAGGACAGGCAGCTGAGAAGAACTGCTGCTCTCCCTACGGCAAGGAAATCCAAATGGTATCTCCTGAGCCTGATCGGAATTCTCCTCTGAGTTCACGAAGGCCTGCTCTCTTTCTTAGAATTAGTCTTTCACCATTGTAGGTGCAGGATTGTGGTGGGGAGGGTGGGAGCAGTTCATTTTCTTCTCCCTATCCTCTCATGGGTGGGAGTAAAGAATAGAAGCTTTGGCTGGGTGCAGTGGCTCATGCCTGTAATCTCAGCACTTTGGGAGGCAGAGGCGGGCAGATCACCTGAGGTCAGGAGTTCGAGACCAGCCTGGCCAACATGGTGAAACCCTGTCTCTACTAAAAAATACAGGCCGGGCACAGTGGCTCACGCCTGTAATCCCAGCACTTTGGGAGGCCGAGGCGGGTGGATCATGAGGTCAAGAGATCGAGACTATCCTGGCTAACATGATGAAACCCCGTCTCTACTAAAAATACAAAAAATTAGCTGGGCATGGTGGCGGGCACCTGTAGTCCCAGCTACTCGGGAGGCTGAGTCAGGAGAATGGTGTGAACCCAGGAGACGGAGCTTGCAGTGAGCTGAGGTCGCACCACTGCACTCCAGCCTGGGTGATAGAGCGAGACTCTGTCTCAAAAAAAAAAAAAAAAAAAAAAAAACAAAAATTAGCCGGGTGTGGTGGCAGGCAACTTAATCCCAGCTACTTGGGAGGCAGAGGCAGGAGAATCGTTTGAACCTGGGAGGCGGAGGTTGAAGAGAATAGAAGCTCTGCTGGTCCAGAGAAGGATTGGGCCAGGGCTCTGGGAGACCAGGGAGAAAGAGGGCACATGTGGTCCCTGTTGACTGTGAGGGTGGGAATCTGAGGAAGGCTTTGGCTCATTGCCCCTTGGGTTTGTCCACAGCCATCCTTCCCCTGCGGAGTATGTCGAGGTGCTCCAGGAGCTACAGCGGCTGGAGAGTCGCCTCCAGCCCTTCTTGCAGCGCTACTACGAGGTTCTGGGTGCTGCTGCCACCACGGACTACAATAACAATGTGAGCCCTTTGATGGCCCTGCCCTTTCTCCTCAGCCCCAGTACTCCCAAAACAGAACAGGCTGAAATGCAGATAACTCTTTCCCTCCCTGGAAAAACATTGCAACAGGGCCAGGTGCAGTGGCTCACGCCTGTAATCCCAGCACTTTGGGAGGCCAAGGTGGGCGGATCATCTGAGATTGGGAGTTTGAGACCAGCCTGGCCAACATGGTGCAACCCCATCTCTACTGAAAATATAAACATTAGCTGGATGTAGTGGTGCACACCTGTAATCCCAGCTACTCAGGAGGCTGAGGCAGGAGAATCGCTAGAACTCGGGAGGAGGGGGTTGCAGTGAGCCGAGATTGCACTACTGCACTCTAGCCTGGGTGACAGAGCGAGACTGTCTCAAAAAACAAAACAAAACAAAAAAACACACATTGCAACAAAACAATTTCTCTCTAAACCTGTAAGTGATTTTGTCCTCCCTTACAGAGAAGGTGATAATCTTTGCTGTAAGCACTGTCCTCGTATCGTACCCCTTGTGCCCCTGAATGAATTTAGAAAATGTAAAGTACAGGAGATCAGTATATGATGACTTACTGATTCATAGTAGTGTTTTAATAGGATGTTCCTTATGTGAATAAGATATAATTTATTTGCAAAGATTTGGTCTACATGTAAACTTCCAAGGATATAACTGAAAGTTTTGGAGGACATGGTATTCTCAGTAGGCATTATTGCTTTTATTAGTGAGATGGACTCCAGCTTGATATTTTCTGCCTTTTTGTGTTTGGCTGGTTGTGCGCAGCACGAGGGCCGGGAGGAGGATCAGCGGTTGATCAACTTGGTAGGGGAGAGCCTGCGACTGCTGGGCAACACCTTTGTTGCACTGTCTGACCTGCGCTGCAATCTGGCCTGCACGCCCCCACGACACCTGCATGTGGTCCGGCCTATGTCTCACTACACCACCCCCATGGTGCTCCAGCAGGCAGCCATTCCCATACAGGTGGGTTAGGGGGAGTCTGGCCTGAGGGAGAGTGAGGGGTGTTGATAGAGTGACCCAGGGTAGCTACTGGGCCTGAAGGAGGTTAGGAAAGGAGGAGACTGGAAACATGGTGATGAAGGCTGGAGATACTTTAGAGGTTTATCATGAGGTTTTCTTGGTTAGGCTCTTGTATTTTTCTCACATCTGCCTGTCCATCTGTCTTTTTCAGATCAATGTGGGAACCACTGTGACCATGACAGGAAATGGGACTCGGCCCCCCCCAACTCCCAATGCAGAGGCACCTCCCCCTGGTCCTGGGCAGGCCTCATCCGTGGCTCCGTCTTCTACCAATGTCGAGTCCTCAGCTGAGGGGGCTCCCCCGCCAGGTCCAGCTCCCCCGCCAGCCACCAGCCACCCGAGGGTCATCCGGATTTCCCACCAGAGTGTGGAACCCGTGGTCATGATGCACATGAACATTCAAGGTGAGAATAGTTGCTGGCGAGAAGAGCAGGATCAGCATGATGAGGGAGGTTCATGCTGAGGTGTGAGGGAACAGGGTGGGGAAGGGAGAGGCACATGCTGGTGGTGGTAGCCTGGGGACCAGAGCAGAAGCTTAAGTAGACAGATGTGGGGGGTGTGGGGGTTGGTTTGTCTTTGGAGGTGTGTTTGTGTGGTGAAGGGAGTACCTCTCCCTGTTTAGATGGAGGGAAAGGCAGGCTTTCTGATTGGGGGATTATGGGCCTGAAGTATGCCTGATCTCAGAAGGATATAGTTAGGCCTTGGCCCTACCTACCTCAGGGCCACTGTCTCTGTCTCCCTGCCCAGATTCTGGCACACAGCCTGGTGGTGTTCCGAGTGCTCCCACTGGCCCCCTGGGACCCCCTGGTCATGGCCAAACCCTGGGTAAGAGTGAGGGCATCAGGGCAGGCTGAGCTCTGGGTAGAGAAAGGGAAGGGCTGAGTGGGTGGGTTGAAGGGGTCCAGGTTCAAGGTTACATCAGACCCGCCCCCCAGGCTCCACCCTCATCCAGCTGCCCTCCCTGCCCCCTGAGTTCATGCACGCCGTCGCCCACCAGATCACTCATCAGGCCATGGTGGCAGCTGTTGCCTCCGCGGCCGCAGGTAATGACCTGGAAGGGGAGGCTTGGGAGGTAGGGCACAGTCCATGGTGGCAGCTGGCTGGCAAGGGCCTGGCCCTCAGCCCTCTTCGGTCTGTCTCTTCTGCCACCCACAGGACAGCAGGTGCCAGGCTTCCCAACAGCTCCAACCCGGGTGGTGATTGCCCGGCCCACTCCTCCACAGGCTCGGCCTTCCCATCCTGGAGGGCCCCCAGTCTCTGGGACACTGGTGAGCAAGGGTCGGGGAGTTCTAGTGCGTAACAGTCTAGGGAGAGACTCCTGTGGTGGTGCATGGAAGGGCAGGTCTGAAATTCTCCCTTGCTCTCTATCCAGCAGGGCGCCGGTCTGGGTACCAATGCCTCGTTGGCCCAGATGGTGAGCGGCCTTGTGGGGCAGCTTCTTATGCAGCCAGTCCTTGTGGGTGAGTTTTCATTCTTCCCCACTCAGAGTTTAAACTCCTTTCCTAGTCTGCTCACTGGCACTTTCCAGTTCTTTCCATATTTTCTTGGTTCCTGCTTTCCTGGAATGGGGCTGCTGTAGTGTCTTGTGTCTTCAGGTTTCAGCTTTTTTTTTTTTTTTTTTTTTTTTTGAGATGGAGTCTCACTCTGTTGCTAGGCTGGAGTGCAGTGTACAATCTTGGCTCACTGCAACCTCTGCCTCCCGGGTTCAAGTGATTCTCCTGCCTCAGCCTCCTGAGTAGCTGGGACTACAGGTGCACGCCACCACGCCCAGCTAATTTTTTATGTTTTTAGTAGAGAAGGGGGTTTCACCATGTTGGCCAGGATGGTCTCGAACTCTTGACCTTGTGATCCACCCACCTTGGCCTCCCAAAGTGCTGGGATTACAGGCTTGAGCCATCGTGCCCGGCCAGCTTTTTTCTTTTTTTTTTAAGTTACAGAGTCTTGCTCTGTCACCCAGACTGGAGTGCAATGGTGCAATCCAGTGAGTTAAAGCTCACTGTAACCTTGAACTCCTGGGCTCAAACAGTTCTCCCACCTCAGCCTCCTGAGTAGCTAGCAGTACTAGCTCCTGGCTAGTAATTGTCTTTTTTTTTTTCTGGTAGAGATGGGGTCTTGCTATGTGGCCTAGACTCCTGGGCTCAAGCAGTTCTCATGCCTTGGCCTCCCAAAGTTGCTAGGATTACAGCCAAGAGCCACCATGCTCAGCCCAGCTTTCTTTTTTTGGTTTCTTACAGCTCAGGGGACCCCAGGTATGGCTCCACCGCCAGCCCCTGCCACTGCTTCTGCCAGTGCTGGCACCACCAACACAGCTACCACAGCTGGCCCCGCTCCTGGGGGGCCTGCCCAGCCTCCACCCACCCCTCAACCCTCCATGGCTGATCTTCAGTTCTCTCAGCTTCTGGGGAACCTGCTAGGGCCTGCAGGGCCAGGGGCTGGAGGGTCTGGTGTGGCTTCTCCCACCATCACTGTGGCGATGCCTGGTGTCCCTGCCTTTCTCCAAGGCATGACTGACTTCTTGCAGGTGAGTGGCTGGCTTGCCATTCACCTCATCTTCCTGTCCCCCGGCCCAGCCAGGCAGTGGTACCTTCTTGCCATTATATAACCACTGGGTAAGAGCCCCTAGTGACATGTTAGGGGAAGGGGCCCTGGGAATTCATTGACTCTGAACCTTTCATTTTAAAGATGAAGAAAATGAGGTTTAGAAAAAGAAAGTATAGTAATTAGTGTCACTGCTTTCTGACAGCCTGTTCAGAGGAAGAGGTAGGTAAGTTGTGCTGCCTGACTCTGTTAAATACCTACCATACTTCTGCTTTAAGCAGTGAAGATCAGAATGTAACTCCCCATCTTCCCAGACCCGTTGGTTTGTGCCCTCTTGATGCCGTATTATTTCCGTGTGTCTTCATTCTCACCTCACTTTCTGTTCTTTGTTCTTTCTTTATTTGCCAGGCAACACAGACAGCCCCTCCACCACCCCCACCTCCTCCACCCCCACCACCTGCCCCAGAGCAGCAGACCATGCCCCCACCAGGCTCCCCTTCTGGTGGCGCAGGGAGTCCTGGAGGCCTGGGTCTTGAGAGCCTGTCACCGGAGTTTTTTACCTCAGTGGTGCAGGGTGTGCTCAGCTCCCTGCTGGGCTCCCTGGGGGCTCGGGCTGGCAGCAGTGAAAGTATTGCTGCCTTCATACAACGCCTCAGTGGATCCAGCAACATCTTTGAGCCTGGAGCTGATGGGGCCCTTGGTGAGCAAAAAGGATGCTTTGGCTTGCTCCAGGAAGGGGCAGCCAGAGGAATGTAGATGGCCTTGGTTTAGGGGTGTTGCCAAGGTGGGATGAGGTTGATGATCTGGTTGTGGGTGGGCAGGCCAGGTGGTAAAGGCCATTGCTAACATCTGCCCTTGTCCCCCAGGATTCTTTGGGGCCTTGCTTTCTCTTCTGTGCCAGAACTTCTCTATGGTGGACGTAGTGATGCTTCTCCATGGGCATTTCCAGCCACTACAACGGCTCCAGCCCCAGCTGCGATCCTTCTTCCACCAGCACTACCTGGGTGGTCAGGAGCCCACACCCAGTAACATCCGGGTAAATGAAGGCCAGGGGCCCCAGAACTCTCCTCTTTTGCACATTTTATTCCTTATTTCTGACTGCTTCTCTGCCAGGTAAAGCTCCAATTGCCCCCACACAAGCCCTGGACTTGTTGGGGTCGAGGTGGAAGTCTTGGGAGGACTGAGGCTTTGAACTAAACCTGTTCTGTTTCCTCCACAGATGGCAACCCACACATTGATCACGGGGCTAGAAGAGTATGTGCGGGAGAGTTTTGTGAGTAACCCTTCTCTATTCCTTTCCTCTCCTGGGTCTGGTCAAGGCAGCTGCCTCCTCCACTCCCAGTCTTATGATTCTTGATTTTGGGATCTTTGTGTTATCTTGTCTCTCAGTCCTTGGTGCAGGTTCAGCCAGGTGTGGACATCATCCGGACAAACCTGGAATTTCTCCAAGAGCAGTTTAATAGCATTGCTGCGCATGTGCTGCATTGCACAGGTCAGGGGCTGGCCAGGCGGGGGCAAGTGGGGCCTGTTGCATGTGCAGGGCTGCCACGTGCCAGCATTCCCTCCTTGTATTTTGCCCACAGATAGTGGATTTGGGGCCCGGTTGCTGGAGTTGTGTAACCAAGGCCTGTTTGAATGCCTGGCCCTAAACCTGCACTGCTTGGGGGGACAGCAGATGGAGCTTGCTGCTGTTATCAATGGCCGAATTGTAAGCACCACCTAGCCCCAGATCCTTAGCCTTTTGTTTCCTGAGGTTTCCATTCTCTGCAGTTTTCATTTTTCTTTTCTAAACTGACATTCTGTAACCTGGATCTAATCTATTTCTAAAGGTGGTTGAGGGTTTTGTGTTCTAAATCTGCTTTCTGTCCCTCAGCGTCGTATGTCTCGTGGGGTGAATCCCTCCTTGGTGAGCTGGCTGACCACTATGATGGGACTGAGGCTTCAGGTGGTACTGGAGCACATGCCTGTAGGCCCTGATGCCATTCTCAGATACGTTCGCAGGGTTGGTGATCCCCCCCAGGTAAGGGACCTGTTGGGCGATGGGGTCAGGGTACTTGAGAGAACTGGAGAGATCTGAGAGGAAGTATGGTGTTCTTTAATTTCACAGCCACTTCCTGAGGAGCCAATGGAAGTTCAGGGAGCAGAAAGAGCTTCCCCTGAGCCTCAGGTACTCTAGAGAGGGGGAGGTTGAGGGGCCAGATAATGTGGAGTGGAGGGCTGGGGGAGAAAGGTTTGGAGGCTAAAAATTCTGAAGCCTGGCTCTTCCCGCCATCTGACACCCAGCGGGAGAATGCTTCCCCAGCCCCTGGAACAACAGCAGAAGAGGCCATGTCCCGAGGTCCACCTCCTGCTCCTGAGGGGGGCTCCCGGGATGAACAGGATGGAGCTTCAGCTGAGACAGAACCTTGGGCAGCTGCAGTCCCCCCAGTAAGTGTCAGGAAGTAATCCAGTGGGTCATGGCAGCTGAAAGTCAAGGACATTACTATTTTCTCTTTTCCTCCCCAGGAATGGGTCCCTATTATCCAGCAGGACATTCAGAGCCAGCGGAAGGTGAAACCGCAGCCCCCTCTGAGTGATGCCTACCTCAGTGGTATGCCTGCCAAGAGACGCAAGGTTGGTTTTCCTCTTCCCTAAGCCTCTCTCTCTATCCAGGTTTCCCCGTCATGCCTGGAATCAAACTATGTAGAGATGGTGGGAGCTCTTGTTATTCAGTCTCCCCTCCCCTCGTTTAATGAGGAAACTTTTTCTGGGATTCAGACTTGCTCTTGGTTGTTGCATAACCATACAGGACTTGACCTTAGTCTGTTTGCTAGCAGTCCTGTATTAGTTGCTCAGCTGCCTAATCCCCATGTGCTTAGATCCCATTTTCCTTTAAGGTGGGTTTCCTCTTGTGGATTACCTAGCTCTGAATCCCGGATGGCTTGACCCCTTCTGCCTTTCGTTTTGAAGAGCACGTTCAAGCACATTCACTTTAGTTTTGGCTAGTGCCAAAGAGAATTAGGAAGGCATTTCTGCTGTAAAAACCACATCCTGGACTCTTAATTTCCCCTCTCTCCACTAGCATGGAGACTCAGTGGAGTGGTTGACTCATGGAAAGGGTGAGCCGGATGGTGGCACTGGATCTGACGTTGATCCTCTTTTCCCTCCCAACCCCCTGTCCCCCAGACGATGCAGGGTGAGGGCCCCCAGCTGCTTCTCTCAGAGGCTGTGAGCCGGGCAGCTAAGGCAGCCGGAGCTCGGCCCCTGACGAGCCCCGAGAGCCTGAGCCGGGACCTGGAGGCACCAGAGGTTCAGGAGAGCTACAGGCAGCAGGTGCCACCTTGAAGCAGAATAGGGATGGTCTAGTGGGAGGGGTTGGGCTAGGGTCCCTCTTCCCTGGATCCCTTCAGCGATGAACTGGTCAGCCTGGTGCTACCATTTGTTTTCCCCTTTGGCATCTGGGAAGGCTTGACAGTGCCACCCCGGGCTATTTGACAGTGTGCTTGGGGGGGGAAATGTTAGCTTCTGAGGGATGGCCTTGTGTGCTTGCTGGGATCATGGGGACTTGGCCAGCGTTTCTCCAACCTGCTTACTTTTTCTCTTTAGCTCCGGTCTGATATACAAAAACGACTGCAGGAAGACCCCAACTACAGTCCCCAGCGCTTCCCCAATGCCCAGCGGGCCTTTGCTGATGATCCTTAGCTCTTTGCTCTATGGCCCTTCCTCATCAGGGGACCGTTTCCCCCCTCTTCCTTCACAGTATTTAAGAAATAAAAGTCGGATTTTTCTGGCTGCTTTCTCTCTACATTGTCTCCATTAGGTAGTGTGTCCCTTAATCTTGTGTGAACTTTTTTAAATTAATACTTCCTTGGAACACTGTTGTGTTCTACTCAGCACGCTAAATTGTACAAGCCAGTTTTGATGTTTGTTTTTTTTTTTTTTTGAGACAGAGTATTGCTGTCTCCCAGGCTGGAGTGCAGTGGCCCGATCTCGAGCTCGGCTCACTACAACCTCCACCTCCCGGGTTCAAGTGATTCTCACTCATGCCTCAGCCTCCTGAGTAGCTGGGACTACAGGCGTCCGCCACGACGCCCGGCTAATTTTTGTATTTTTAGTAGAGACAGGGTTTCACCATATTGGCCAGGCTGGTCTCGAACTCCTGACCTTGTGATCCACCCGCCTTGGCCTCCCAAAGTGCTGGAATTACAGGCGTGGGCCACCGCGCCCAGCCTGATGTTTGTATTTTTTGTGCGAAAGCACTTTATATATAAATAAAAAACCTGTATTTTGAGTTGGGAGCATATTCCAGGTGCACACTAGCATAGAGCTCTCAAATTACCCATCAAAAAAAGTTTCTGAGCAGCTGCAGACCTAAGTATAGTCTTTAGCATAACTAGCATGCAGCGTTACCATGTGAAATCCCACTTAGTTTGACAATGCTGGAATTGGTCTATCCAATTCAAAGAGCCCCTTAAGTGTGCTCCAACATTGAGGCCTTAACAGAGATTTCCCCTTAGTTCATCATAAAGAACTGAAGTCCCATGGCTGCAAATTCTTTGCTAGTCCCTTTGAGATGCAGTTGAAGTCCCTTCTAAACCCCCCCATCCCCTACCTTGGCTAGTTTAGTGCTCTTATCAACTAAGCATGGCATAAGCTTAGAAAATTCCAGCTAGACCTCTTGGAACATGAGCTCACGGACATTTAACAGGCCTGCTGGAGAGTCCATGTGAAGACACTGGTTGATAACCCAGTAATGTTACAGATGTCCCACCAAGGCCCTAGATATGCAAAGGAAGCCATATTGGGACCAGCCCAGGTGTCAGCTGCAGACTGATAACCAGTTGACCTCGCTCACTGGCACAAAAAAGCAGATTTATCCAGCTGAGCTCAGCCCAAATTCCAGACTCACAAAAATTTAAAGATCCAATACGATGGTCATGTTTTTAGTTTCAACAGCTCACTGGAATAAGTAATGAATATTTCCCTGACTGAAACTACAGATCACTCAGCACCATGCTTTAAGACAATGCAAACAACTCATCCCCCAAATCATTGTAGAAGTTTTTTTTTTTAAATCCTTTTATTACTCTTTTTTAACAAACAGCCCCAGGGACAGGGGACCAGGGGAAGGGGGAGGAGGGGAAGTGAGGCCCCAGCCCCAGAACCCCTCCCCGCCCACCCCTTTCCCCCTTATATATTTATAATCTATATACAAGCCCCGGGGGTAGGGGGCAAGAGGAACTCCCTCAGCGGGGTGGGGGCAACCCAGGCTCCTTGTCCCCTCGGGACCCAGGCTCCTCTGCCCGTCGGGAGGGCCCTTCTCGAGGTGGCGGCCCTGTCCGCTCCCAAGGCTTAGGTATCCAGCGCAGGGCATCTGGTGGGGAGGCCTAGGGGACAGGCATGTGTTAAACAGTGAGTCACAGTGAGAGGTCAGCGATGAGACGGAAGGACAGGAAATCAGGTGGCAACTCGAATTTAGAGTTGGGGCCACAAGGGTTTCTCCTTCACCTGCTGGTAAAGGTCGACGCGCTGGGTGCGGAAGACTCCACTGTAGGTGGAAGGCGTGGCCTTGAGACGGGAATTGAGGCCAGAGAAGGACCTAAGGGAAGAAGGGCGTCTAAGGCAAGCCTAGGATCCAGACCCTGGTTCCAAAGTAAGGAAGCACTTGGAAAGTCCACATCCCTATTCCGTTTCACCTTCCAGTTGGGGGAGTCCGTGATGATCCAGGTCCCCCAAGGTTGCTGCTCAGTTTTTGATAATCCTGGAACGGCTTTAGTTCCACTGGATGCAGCTGAGGGGAAAAAAATCATGAGCTGCCTACCTTGAAATACAGAATCCCTACTCCCAAGTCTTGGCGCTCCCTAGCCCCTCAGTTCCTGTACCTTACCTCTGCTCGCCCCAAGCTAGCGGGGAAGGGCCTGGCAGGTGAAGGCAGCACCCGAGTAGCAGGAGCAGGTGGGGGCCGCACAGCCAGGCTGGGGGGCTGCAGAGCAGGGCCCACAGGTAACAGAGAAAGGGGAGGTGGGGCAGGAGGTGGTGCTGGCGGCAGGGAGCCAAAGTTCACCACAGGCAGCTGTGAGTCTACCATGGGTAGAAGCATCTGTAACAAGAAATTTGGGTGTGCATGTTGGGGGCAGGGAGGAATGTCAGAAAACCAGGGAAAATCAAAGCCAGCAACTGGACAGAGAAATCAAATGAAGGGGAAGTGTGAAGATACAATATACCTGCTGGGCAGGAGCCCCTGAAGGGAGAAAGCCACTTTGGCCACCAGGCTGCAGAGGAGTAGAATAAAAATCCGAAGGGGATGGCAGATCCTGGCGTACCTGTCGGGAAACAGGGAGAAATATATCAACCCCCACAAAATCA
Organism: Homo sapiens; assembly: GCF_000001405.40. Taxonomy (NCBI): domain Eukaryota; kingdom Metazoa; phylum Chordata; class Mammalia; order Primates; family Hominidae; genus Homo; species Homo sapiens. The sequence goes on along the minus strand of NC_000006.12, from coordinate 31,636,466 downwards.
TTCTCCCTACCCTATCCCCCAATATCTAATACCTGCCCCCCTCTTACCTGAAGCAACGATGTGTCAGGCAAAGGACTGGGGCAGAAAGCCGGAGAGTAGAGGAAGGAAGGTGGAGGGTAGAGAACTCCTCCAGCCGGCAACTTCCCCAGCTCTGTAGCTTGCATTGTGGAGAAATCCAGAAACTGGCCCTTGAGAGCTAACCCAGAGAGCAGTGCTGAGGGAGGGGCTGGGCCGGGGGGTAGGTATAGGGGCTGTGATCTGAAAATAAATTGTGGGGAGAAAAGCTGTTAGGAAGCCAGAGTCCTAGCAATGCCTTAAGTCCACTAGCTTCTAGTACCCTAGAACTGTGTCTTCCCCTTCCCTCTCCCCGAAACACATCTCCAAGTACTTCTGTGATCCACAGGCATCGAGTCTTACCTGTAAGGGTGCAGTGAGGGTGTCCCAGGGCGGAAGCCTCCACTGTTTGGATGTAATTGAGAGTCCATGGCTCCCCCAGAGATCTGCAGGAGAGGAGCACGGTTGAAACAGCTTTAGTATCTGTGGTCAAGAAAAAAGATCACCATCCCACCCATAGAAGCAAAAAGTAGGGAGAAAAATGATGTGACAAAGTGGTATCTCACAACTCTGCAACGTAGAAAGGCTTGATTATAAATACATACCAGGCAGAAAAAAATTATTATTCACTGAAGGGGTCATGCAATGGGAAGCGGGGCCTACCTGAGAACTGGAAGGCCCAGCACTGCCATAGAAAACCTCAGGATACAGGCGCTGGCCTGAGGAGCTGGGCTCCGGGACACAGTGCCCAGAATCCAGGTTCTTGGATTGTGGCTCAGCAGAGGCAGCAGCACTGGGAAGCAGCTCCCAGTCTCGTGATACAGGAATGGCCTGGGAAGGAGAGGCCTCGTGGAGAGGGATGTCTGGCATCCTGGACGCCCTGGTCACTCCCAGCAATCTTCCCCAGAAATCTTGGGCCTTTCCACCAAACTCTTACTCCCACTTACCTCAGTGACTGATGCTGTTAGCTCCTTCTCTGCTTTCAAGCTGTCTCCTACCACTAGGCGTAAGTCTGAGTCCTGTGATCACAAGAAGGCAGGAGACATTGTCCCGTGACAGACATGTGTCCTCTATGTCCCACCTTTAGTCCTTCCCTTCTCTCCACCCAACTCAGGATACCCAGATCCAGCCCACACAGACCTTGTCACTAGTGCCAAACTGGACTGGGGGACCAGGTCGATGGGATGGCCGAATGGGGCCAGGCTCTGTGCCTCGGTCTGTACGCTGTGATCGTTCTGTGCCAATGGGGCCAGGGGGCAGAGGCTGCTCCCGGGGCAGCTCCTGGATTGGGCACACAGTAAAGTGCATTGGGGGAGGGAAAGGGAAATCCAAATTGGAATGCCCAGAACACACACGCAGAGAGAAAAAGCAGAAAAAGGTAGGGCCAAAGTCAGATTCCTGGAAACATTCCCCTTATCCTTTTTTGGTCTTTTACCTTTCTGTCCCCATCGTGGGGGGCAGGTGGTGGTCTCCTAGGAGGTTCAGAGCCAGGTGGACCCTCACAAGGAACAGCATTCAGGGGTGAGGAGCCTCCAGGCCTCTTGGGGGGTCCCTCTGCTGCCCCCTTGAGTCCTCCATCAGGGGAACTTCGCTGGCTGCAGGGACCTGATGACACCTGAGAATCCCCACTCAGGTCCACCCCACTGTCAGACTGACTCATCTGAGAGGAGTGGAGAAGGAGCTAGTTAAGTCAGGGTAGAAAGCACCCCAATACCTGACTGATGCACACATACAAACTGCAGAAAGGGGACAGCCAAGTGAGAGAACAGCTCCAGACTCAACCCAGAGCAGGTGGGGGGTATGACCAGTGCTCAAAAAAGTCCCAGCTCAGACACACCCTCCCACCCTCACTCACTTCTGTGCCAGCCACATCCTCAAAAGGACTCAGGGGCTCCATCCAAGGCTCCATGGAGCTGGGCCGGTAACTCTTTCGGCTAGTGGCTGGAGAAGGGAGCACCAACCAGAAGAGAAGTGAGGAGATGACAGTTCAGAAGCCCCTCTCATTCTTAACCCTTCTACCATAGTCCTTTCACTCAGCTTTACTCACCAGTATGTAAACGGTTCCAGATGTGAGGGGTCAGGGCCTCTGTGCCTGTATCTCTGGACTCTGCCTGAGGGCCTGGGCCCTCAGGCTTAGAGCCCAAGAATCCAGAGCTATGAGGAGGTGGCAAAGATTCCTACAGATGAGAAGGGCCAGAAGCAAAACATGAATTGGGTGGGAATTGGGAATTATAGGAAGCCAGGACAGAGTGGGGTGACACAGGGTGTGGGGACAACAAGGGAGACACATGGGAGACTAATACTGAGAATTCTGGAGTAAAAACACAGTGAAAGAAACAGGAAAGAAAACAGAGAAAACATAACCCAGAAGAATTTTCACGAGTAAGAGTGCAGTGAAGCACAATCTCAAACCCATCCCTTACCTCCTGTAGCAGCTCTGGTTTTCTGGGAGGCCGCTCCCGACGTTTAGGGGGAAAGGGACTAACCCCGGCAGAGTCCCGAGGAGTCCCACCCACCCCTCTCACCATTGGCCCCGGCTCCTCAAAGTGGGGGTCTGGGAAAGAGAAAAAGGGTCAGCATCTGCCTGGCTCTGCCACTGACCCTAACTTTTCCTCTCTACTCCACCTCCCAATTCTTCTACCCTTGCTCCCTGCAGAAACGCACCCAGCAGCAGGGTCCCTAGGCCAGGTTCTCCACCCGCTCCCTCCAGCACTTGACCTTCTCTGGGGATGGAGATATTCCCACCCATAACCCCTCCAGCTTACCAGAACTGAGGCCGCTGTTGACCCTCTGGGGCTCGTATCGGGTTGGGGGCCTAGGAGAGGGGCCCTGAGGGGCTTGGGGAAGCCCAGGCTTGTGCCTTGGATGACCCCCTGGTGCAGTTACACTCCCTTGACGGCTACTAAGCTGGGCCAGAGCCTGTTGGATGCCAGCAGGGTTGCTGTGGATAACTTGGTCCAGGCGGAAGACAGCAGAACTGCTGGGAGGTGGGGGAGGCAGGGGAAGCCCCGGGGGACGCTCCTCTGGAGGACGACTGGAGAAAACAGAGCATTAGCTCCAGTATCCACTAAATCGTTACTTTTTCCCACAAGTTATGTTTCCCAACTTCTGCTTACAACCTATTCTCTTCCCTATTAAAGTCCAGGTGTTTTTGAGTCCTTCTAAGGATTCCTATGCATACAGATGCACAGACTGGAAAGCAAAGAACCAGCAATGAATACATAGGTGGGTGTTCTTGACTCTAACACCCTACCAACCGCTTTCCAGTTGCCTTAGCCAGACATGGAAATCCTACTGACATTCTAGAGCCCATGGCCCCTCAGGCCACAATCTCCACTCCACCCAAACTTATCTTTCCCTCAGGCTTTTTCCCCCTCCTCCAATTTTTAAACCACAATAAATTTGTTTGTTCCTACCCACCTTCGGTTCTTGGGAGAGGGCCAGCTCCTCTTGTCGCCTCGTCCTGGCCCGGTCCTTCCTCCAGGACCCCCACCGCCTCCTCCACTGCTGCTGCCACTGCTGCCAGCCTTGCCCCCTGGGCCAGGGCGCCGATTCTGCCGTTCCATGCCTGGCCGCTGACTTGAGAAGCTCCGTTTACTCAAATCCTTGGCTCTCTGGCTCAGATCTCCGCGGGACATGGCTGAAATACCTGGTACGGCTCCACCTCCACCTCCCCCAGGAGTTCCCACAGCCTTGGGTGTCAGCAGTACTGGTGGGGGTGCCTCTTTGTCCCCTCGGCGCTCACTGGTGAAGTCACTGCTCTCTGATGCAGTCTCCCATTCCTCATTGGCTTGGTCTGAGTTCTGGTTTGACAGATCAGGAGACTTGGCAGCTGCCCGGCGAGGTGCTGGGGCCACTGTGACTGTTGTGAGGGCCTCCTCAGGTCCAGGAGCGGAGGCTGGAAGGGTTAGGGAGGGCTTGCCCTCAGACCCCCTTGCGGCATTCTCCCGTTCCTGCTTCAGCCTCCGGAAACGAGGCGGTTTATCCTGCTGCTGAGCCCTCCCATGTCGCCTCCTTCGGGGTCGCTCCCCATCTTCCATGCCCACATTGCTACCTCCATTGCTGCCTCCGCGCGCCACAGGGGACAGAGGCCCTGGGATCAACTTCTCTTTCAAAGGCTCCTTACTTGGTGGCAAAGGGCCTGTGGGAGGTTTCTTGGGAGCCAGAGACTTGGCTGGAGGGCTCCAGCCTGGGCAAACTTGAGGAGGGGGCCTCCCTCCTCCTCGGCCCCGGCGAGATGGCACCCCTCTGGGAGTGAAGACTCGCCCACCCCGGGCAGTGAAGCGGGCTGGGGCTGGTGAAGGTGGGGCTCCTGGTGGTGGGGGAGCGAGAGGGACCTGGGTGAGTGTTCCCTCCTTGGGTGTGGGAGCCTCCTTGTCTGAAGGAGCCAGATCACTCTCATGGGTCTCGCTGCCTGTTTCTGAGCCCCGCTGCCGGCGCCGCTTGGGGATTTCCTCATACTCTGAACCCTCGCTCCGTGTCTCGCTGGCAGTGCGGCCTCGGGGAGCAGGAGGGTGGTTTGGTCCCCCTGTCCCACCTCCACGCCCATCATCTCCTCGAAACTCTCGGTAACTGCGGAATTCCCGGCTTCGGGCTCCCCGCCCTCGTCCCCCATAGGTCCCCCGAAAACCCCTCCCTCTGGCAAAATACTCGCCTCGGCCCCGACCCCGGCAAGAGGTAGGACCCACTCTTTCATACGAATAGTCCCTCCGAAGCCTTGGGGCAGGGGAAAGATTTCCATTGGGTGGGGTCTCCTTGGGGCCCCCTAGCTTCCCCTTGGTTATCTTGAGTGGGTCTGGCTTTGGGGGTTTGGGGGTTTCATCCCCCTGTTCGAGGGGCTTGGGAGGCAGCTCTTCTACTTTTGTAGGTGGTGGAGGTTTCTTTATAGGCCCAGCCCGGCGGGGTGGGGCCCCTGGCTCCTCTGGAGGGATTCCACGACGACTGCTCCCTGGACGAGGGCCCCAGCGGGTCTCTGTGCGACTCTCTCTGCGTGGTGGTGGGGGGCCCTGGCCTCCACTCCCGACTCCGCGGGCAGGCTTTCGGCCTGCTTCTGGCCCCGTCAGCTGTGCAGTCTCCTCCTTAGGGGGCTCCTTCTTGGGTGGTGGAGTTTGTATCTTGGCCACTTCATCACTGCCTGGGGGCCAGGGGAGTGGACGGGGCCCTGGTTCCTCCAGAGGAAAGCGAGAGATTGGGGGCCCAGGGGCTCCATTCTCAGGAAAGCCTGGATAACTGGCCAGATAGGGTGGTGGGGGAGGTACTGGAGGAGTCTCGCTCCTGAAGAGACAGACAGAAAGAATGGAAATAAGTATCTCAGGAAAACCAGAACTAGGTGGGAAAAGAACACTTTATTATGATGCAGACTCTCTTTTACTATTTTTCTGTTTGTTTTGGCAGAGATGGCATCCAGTTGCCGAGGCTAGTCTCGAACTGCTGGGCTCAAGCAATCTTCTTGCCTCAGCCTCCCAAAATGCTGGGATTACAGGCATGAGCCACTCCATCCAGCCTCTCCTTTCCCGTTCATCCCTATCCCTACCACTAACCCAAAGTACCTTTCTCCCAGGCCTAGATCCTTTCACTGTGAACTCACCCATTTCTCATGACCAAGACTCACCTCATCCCCTTGTCATCCTCATCCGCAGCCTGGCGCAGAGGTGAGGTAAGTGGGCGGGGTTCAGCGGGTGTGGCGGTGAAGACATCTCCTACCCAGGCCAACTTTGGATCCACCGGTGGAGTGCCCCGTTCCCGTAACATAGCAGGTGCATGACGGTCAAATGGCTCTGAGCTTGAGCCCCCACTGTCTGAACGCTCTCGGGGAACTAGGCCTGAAGAAACCAAAGAAAAAGAAAAATAATCCTATTCATGTCACAAGCCCTCCAGCCCAAAAAGCATCTCCCCTCGCGGTCAAGTCAGCTCTTCCATCTCTTGTTCCCAGTAGGTCCGGGCCTTGCCTGCTCTTATATAACAAGGTTATCCACTCAGATTCCCTACAAGAGAATCAACCCACCCCAAATAAATCCTGGCAAATGAAGGACCACTGCTTCTTTCATTCATTCATTCATTTTTGAGATGGAGTTGTGCTATTCATTCATTCATTTTTGAGACGGAGTTTCGCTCGTTGCCTAAGCTGGAGTGCGATGGCACAATCTCGGCTCACTACAACCTCCACCTCCTGGGTTCAAGCGTTTCTCCTGCCTCAGTCTCCCGAGTAGCTGGGACTACAGGCGAGCGCCACCACGCCGGCTACTTTTTTGTATTTTTAGTAGAAATGGGGTTTTACCACGTTAGCCATGGTGGTCTCGAACTCCTGAACTCAGTTGATCTGCCCACCTCGGCCTCCCTAAGTGCTGGGATTACAGGCGTGAGCCACAATGCCTGGCCAACCACTGCTTATTTCTTAACTAAGCCCATTTTTGCAACAGAGCTATCTCAGCAGTGCCAAGCATATGCCCTTCCCTCATCACTATGATGGGCAAAACCTATCGTACCAGAGTCACAGTAAGACCCTAATATCCAATGCCTAAGACTGAGGGGACTTTCCTGTTTCTCACTCCTCCCATGCCCCCTTACCAGAGGGATGCACACCAGGAGGGTAGAAGTCTAGAGGGGGACGACCCTGGAGGAGCCGGGGGTCCACATAAGGAGGAATCATCATCCATCGGGGATCAAAGTTCATTGGGGGCATGGGTGGGGGCCGGCCCAGAGCACCTGGGTACAGGGCCTTGGGGGGCGGGGGTGGAGCCTGTGGAGCTGGCACAGCCCCCAGGGTCACAGGCTGTGGTGGTGATGGGGGCACTGGGGTAGGAGGGGCAGAGCCCTGTTGATGCTGCTGCCACTGGTGCTGCTGCTGCTGCTTCAGGAGCTGCTCCTAGGAAAGGAGGAAAGACAAGATGAGAGAGGCTCAAAGCACACATGGACAAAGGAATCAGCAAAGAAAAAACTTGGACTAGGGGAAATTGGCGTGACAATGGAGACAACTGGACAAAGAAGCAAAGGGACCCAGAAGGTAACTTATGAAGAGAATTAGGGACCGAAGCCAGGAAGAAAAGCAGCCCTTAGAGGGTAAACAACTTGATTTCACCTGCTGCTGCCGCTGGAAACGAGGAGGCAACGACTTCTGATATTTGGGGTAGCCCAAGCCCTGACTAGGGGGCTGGCGGGTGGGACCAATCCCATCACCCTTGGGTTCCACCTTTGGAACTGGGGGTGTGGTAGGAGGAGGAACCTCTTCTGGTGGTTCAGGACCCTCTTTTGAGGGCAGTTGTGGTTCCACTGCATCGGAAAAAACACAACAGAGTGATCTAGTCCAACAATAGACACTCCATGAACACCCCAGGAATCTCACGTCTCATCTCTAGCTCCCTTAAGACTAAAATATTCTATTCAACATCTATTCTATTGAAGCCCCTCCCATTTAAGACCCATTAAAGCACTTCATGGCCTCTCATGAGCCTATGGTGGTGGCATTAACTTTCTATGAAACCATTAGAACAACAGTACTTTCTTCAGTCTTGGCCTATAGGAAATAGTTTTCATTTTTATTTATGTATTTCTTGTGAGACAGGATTTTTTTTTGAGACAGAGTCTTGCTCTGTCACCCAGGCTGGAGTGCAATGGCATGGTCTTGGCTCACAGAAATCTCTGCCTCCCGGGTTAAAGCGATTCTACTACCTCAGCCTCCCAAGCAGCTGGGACTACAAGCACATGCCACCACACTTGGCTAATTTTTGTATTTTTAGTAGAGACGGGTTTCACTATGTTGGCCAGGCTGATCTTGAACTCCTGACCTCATGTTCTGCCCGCCTCGGCCTCCCAGAGTGCTGGGATTACAAGTGTGAGCCACCATGCCTGGCCGACAGGGTCTTGCTTTGTTGCCCAGGCTGGTCTCAAACTCCCTAGGCTCAAGCGATCCTCCACCCCAAGCCTCCCTAAGTGTTGGGATTATAGGCGTGAGCTACAGTACTCTGCCAAGAAATGGTATTAGACTACAACCTAAGATTCCAGACAAAACCTTCCCTCCTTCAGATATACAAATGATAGAACACTATCACTGATAGTCCAATAAACCAAAACAACTGCCTTCTACTTCATTTATCCCCAGCCTTACCACCCTGCACCTTTAAGCACCTTGAAGCAGTGATCTGACATCTGGTAGTACCTATCCCCATCTCCATACCTGGGCTGGCTTCGAAGCTGCCACTGCTGGTGCTACTGGTACTGCCACCACCACTCACCAGAGTGGGAGCCGCAGCCACACCTGGAGTAGGAGTAGATTGGGCAGGAGGGGCCTGTGCTGGCTCTTCAGGTTCTGTCTCTGGTGTTGGGGCTGATGCTGGAGGTGGAGCTGGAGGTGCAGGGAGTTCTTTAGGGACTGCAGGTGGTGGAGCTGGGGTAGAAGGGGCAGCAGGTGGGGCAGCAGGCTCTGCTTTGAGCCGCTTGTCAGGTGCCCCAAACTTTTCATCGAGTCGCTTGAGCTTCTCAGCACAGGCTGCCCGGCGCTCTTCTTGCATGCGCCGCTCCTCTTCTTCTCGCCGTCGCCGGGCCCGCTCCACTGCCAGGGAAATCTCAGATGACGACTGCTTTCGTCGCTGCCGCCATGCCTCATCCTCATCTTCAGGTGCTGGGGGCTTGCAGGGAGGACCCCCACGATCCTGTCAATTGGCAAGACCCAGCAGGGCCAGGGGAATCAGTTACTATGCTTTCTATCATCTCTTTTACAACAAATCAACTGTCGCTACTTGCAGGATGCAACGACCCAGGCTTTGGGGTTGATCTCTCTGGGTGGTGACAAACTCATTATCCTGGTCTTCTTTGAGACCACGTCTTGCTATGTTGCCCAGGCTGGTCTTGAACTTGGGCTCAAGTGATCCTTCTGCTTCAGCCTGCTGAGTAGCTTGGACTACTGATGCATACTAACAGATCCAGCTATCTAGCCACCCTAGTCTTTTTATTTTTCTGTTCCCTCTCTCCTTCCGAAACCCAAACACCCAGGGCTCCTTTTTCTTCTTTCCTCATTAGCATCCCAGTTTCTCACTTCTTACCCAGACTCCCCTATTACCAAAGATATTTAAAAGCTTCCCAGGATGTTCTGCAGCCTGGCACTTCACACAGCCCATTTTTAGCACCCCCCTTCCTCTATATCACAACCGCTTCAATTACTCAGCTGACACCAATTTCCCACAGCTGACCCTCTCAATCCCTTATTGGAGACACTCACTGGGTAGTCCCCAGGGGGGCCCCAGTTCCCGGCGGGGCCCCGGTGAGGTGGGGGTAGGGGAGGCTTTGGGGCAGGAGGTCCCGGCTCTGTCTCTGGAGGCCGAGAGGTTTCTGCCCAGGCCGTCTTAGGAGTGGGCGGTTCGCTGTTGGGGGAGTTGCCCTTTTTGCCATCTGCTTCAGGGGGCCGTTCCTCACCAGAAGCTGATTGGGAATCCCTGCTGTGAGCAGATCAACAGTGAAATTAAAATCAGCTGCAACTAATATACTCCTCTAAGAGTATATTACCAAAATACAAACCAAGACCCCCTCCTCTTCTCCCCTGATGGCCCTAACTCACTGGCCCTCAGCACCCTCCTCATCAGAGTCTCGCCCATCTTCCTCATCGCTGAACTTGAGCTTTTCAGTGTAGTCAACCTCTTCATGGGCCCCTGAGGGGAAATATGAGTATTAGTAACCCAAGCATTCTGCCCTCCAATCTTGGGAGGTAGTCTGGAACTATGTAACAAGATGGACTACCAATGCCAATATCCTTCCCTCCGAAGTCTAGATCCACCAATGAAGTCTTGTCATTCTTACTCCTCTCACCACTTTGCAAGGACTTGGTATTCCCCATCCATCCTCCCCTACTCTTTTTTTTTTTTCCTTTTAAAAGTCTCGCTCTGTTGCCCAGGATGGAGTTCAGTGGCACGATCATAGCTCACTGTGACCTCCAACTCCTGGGCTCAACTGATCCTCCCACCACAACCTCCAGAGTAGCTGGGACCACAGATGCACAGTCCACACCCAACTAAAAAATTTTTTTTTTTTTGTAGAGGTGGGGGGTCTTGCTGTGTTGCCCAGGCTGGTCTTGAACTCCTGGCTTCAAGCGATCCTCTCACCTAACACTCCCAAAGCACTGGGATTACAGATGTGAGCCATTGGGCCTGGTCTTCCTACACTTCAATGTCTGCCTTTCACCCACATAACCCTGTATTTTTTTTTCCTCATTAGGTTTTGCCTTTCAAGATCCAAATTCTTGACCCTTAATATCCACTTACCTGCCCAACCATCATCATTCTCCTGATCCAACTGATCAAACTCTTTGAGATTATCCTCTTTGAGAATAGAGGGACGACCCACAGGCTCTACTAAGCGCATTGGTGGCCCTGAGCCTCGGGGGCCCGCCACACGGGGAAAACGGCTGTACACAAAAAAGAAAATGAAATATGGCATGTTGTATAACCACATGCGAGACTGATCCTAGACTGAGCCTCCTGGCTAGAAAACCATCTCCTCCCCCAATAAGCTTCCCCTGCCCCCAGCCACAAACCCAGACCTGGATTGCTCACCTGGGCCCATCAGGAGTGGGGTATCGGTAAGGCCCCTGGGGTCCATAGGGCGGAGGGAACGGGAGATATGGGGGATACATCTGTAAAAGGGTCCAACAGTAGCTGCTCAGAGGGACAGTCATATACCCTTCTAGCTCCTTAAGCCTGCTATCAATCATCCTCCCACCCTCCCTTCTATCTCATAGGTCAAAGACTAAGTCCTGATTCCTAGCTCTCCAGCTTCCAGTGTAATCGTTCCAAGACAAGACACCAAGACTCACGAAAGGCGGCATCATTCCGCGGTAGGGAGGGAACTGGGGTGGGCCTGAAGGCTGTAGCCCACCCCGGGGATCATGACCATGATGAAGTTTGGAGTCCGGGCCCTCCAGCTCATCAGGGCCACGCCCACCTCCGTCCCTCCAAGTTGTAGAATCTGTATTTTGGAAAAGGTAGAGAGAGGTATCAATGATTGGAGGACAAGTGAACACAGCTGAAAGTGATGGGGAGGAAGGTGAATAAGCCAGCACCTAGCTCTGAGATGCAATAGGTAATGTCTTGGCCAAAAGGCAGCCACTCACTTTGGGGGCGGAGGCTTGGTCCGGGCCCAGACGACTGTTCGGCAGACTCCCTTTCCTTGGCAGCCTTGTCCTGGTCGCCAGCCGCCTGCAGGGTCGGAAATTCCTCTCGAGAGAATCGTGACAGTAGGCTTGATGCCCTTCCACCTATTAGGATGGGGATGCAGAACAGGAGACAGAAGACATTTCCTGAGGACATGCTATAAAAGTGGAAGACTCTGGCTGGGCGCGGTGGCTCACGCCTGTAATCCCAGCACTCTGGGAGGCTGAGGCGGGCGGATCACGAGGTCAAGAGATCGAGACCATCCTGGCCAACATGTGAAACCCCATCTCTACTAAAAACACACAAAAAATTAGCTGGGTGTGTTGGCGTGTGCCTGTAGTCCCGCTACTCTGGAGGCTGAGGCAGGAAAATCGCTTGAACCCAGGAGGCAGAGGTTGCAGTGAGCCGAGATTGCGCCACTGCACTCCAGCCTGGGTGACAGAATGAGACTCCGTCTCAAAAAAAAAAAAAGTGGAAGGCTCTGACAGGTACCAGACCATCAGGTTTCCCGCCTTCAAACTCACCCCCCTACAGAATAACTGCTTATTCCCCAAGGAGGTCAGTTCTGGCACCACTACACTCCATCATATAAGACTGAGACTTAAACTTGCTCATGTGCCTCCATGAAACTGAATATGGGTGGTCCTTGATTTAGCCAAAGAGGACCAAGGTCACTTGGCTGAAAATACAGTGCAGGGTTCATGCATCCCATGGTGCCCAGACACAGCTCCCCAATTAAGTGCTGCACTCACCATCTCCATGTGCTCCATGGGTGACGCTGGCTTGTGCCCAGGACTTTACCCCGCTTGGAACCAAAGGAGTGTTCTGGGGAAGTGTTCAGAAAGATGATAAATGATGTGGGTGGGGCAGCTATGAACCATTCTTCCTCCCCACCCCTCCAGTTCTCCAGGTACCTCGGGGGCTGCTGGGGGTCGTTTCGGCTGGTTGGAGGCAGGCGTCTGTGAAGCCGGCAGTGGCTGCGATTCCGGCGGCTGAGCGGTTGAGGCATCGGAACTGAGGGGACAGAATGGGAAGGTTATTCACACCTGAGATGCCTCCCTGACTTCTCCAACTGGTGGAGACTCAGGACTGAAATCATGCCCATTGCTACCATTTACAAATATAAGGACAAATTAATTTTGTCATCCTTTGTAGGCTGTTGTCTATTTTTTCATGCTCTCTCTCCAAGACAAAAAGCTAAAGTTTAGTACCATTCCTTAGTCATTTAACAAGGAACCTGCAATAGGTAAGAAAGGGACCTCTTCGTCTCTGGCTCAGACGTGGCTGGACTAAACCAAGCCCCAATGCTCCCTGAAGTTCAAGTTAAAATACCCATCACTCTAGGTCCCCCAAGCCTCTGTCTACCTCTTGGGGTCGGACTGCTCCTGTTTGCTTGCCCATCCTGTTCCGTCTTTTGGCACTAGTGAGACATTGGGGTCATTGCCTTTGTTCTCGGCTTTCAGGCTTGGAAGGTTGGCTGGAGGTGGCATACGCCGGGCAATGGCAACTTTCCCGAGACTCTGCAGGCCATGGCGAGGGGCAACTGGAGAACAAGACGGAGAGAGGGTCGAAAATGCCTCATGTGGGAGATCTGATGGCCTCCTATCCTGGGACACATTTATACATGTTGAATATTTTATTACCTACTTCCTCCAAACTTCTCTTAGAAGGGATTCCTTCCCCTGCCCTTAATAATCTCTGAAATCGCGCTGATTGTGGTGGCTCACACTTTGCAATCCCAGCACTTTGGCAGGCCGAGGCAGGCGGATCACCTGAGGTCAGGAGTTCAAGACCAGCTTGACCAAAATGGAGAAACCCTGTCTCTACTAAAAACACAAAATTAGCCGGGTGTGGTGGCGCATGCCTGTAATCCCAGCTACTCAGGAGGCTGAGGCAGGATAATCGCTTAAACCCAGGAGGTGGAGGTTGTGGTAAGTCAAGATCACACCATTGCACTCCAGCCTGGGCAACAGGAGCTAAACTTGGTCTCAAAAAAAAAAAAAAAAAAAAAAAAATCTATGAAATCCCTATCAAGAAGGCTGAGATATGTAACATTCAATACTTTTATGTGAGATTGGTTGATCATGAGCCTGCAAGAAGCAAGCTGGCCTCAAAGTTTCCCAAATCCACATTTATTTTCCTCCAATTCTTACGTGTCCAAAGACAGGGAACCACAGACACGCCTTTGTAGGAGGATAACTGGTGTTCACCCAGAGCCCACACCCCCTTTAAAGGACCCAGTGTAAAGTTGGGAAATCTCCTCTAGTCTTTTGGTATTTCTACTACAGCCACTTCCCTTTAAAGAGCTCTAAAACGTATGCCCCATGCATGCCTAGCTTTCAACCATCAGAAGCATCTTTGCAGGACTCTCACCAGCGGGTTTCTGGATCTCTAAGGACTTGCCCTTATACGTATCAAACAGGTTGAGCGAGGAATACTTCTTTCCATCCTTTCCCTTGGCAGTCGGCCCCGAGCGATCGGACATTGCGCTGGAAGCTCATTGAGTATGTTGGGTCCTGCAGGCACCTCCCCCAAAACGTGCCAGAGCCTGTGGGCCAGACAGCAAGTGTCTCAGTCTCTGTCCCCTGTACAGACCATAACAGAAACTTAAAAACTCCATTGCATTATCATTAGGGACTCAGATATGAGGCCCTCTGGTGTCTTTTCCTCCAGTCTATGTAAACTGCCCACTCTTCTCAAGCAACCATGATCTACTTAGCTCCCTCATAGCTCAAATGCCATGTTCCCTCCTTTCCCCCAGACACCTTTGTCAAGGAAATCTAAGTAAAAATCCAGCATCCTCCTAGTATAAACACTCTGCCCTTTGTGCCTGTCTACAAAGAGTAATTCCCTACAAGTAATAATCTCTTCTCTCTCCACCAAAATCGTTTCAGAGACTTACAACAGGACAAATTCAAGCAAGAGAAAACTAAAAAAGAAGCATACAATTCCATCAGAGAAGAAGAAACAACACTTTAGATTCCCTGTTTATTGGACACAAGCTCCCTAATCATGCCCCCAGGGCCCTGTACCCCAGGCTCCCAGCCCAGCAGCCTCGTGTCCATCTGGGAAGGTTTGCAGGAAGGTATGCTGGGAGTTTAAGGATTTTATGAGCTTGCTCAGCCGGAATGGGGGTTGGTACCAGAGAAATCCTCATAGAACAACTAGGGCTGTACATACTCCCAGGCTATAGGAACCTCAAGTATTTGAAATATCCCATCTTTTCCTAAACTTGCTCCTGTATTGGCTCCTGGAAAAAATCGCCTCCAGATGAAATACTGTTTTACCATATGAAGAACTGAGAAAAAGCATTATGGAGCCACCTTAGCACCCTGTAACCATGGGCCAGAAAACAGAGGGCCAAGGCCAGAGCCATCTTCGTTTTCCTATCCTCATTAAAAATGTCCATCACCAGTGTTTCTTTACTCGATACCTCCAGCTCCCTAAGCAAGCCGGACGACAGGTCTCTCAGTCCATTCCAGAGTGACCAGGCATTCGTTTATGGACGGGAACAGTGTAAAGAGATGAGAAATAGTGGGGAAGAAAGCAGGGAAATCCAGACAGGCCCAGAATGAAAGCTAAAATTGGGGAGAAAGAACTTTATGACAAGCTAGAGATAAGATGGATGTTGCTTCGTAGGTGTTTGAGGAGGCCAATCTGTGAAGATAAATATATGAAGGGAAAACGAATACAAGAGTCATGTAGCGAATAGACCAAAACTAACAGAAAATAATGAATACGAAAGCAGGTGGAAAATATATGGAAACAGGAATGGCAAAAAAAAAAAGGATGTAGACAACGAAGTAAGGGGGCAGAGGCCCAAGAAGAAAAACGGGGTTGGGGGAGAAAGGAGACGAGGAACAGGAAAAATGAAAAAGCAGACATAGGGCGACTGAGCAACATAGAAAGCAAAGATGCTGGGATAAAAGCAGGATTCTAGAGTGGGAGTGGCTCGACACGAAGAGGGGCGTCCAGAGGGGGGAACACAGCGCTGGATGATAGGAGGGGGTCCAATATGGAGGAAAAGCGCCCTTCCGAGAGAACCGTCGGGCGCGGCCCACCACCACGGGGCGGCAGCCGGGGAGGGGGCCCACAAATGGGGGTGAAAAGCCAGGAGCGCAGCGGAGGGTAGGGAGTTACGGACCCAGGCGCAGGGGTCACCCCCTGAAGCCAAGACGGTGGGTGGTTAGGGGCAGACTACGGATCCTGAATGAACTGCCGGAGGTGCGGGTCCCGGAGTAGAGGTACCGGAGGGGGAGGGGCAAGCAGGCCCGGCAGCAGGAGGACAAAATGGCGGCGGCTAATGGCAGCTTCTCCTCCCCCCGGCCCACCACCGCCGCCGCCGCCGCCACCGCCACCGCCACCACCTCTCCCGCGCCGGAAAAGGGCGTCAGCGCACGGTTCACCCAGACTCACCTGGCCGGGTGCGCGGGGATCCGGGACCCGGGCCTAGGGGCTCCCCGGGACGGGATGGCGGTGGGGCGGGGGAGGATGGCGGCGGATGGCGCCGGGTTCGGCTCCTCCCGTCTCCCTCGCTCACTCCGCGGCTGAGCCCCGACTAACGGCCCATCCGGGCAACCGCCGCCCCCGGGAGCACCCCCTCCCACCTCCCACCTCCCTCCGCGCCTAGACACGCCCCTTAATTTGCATAAAGGGCGGGGCACTTTCTACCCTAACCCTCTACTTCCAGGGCTGTCTTTAGTTTAAAAAAAAAAAAAAAAGGGCCGGGCGCGCGGAGCATGCGGAGGTTATTTGCATAAAGAGGAGGGACTTAAGGGCACTAGGACCCCGATTGGCTAAGGAGGCGGGCCCCCAGCGTCGGCCGTTGAGCCGTGTTGAGGGGGCGGGAATGCGGTGCAGGTCGGCTGGGCGGTTGGGACGCAGAATTTACACGACGAATGTGGGAGAAAGAGGCGGAGCGTGCGTCGGACGTTAGTAGAAAGATGGGAGCGGAGAGACGTTGGGACGCCAAAAGTGGAAGGCAACGACACACGGCCCGTGGCGCCTTCAGCTAGGGAGAAAGAGAGAGAGGACGGGGGCTGGCGGGCGGGATTAGCTGCCGGAGGGCTGAGTTTCCGCAGGCCTGGTAAGAGTTCCAGCTCTCGCATCCCTTTGCCGTGAGTTTGAGGAGGTGGTTGGAGCGGGGAAATGCACCAGAGGGGCGGGGCCTTCCAGTTATTATATTACGTCATGCAAATGAGGTGGCTAGACAGACCAATCCAAAGGCCCCGGGAAGCGTTTCGTCCGCACCACGCAGCGTAGGCATTCTTCGGGCAGTTCTACCTATTTGCATAATGTATGCAAATCATTTGAACAAAGATAGGCTAGGAATGACTCGTTCATCAAAATATGGGCAACCATCGACTAAGACGGACATTTAATTTTATAACCTATAATTTTCATGAATAAATTTTTATATTTGAAATTATTGGGAATTTGTAATTTCTTAACAATGGGTTTCATTTTGTGAAATGCAGTACTGTTACCCTCCTTTGTCTCTTACTACCCGATTCTAGAACTCTCTGCTCCCATCAGAGTTATACCCATTCAACAGATCATTCAATGACTATGATTTGAAGGCGCTGGAGATAATGCACAGGATATTATAGAAGTAGAGAAATAAGGCCTGGCGCGGTGGCTCACGCCTGTAATCCCAGCACTTTGGGAGGCCTAGGCAGGTGGATCACGAGATCAGGAGTTCAAGACCAGCCTGGCCAACATGATGAAACCCCATTTCTACTAAAAATACAAAAATTTGCCCTACGTGGTGGCGGGCGCCTGTAATCCCAACTACTCGGGAAGCTGAGGCAGAGAATTCCTTGAACCAGGGAGGCGGAGGTTGCACTCCAGCCTGGGTGACAGAGCAAGACTACGTCTCAAAAAAAAAAAAAAAAAAAAAAAAAAAAGAAGGATGGGCGCGGTGGCTCACGCCTGTAATCCCAGCACTTTGGGAGGCTCAGGCGGGCGGATCACCTGAGGTCACGAGTTCGAGACCAGCCTGACCAACATGGAGAAACCCCGTCTCTACTAAAAATACAATTACCCAGGCGTGGTGGCGCATGCCTATGATCCCAGCTACTCGGGAGGCTGAGTCGGGAGAATCGCTTGAACCTGGGAGGCGGAGGTTGTGGTGAGCCAAGATCGTGCCATTGCACTCCAGCCTGGGCAACAAGAGCGAAACTCTATCTCAAAAAAAAAAAAAAAAGAAAGAAGTAGAGAAATAAAATATGATTATGCCTGGGGTGATTGAGAAATGTTTCTAGAAAAACTCTTATTAAGAGATATGAGGCCGGGCGTGGTGGCTTATGCCTGTAGTCCTGGCACTTTGGGAGGCTGAGGCGGGCAGATCACAAGGTCAAGAAATGGAGACCATCCTGGCCAACATGGCAAAACCCCGTCTCTACTAAAAATACAAAAATTAGCTGGACTGGTGGCGCGTGCCTGTAGTCTCAGCTACTTGGGAGGCTGAGGCAGGAGAATCGCTTGAACCTGGGAGACGGAGGTTGCAGTGAGCTGAGATCACGCCACTGCACTCCAGCCTAGCGACAGAGTGAGACTACGTCTCAAAAAAAAAAAAAAAAGAAAAAGAAGAAAAAAAGGGCCGGGAGCGGGAGCAGTGGCTCACGCCTGTAATCCCAGCACTTTGAGAGGCCAAGGTGGGTGGGTCACCTGAGGTCAGGAGTTGGAGACCAGCCTGGCCAACATGAGACTCCATCTCAGGAAAAAAAAAAAAAAATGATATGAAGAATGATCGGAGTAGATATCTGTCAAAAATATATAAATAAATAGATATGAAGAACGAGTTAGAACTTACCCAAGTTTCAGAAGAAGGTGTACATCTCAGGTGCAGAGAACAGATTAGTGGAGGCATGAGTTTGGGGGCCTGTGCCTAGGCTGATATGGCTAAATAAAGGAGGCGGCTTATTCATTATGAAAAGTGAAGGCAGAAAAGTTTGCGGAAATCAGATGAGAATTTTAGTCAGAGGCTCAGTAAGATTTAAGATGACTTCTGTTTTCAAACTTCCAAAATGATTCTCTTCTCCCTTCTCCCCGGCCGGCTACCACACATACCGTTTTGTTACCCTTTGCAGCAAAATTCTTAAAAGGGATGTCCATAGTCATTGTCTCCAATGAGTTTCTCCTTCCAGTCTTTTTTTTTTTTTTTTTTTTTTTTTGAGACAGAGTCTCACTCTTGTCACCCAGGCTGGAGTGCCATGGCGTGATCTCGGCTCACCGCAACCTCCACCTCCCGGGTTCAAGCGATTCTCCTGCCTCAGTCTCCCGAGTAGCTGGGATTACAGGCACCTGCCACCATGCCCAGCTAATTTTTTGTATTTTAGTAGAGATGGGGTTTCACCATGTTGGCCAGGCTGGTCTCCAACTCCTGATTTCAGGTAATCTGCCCGCTTCGGCCTCCTGAAGTGCTGGGATTACAGGCGTGAGCCACCACGCCCAGCTGTAAATTCTTTGCTTTATTTAATAGCACCAGTTCTTTCATTCATCTACCCATTCAAGTGTTTTTTGTTTGTTTGTATGTTCGGTTTTTTTTTTTTGAGACGGAGTTCGCTTTTTAGTTGCCCAGGCTGGAGTGCAATGATGCGATCTCGGATCACCACAACCTCCACCTCCTGGGTTCAAGAGATTCTCCTGCCTCAGCTTCCCAAGTAGCTGGGATTACAGGCATGCGCCACCACACCAGGCTAATTTTGTATTTTTAGTAGAGACGGGGTTTCTTCATGTTCGTCAGGCTGGTCTCGAACTCCTGACCTCAGGTGATCTGCCCACCCCATCCTCCCAAAGTGCTGGGATTACAGGCATAAGCCATCGGCCCCGGCTCATTCAAGTTTTAAACATTATTGAGGGCTTATGATATGTCAGGCACAATAGCATAGGTCACTTTATCCCCATTTTTAGAAAAAAGCCTCACAGAGGCTGAGTGATTTGTCAAAGTGACAAAGCTTATAGTGGTGGAGAATGTTGGTTCATGGTATTCCTTGCTCTTCATGAAATCTGTCATGGGCCTGAGTACCTTGTTTGGACATGTGTTTTTGACCTGCCTGCATTCTTTGAGGTTAAGGCTGTCTTACACAGCTGGAATCCCCCTTGGTGCGTGAAACCATCTGCTGTAGTGGACACACTATAGCGTTGTTGATGGATTGTTCATATGGCCAAATCCTTGCCACCTTTCCCTCAAGACCTGTCTCTCCTTCCCAAACCCAGGAAAAAAATCACCCAAATAAAAACTAAGCTGACTTGATCTGGAGGAGGGGGTAATTTATTTAATTTGTTGACTCTGGCTTACAATTTTGTCTTCTGTTTCCATATCTGGGTCATTAGAAGCCCCTTCAATCCCATCATCCCTTTTCCCTTCAAATCAGGGCAACTCAGAGATAGCTTTCTTGGCTGGGGGGCCTGTTGGCTTTTCCTTTTCTCTCGCTTTTTCCTCATACATCAGGATCCTGGTTGAGATGGGAAGAGGCACAGGGATCAGGGAACACTCCTCTCAAGGGAATAAATCATAGGGTGCTAGGAAAGGCTAGAAGGGGATGGGGATGTGAGGGTGGAAGGGGGAAGAGGAAGGGCAGGGGTTGGAGTTTCTGGGGACCAGGACTATGGATAGGGATGGGGTCGGGACCTTGGAAGGGTCCCTCTAAGGATGGAAGAAGGGATGATGGGCAACGTGTAGAAATGTTGAGCCTGTGGACAAGGGTAGGGATGGGGGAGGAGAAAACAGGTAAGTACAGGGGAGGTTGGAAATTGACACTCACATTTTTAGGATGGCAGATCTCTTGCCCAGCATCATCCTGAGAAAGTCAGGGTAGCTGAACGTCTCCCCGGAGCCACTGGACACCTCTCCAATTAATTTCTTTAGCTCTAGGTGAGTCTTGGGGACTCCAAGTTTCTCCAGCATTCGTTTCAGGGACATGATATCTGGGGGCAGAGGATGGGGATGGGGAGAAGGTGGGGAGACCCTCTCTCTCCTCTCCCACTTCCGCATCCCCATTCTCCTTCCTCCCACTGTGGTAGGTGGGCCCCCTCCCAAATCATGAGGAATGGAGCATGTAGGAGAGACCTCTGTCTTCTTAGGCCTGCACACCACCCTGCCCCCGCAAATCACCCGTTTCTCACCAATATCGCCATTTCCATTAAGGTCAAACTCCATGTATTTCTCTGGGTGAGGGGAGAGAGCAGAAGGGATAAGCGCTGACTGGAGGGTTTTCAGCAGGGGACTGAGGAAGGGGTTGCCAACCAACTGCTAGGTGGAGGAGACAACGTGGAAGGAGGAGGAGGGGCAGGCAGAGGAAGTGGGGTTGGGGAGTTGAGGGGCCCCGCTAGGGTGTAAGGAGCTAGAGGGGATGCTGAGAGAGGCAGGCCCGGGAAAGGGACCGCAGTGTGGCAGGAGGGCAATAAAGGCAGGTTCCCCTTTTGCTACCACAAAAGTAAACTTTTTATCTCTGCTGTTCCTGCCTTGTTCTTGTGGAAATCCTAACCCTCCTACCCCCAGCCCTGTCTCCACCGCCTACAGTTTCCCCCTCACCTTTGAAGCCTTCCAGTTTGGAGGGCAGATCCTCATCACTGCTATATTTGGGATCGTCTAGGAATTGCTATGGAGGGGAAAATAAGAGCCAGGGTAGGCCCTCCCCATCCACGCCCCATCCCCCTGGCTCTGCCCCCTTAGTTCTTCCTTCTACCTTGTTGATCTCATCCAGCCTCTCTTCCTGCTGGGCCTTCAGCAGTCCGAAAGCTTTTCCTCCTGTGGGGTGAAAAAAATTAATCAGCCCTCATCCCTCCCTTCCTCTCCTTACCCTGACACCAGCCCGGGCTACCCTAGGCCAGCTGACTGCCCTCCTAGCCCACAGCCCAGGTCTGTCCATCTCATTCCTCCGATCTAATGCCGCTGCCTATCCCACCCTCCCTACCCTGTAAATCCCTGGTTTGGCTCATAGCTCAGCAGATGCTGGTAGAGGTGGGGAGACAGACCAAGCTGGAGGCCTCTGTCTGCAGGCTCTCCTTCTCTCCCACCAGTCTTCTCAGAAGCCTTCCTCCCAAACTTCCCCTTTCCCCTCATTCCTTCCTCCTCTGCCTCCCAGACCTCACTTCCCCATCAGGTTCTGCTGACACTAGCACCCCAGGAAGGAGGGGGAGCCTGGTGTGAAATGCAGATTAGAAAATAACATTCTCCCAAATTCCTCTTAAATGAGAGCCCAGTGTGCGCATGAAACAAATATTTTGATAAGCCACTGGAGGTGTGCAGGAAGGGCAGGAAGACACCAGGGATATTTATTCTCAGGAACTAGTATTTTTGAACAGGTCCAAGGTTCAGGTAATGATAAGACCTTGCATTTTGTCAGGTTTCATGAGTCTGGGCAGGCAGCTGTGGATAGGAAGACAAGGAAGGGCTGGCTGAATTTTTCTGCTCTGTAGATCGGAGAAGAATCTGAAGTCTGCTGGCAGCTCCAGGAGGGTGACAAGATGGGCACAGGGTTTAGAAAGGGAGAGAAACCTCACTCCCAGCCTGGCAGCTCCAAGGAGGCCCTTAAAAATATGGAAATGTCTAACAAAACATTTTAATTTGTTTGCTTTAGAATGTGCAACGTAACCCTCTCATCTTATCTCCTTTGAAATCTTTAGTAAAATCTATAGAGATCAGGAATTTAAGAGTTTAAGTAGATTCTTTGGAGGAACTGAAAGTGGTACTTAAAGAAACAGCGTTTGTGGACAGAAGAGCCAGGGAGTGAGGCTGACATCAGGTTTGCACACTGCACGTGCGTGCACACATGCAGGCATGTTTGTGTGATGGTGGTGCTGGTCACTGTGGGTTCAACAGAGTGGATGATAGCCTCTGACACATGCCTCCCTAGGCATAACCTTTATCCCCTCTGTCACTCTGTTTGGCCAGTCGCTTCTTGGAGAGGTGAGGACAGCACATTTCCCTCATTGAGATTTCCTGGTCCAAACTCCCTGCCCAGGGCTCCATCTACCCTGCCCCGGCATTGATGAAGACACCTTTCCTTCTCCCTTCCCCCCAACATATTTCCTTTTCTGTAGCTGGGAGTTTTCACTTCTCACTGCCCTCTCCCTGACCCAAGCCAGGTAGGGGAGATGCTGGAGTGGCCTCTGGCTGCTGCTGCTGCTTTTTTTTTTTTTTTTGAGTCGGAGTCTTGCTCTGTCGCCCAGGCGGGAGTGCAATGGTGCAATCTCGGCTCACTGCAACCACTGCCTCCTGGGTTCAAGCAATTCTCCTACCTCAGCCTCCTGAGTAGCTGGGACTACAGGCGCCCACCACCACGCCCAGCTAATTTTTGTATTTTTAGTACAGATGGGGTTTCGCCATGTTGGCCAGGATGGTCTCTATCTCTTGACCTTGTGATCCACCCACCTCAGCCTCCCAAAGTGCTGGGATTACAGGCATGAGCCACTGCACCTGGCTGGACTCTGGCTTCTTGACTTCCCTTTATTGCAGCTACATTCTCCTGCTGCAGAGAGAGCTGCAACCCTGTACTCCCAATGTTCTCAGTGCCTGCTGGGAGGAACTCACTTCTTTATTCATACGTTCACTCAACAGATATTTACTGAATGCTTACTATATGCCAGACATGCCTCTAGGCCCAGAGAACCCAACAAATGAAAACTCTTGTCTTCATGGTTGATCTAATTGGGGAAGGCAGACAATACAAATAAATAAGTATATTAAAGGTGCTAGGTGGCCAGGCGCAGTGGCTCACGCCTGTAATCACAGCACTTTGGGAGGCTGGGGCAGGCGGATCACAAGGTCAGGAGTTGGAGACCAGCCTGACCAACATGGTGAAACCCCATCTCTACTAAAAATACAAAAATTAGCAGGGCCTGGTGGTGCGTGCCTGTAATCCCAGCTGCTCAGGAGGCTGACGCAGGCGAATCGCTTAAACCCGGGAGGCAGAGGTTGCAGTGAGCTGAGATCGCGCCATTGCACTCCAGCCTGGGCAACAGAGTGAGACTCCGTCTCAAAAAAAAAAAAAAAAAAAAAAAAAAGGCGCCAGGTGCCTATGGAGGAAAACAAAGTAGGGAAGAGGGGACATAGGAGTATTATTGCCAATGGTCCCCAGTTTTTTGTTTTTTGTTTTTTGTTTTTTTTTTAAACGGAGTCTCACTCTGTCGCCCAGGCTAGAGTGCAATGGCTTGATCTCAGCTCACTGTAACCTCCGCCTCCTGGGTTCAAGCGATTCTCCTGCCTCAGCCTTCCGAGTAGCTGGGATTACAGCCACCTGCCATCATACCTAGCTAATTTTTGTATTTTTGTAGAGGCGGGGTTTCACCATGTTGACCAGGCTGGTCTTGAACTCCTGACCTTAGGTGATCTACCCACCTCGGACTCCCAAAGTGCTAGGATTACAGGCGTGAGCCACTGCACCCAGCTTTTTTTGTTGAGACAGAATCTCGCTCTGTTGCCCAGGCTGGAGTGCAGTGGCACAATCTCAGCTCACTGCAACCTCTGCCTCCCGGGTTCAAGCGATTCTCCTGCCTCAGCCTAACGAATAGCTGGGATTACAGGCGATCACCACTATACCCGGCTAATTTTTGTATTTTTAGTAGAGATGGGGTTTCACCAAGTTGGCCAGGCTGGTCTTGAACTCCTAACCTTGTGATCCTCCCACCTTGGCCTCCCAAAGTGCTGGGATTACAGGTGTGAGCCTGACTTGTCCCCAGTTTTAAATATGGTGGTCTGGCCAGACACGGTGGCTTACGCCTGTGGTCCTAGCCACTTGGGAGGCTGAAGTGAGAGGATCGCTTGAGCCCAGGAGATCAAGGCTGCAGTGAGCCATGACCGTGCCATTACACTCCAGTCTGGGCAACAGAGTGAGACCCTGTCTCAAAAAATACAATAAAATAATAAAATAAATAGAGTGGTTAGAGAAGCGTTCTCTGAAAAAGTGATATTTGAGCAAAGATTTCTTTTCTTTTTTTTGAGATGGAGTCTCACTCTGTCACTCAGGCTAGAGTGCAGTGGTGCAATCTCCACTCACTGCAACCTCCACCTCCCGGGTTCAAGTGATTCTCCTGCCTCAGCCTCCAGAGTAGCTGGGATTACAGGCACCTGCCACCACGCCCAGCTGGCTAATTTTTTGTATTTTTAGTGAGACGGGGTTTTACTATGTTGGCCAGGCTGGTCTTGAACTCCTGATCTCATGATTCGCCCACCTCGCCCTCCCAAAGTGCTGGGATTACAGGTGTGAGCCACCACGCCTGGCCGTTTGATCAAAGATTTTAAGCAAGCAAAGGAACAAGCCTCTGTCTTCCTAGGCCTGCACACTTCCCCAAATCACCTTTTTTCACTGATATCTCTGTTTCCATTCTGGTCAAACTTTATGTATTTCTTTGGGTAAAGAGAGAGAACAGACAGGGTAAGCACTGGCTAGAGGGTCTTTGGCAGAGGATCGAGGAAGGCATTGCCAACCAAGTGCTAGGTTGAGGAGAGGATGTGGAAGGAGGAGATGGGGCAGGCAGAGTGGGCTTGGGGAGTTGAGGGACCATGTAAGGTGGATATACGGCTAGAAAGAAAAATACTTATTTTTTTTTTTTTGAGACAGAGTCTCCATCTGTCGCTAGACTGGAGTGCAGTGGCGCGATCTTGGCTCACTTCAACCTCCACATCCTGGGTTCAAGCGACTCTCCTGCCTCAGCCTCCCAAGTAGCTGGGACTACAGGTGCGCACCACCATGTTCAACTAATTTTTGTAATTTTAGTGGAGACGAGGTTTCACCATGTTGGCCAAGATGGTCTCGATCTCTTGACCTTGTGATCCACCCACCTTGGCCTCCCAAAGTACTGAGATTATAGATGTGAGCCACTGCGCCTAGCCAGAAAAATATTTATTGATCCTAAAGTGGAGTCAGCGCCACTGTTGCTGCTAGTGTTGAATCCAGAACCATAGCTGGACATGGGATCAGAGGATGAACAAGAGATGCTGACTGGGCCTAGAGATGGCAAGGAGGAGGAGGAAGAGGAAGAGGAGGAATTAGTCAATTCCTAACAAAAGCGAGAGAGCAGTGCGTGCAGCTGAAGAAAGGAGTAAAGTCTCGGAGCAGCTGGAGCTCTGTGATGAGCACGTGTCTTCCAGATCACAGACAGGAGAGGATTGCACAAAGCTCTTTGACTTCTCTAATGCAAGGGACCATTGCATGGCCCACAAATCCTTTAACAGTTTGAAATGAATGTGCAGACTCCTTCACCCCAGCTTTCATCACCTGGGCATTTCTCTATGGTTTTAAATATAACATTTGTTTCTAATTTGTGTAACTATAAGTCCATGTGAACCTCATGGATTTTTGGCTTAGGCAAATAGCTTCTCTGTAATTGGCAGCAATTCCATCTTAATAAGGGAACTGTGATTTGCAAAACGAAAAAATATACTGTTTTTTTCTTTTTCCTTTTTTTTATTCAAGGGCTAGTGAATCTTGGGATCTCAGGGTTACATCGAGGTATATTTATCATCATCATTATAGTCCAGGACTAAAAGGAAGTTATTCCAGGCTCTTTGCAAAGAATCTCAGTTTTTTTTGTTTGTTTGTTTTATTTTGTTTTGAGATGGAGTCTTGCTCTGTTGGCCAGGCTGGAGTGCAGTGGTGCAGTCTCTGCTCACTGCAACCTCCACCTCCCAGGTTCAAGTGATTCTCCTGCCTCAGCCTCCCGAGTAGCTGGGACTACAGGCACCCGCCACCATGCCTGGCTAATTTTTTGTATTTTTAGTAGAGACAGGGTTTCACCATGTTAGCCAGGATGGTCTCAATCTCCTGACCTCATGATCGGCCCGCCTCGGCCTCCCAAAGTGCTGGGATTACAGGCGTGAGCCACTGCGCCTGGCCAAGAACACCACTTCTTACACCAATCATGTGGAGACTTCTCCCACACCAATCAATTCTTCAGTTCTTGGTAGATATTAACTGGGAGTCCTGCAGTTTAATTCAGTTCTGACACTCTACCCATAATTACCAGTTATCTAATCCCCAAGTTGAAGGGCTCAGTTCTACAAGGCTGCCCCCACTCCAGATACCAATCACAAACAAGTCCAGGCCTCCTAACTGTTTTTATGACTCCCTCTTCTGGCTCAGTAATTCGCTGGAATAGCACGCAGAACTCAGGTAAACACTTTACTTATGTTAGCTAGTTTATTATGAAGGATAAAACTTAGGAACAGTCAGATGGAAGAGTTGCTCCGGACAAAGTATCGGGGAAGGGGGATTTGGAGTTTTCTTGTCCTCTCTGGGCACCTCCCTGCACCTCCATGTGTTCATCAACCTGGCAGCTCTCCAACCCTCATCTTTTTTGTTTTTTTTTATGGAGGCTTCATTATGCAGGCATACTTGATTCAATAGCCATTAGTTGGAGGTCAGAGGGTTGGAGCTAAAAGTTCTAACTCTCTAATCACACAGTTGCCTACCTTGGCAACAAACCCCAACCTTAGGGGCTTTCTAAAAGTCAACTTACTAACATAAACTCAGTTGTGGTTGAAAAGAGCTTGTTATGAATAACAAAAGCTCCCTTCACTTTATCATTTAGGAAATTACAAGGGCTTTAGGAGGTCTGGCCAGGAGCCAGGATGGAGACCAAAACACACACACACACACACACACACACACGCACGCACACACACATTAATATTTTGAGACAGGGAGACAGGGTCTCGTTCTGTTATCCAGGCTGGAGTGCAGTGGCACAAACATGGCTACTGCAGCTTTGACCTCCCAGGCTCAAGCGATCCTCCCTTGTCAGCCTCCTGAGTAACTGGGACTACAGGCATGTGCCACCACACCTGGCTAATTTTTAAAATTTTTTTTAGAGACAGGGTCTCCTTGTGTTGCCCAGGCTGGTCTTGACTGCCTGGGCTCAAGTAATCCTCCCACCTTGGCCTCCCAAAGTGCTGGGATTACAGGCCTGAGCCACCGTGCCTGACCTTTTTTTTTTTTTTATTTTTTTTTTTTTGAGACAGTTTCTTGTTCTGTCATCCAGGTTGGAGTGCAGTGGCACCATCATAGCTCACTGCAGCCTCAACTTCTTGGGCTCAAGCAATCCTTCCATCTCAGCCTCCCAAGCAGCTGGGACCCGCACCACCATGCCTGGCTCATTTTAAAATTTTTTGTAGAGATGAAGTCTCGCCAGGTTGCCCAGGCTGGTCTTGAACTCCTGGGCTCAAGTGATCCTCTGGTCTCAGCCTTCTAGAGTGCTGGGATTACATGTGTTAACCACCACACCCAACCCATATATATACATATTTATTTATTTTTTCCCCGAGATGGAGTCTTGCTCTGTTGCCCAGGTTAGAGTGCAGTGGCGCGATCTCCGCTCACTGCAAGCTCCACCTCCCAGGTTCACGCCATTCTCCTGCCTCAGCCTCCTGAGTAGCTGGGACTACAGGCGCCTGCCACCACGCCCGGCTAATTTTTTGTGTTTTTAGTAGAGACGGGGTTTCACCATGTTAGCCAGGATGGTCTCGATCTCCTGACCTTGTGATCTGACCGCCTTGGCCTCCCAAAGTGTTGGGATTACAGGTATGAGCCACCGCGCCTGGCCTTTTTTTTTGTGGGGGGATGGAGTCTCGCTCTGTCGCCCAGGCTGGAGTGCAGTGGCGATCTCGGCTCACTGCAAGCTCCGCCTCCTGGTTTCACGCCATTCTCCTGCCTCAGCCTCCCGAGTAGCTGGGACTACAGGTGCCTGCCCCCACACCCGGCTAATTTTTTTTTGTATTTTTAGTAGAGACGAGGTTTCACCATGTTAGCCAGGATGGTCTTGATCTCCTGACCTCGTGATCTGCCCCCCTCGGCCTCCCAAAGTGCTGGGATTACAGGTGTGAGCCACCACACCCGGGCCCAAAAATATATATTTTTATTATAACAATATCACAATGGGAGAAGAACATTTCAGGTGGAGGGAACAGCAAGTTCAAAGGCCCTGATGTGAGAGCAGTGTGGATATCTGGAGTGTTCATGGAGTAGCAGGGAGGCCTGTGCTGCTGAAGCCAGGTGAGGAGGAGGTCAGCTTGGGTAGGGCCTTGTAAAGACTCTGGCTTTTATTCTGAGTGAGACTGCCTCCCAGACTGGTCTTTCCATTGAGAATGGCTTGACAGACTACTGGGGTGAGACAGTGCTTAGATGCTCAGAAAAACTGCCTGGGATAGAGAGAATGACAGCTGCTCTGACTGTGGGACAAAAATGAAGACTAGGCCTGGCGCGGTGGCTCACTCCTGTAATCCCAGCACTTTGGGAGGCCGAGGCAGGCAGATCACCTGAGGTCAGGAGTTTGAGATCAGCCCGACAAACATGGAGAAACCCCGTTTCTACTAAATGTACAAAATTAGCCAGGCATGGTGGCGCATGCCTGTAATCCCAGCTACTTGGGTGGCTGAGGCAGGAGAATCGCTTGAACCTGGGAGGTGGAGATTGCAGTGAGCCGAGATCACGCCATTGCACTCCAGCCTGGGCAATAAGCGAAACTCCATCCCCCCCACCAAAAAAAGTGAATACTGAAGGGTATATAGGAAGACAAGCGGGTGGAGAAGGAAACTCAGGGCCTTCTGAGAAGGAAACAGAGATGAGGGGAAAAGAATAGACATGCAAGAAGATGCTGGGGCTCAGAAAGTGATACCCCAAAGACTGGTGCTTTGAAATGCTGAGAGGCCTTAGAAGCTGCCTTAGAATTGTCCTACCACACTTTCTGGAATTTCCTTATCTGACTGAAAAAACTTCTTTGCAAAAGAAGTGCAATTGTCTTAAGACCTCCTGCCTAGAGATCTTATCAAATGACCAGATCAACCACCAGAGAGAAGATATTAGGAGTCATCATCATACCCAGATAGACTTTTCTTCTCTTTCTTTTCTTCCTTTTGAGTCAGCGTCTTGTTCTGTTGCCCAGCCTGGAGTGCAGTGGCATGGTCATGGCTCACTGCAGCCTCAACCTCCAGGCTCAAGTGATCCTCCCACCCTAGCCTCCTGAGTAGCTGGGACGACAGGCATGTGCCACCACGCCTTAGGTTTTTTTTTTTTTTTTTTTTGAGATGGAGTCTCTCTCTGTCACCCAGGCTGGAGTGCAGTGACATGATCTCAGCTCACTGCAACCTCCTCCTCCTGGGTTCAAGCAATTCTCCTGCCTCAGCCTCCGGAGTAGCTGGGGTTACAGGCGCCCGCCACCACGCCCAGCTAAGTTTTGTATTTTTTAGGAGAGAAGGAGTTTCATCATGTTGGCTCTGGCTGATCTCGAACTCCTGACCTCAGGTGATCCACCTGCCTTGCCCTCCTAAAGTGCTGGGATTACAGACATGAGCCACTGCACCCAGCCATGGTGACTAATTATCTTTTTTTTTTTTTTTTTGAGACAGAGTCTCACACTGTCGCCCGGGCTGGTGTGCAGTAGCGCGATCTCGGCTCACTGCAACCTCCACCTTCCGGATTCAAGTGATACCCCTGCCTCAGCCTCCCAAGTAGCTAGGATTGCAGGCACCCGCCACCACGTCCAGCAATTTTTTTTTTTTTTTGAGACGGAGTCTCGCTCTGTCGCCCAGGCTGGTGTGCAGTGACAGGATCTCAGCTTACTGCAAGCTCCACTTCCTGGGTTCATGCCATTATTTTTTTGTATTTTTAGTAGAGATGGGGTTTCACTATGTTGCCCAGGCTGGTCTCAAACTCTTGACCTCGTGATCTGCCCACCTTGGCCTCCCAAAGTGCTGGGATTACAGGCGTGAGCCACAGTGCTGGTCTTTTTTTTTTTTTTTTTTAGATAGAGTCTTGCTTTGTCACCCAGGCTGGAGTGCAGTGGCATGATCTTGGCTCACTGCAACCTCTGCCTCATGGGTTCAAGAGATTCTCCCGCCTCAGCCTCCTGAGTAGCTGGGACTACAGATGCGCGCCACCAAGCCCAGCTAATTTTTTTGTATGTTTAGTAGAGACAGGGTTTTGCCATGTTGGCCAGGATGGTCTGGATTTCTTGACCTCGTGATCCGCCCTCCTCAGCCTCCCAAAGTGTCAGGATTACAGGCGTAAGTCACCGTGCCTGGCTTCTTTTTTTTTTTTTTTTTAAATATAGAGACAATGGATCATAATATAGAGACATTCTCATCCTAATGTTAGCACAACGGGGATGCAGATGGTCAGGATCTGGAGACTTGCAGGAATAGAGCAGTGAGCCAAAGTGCAGCCTGGTTTATGCTTAATTATAACTATATTTCTGCCCAGATCCCAGCATGCAATTCTTGTCAATCTTGGGACAGTTTCAATTTACTCTATTGAAAGTTTTTATTAATATTTTGATAACTGGAATTTGATTTCGATGCAATTTTTTTTTTTTGAGACGGAGTCTTGCTCTGTCACCCAGACTGGAGTGCAATGGCGTGATCTCGGCTCACTGCAACCTCCGCCTCCCGGTTCCAGCAATTCTCCTGCCTCAGCCTCCCAGGTAGTTAAGATTACAGGCGCCGACCACCATGCCTAGCTAATTTTTTGTTTTTAGTAGAGACAGGGTTTTGTCATGTTGGCCAGGCTGCTCTCGAACTCCTGACCTCGGGTGATCCACCTGCCTCGGCCTCCCAAAGTGTTGGGATTACAGGCGTGAGCCACTGCGCCTGGCCGATTTGTTTTTGTATGTATATTTTTTAAATTTTATGCTTTACTAGAATGCCAAAGGGATCTGTGGCACAAAATAACTAAGAACCACTGCTGTAACCTCTCTCTCCCCTCACCCCTTTGAGCCTGGGAGTGGAAATATCCCCTGCAGTTCTCTTACATAACACTCCCACCTTTGTGTGTGCGTGTGTTTTGTTTGTTTTGTTTTGTTTTTGGGATGGAGTCTCGCTCTGTCACCCAGGCTGGAGTGCAGTGAAGTGATGTCAGCTCAGTGCAACCTCCACCTCCCAGGTTCAAGCGATTCTCCTGCCTCAGCCTCCCTAGTAGCTGGGACTACAGATGCATGCCACCACGCCTGGCTAATTTTTTGTATTTTCAGTAGAGATGGGGCTTCACCGTGTTAGCCAGGATAGCCTTGACCTCCTGACCTCGTGATCCACCCTCCTCAGCCTCCCAAAGTGCTGCGATTACAGGCATGAGCCACCGCACCCGTTGTCTTTAATAATTTTTTTGCCTGCTTAATATATAGTTTCTGAGAGATGTGAGTCTTCCTCTAATATTGTAGGTTACTTTTCTGTCGCTGCTGCACAAATTTTTTTTTTTTTTTGAGATGGAGTCTCACTCTGTCGCCCAGACTGGAGTGCAGTGGCGTGATTTTGGCCCACTGCAACCTCTGCCTCCTGGGTTCAAGCGATTCTTCTCTTGAGTAGCTGGGATTACAGGTGCATGCTACCACGCCTGGCTACTTTTTGTATTTTTAGTAGAGACGGAGTTTCACCATATTGGTCAGGCTGGTCTCGAACTCCTGACCTCGTGATGCACCCTCCTCGGCCTCCCAAAGTGTTGGGATTACAAGCGGTAGCCACTGTGCCTGGCCTAAACTTTTTTTTTTAAGCATCCTTGTGCAGAGACTCCAAGGGCAAACAAGAGTAGTGCCAACCAGCCTGGCAGAGCTGAGGCAGGCCTGAACTCTGGCCCCTAAAGGGAAGAGGTGACTAGTCACTAGCCTTCCTTCATTCTCTCACCCAGAGAGAAATGGGGAAGGAAGAGAAATGGAGTAAAAGAATAAGGTATGTAGATGGGGAGAGATGGGAAGGGAAAACATGGAGAATGATGGGGAGGCAGAAAGCGATGCGAAGAGAGATGGAGGAAGACAGAGAGAGAGAAAGACGGAGAGGCAGACCAGACACGGCAGCTCACACCTGTAATCCCAGCACTTTGGGAGGCTGAGGCAGGTGGATCACTTGAGGCCAGGAGTTCAAGACCAGCCTGGCCAACATGGCAAAACCCCATCTCTACTAAAAATACAAAAATTAGCCAGGGGTGGTGGCATGTGCCTGTAATCCCAGCTACTCTGGAGGCTGGGGCAGGAGAATCATTTGAACCTGGGAGGTGGAGGTTACAGTGAGCTGAGAGCGCAAAAAAAAAAAAAGAAAAAAAATAGAATGTCTCACGTGGAAGGTGCTCGCTGAATATTTGTTGAATGAGTGAATAAGCAGAAGTGTGTATGCATGTGACAGAGAGGCAGAGGGGTAGGGGTGTGTAGAGATGTGGCGTTTGAGTGGACACGGGGGAAGAAACAAGTAATATGAATAACATGGTGAGACAGAAAGAGTTGTGGACAGAGCTGTGGGAAATATGAGAGATAAGGAGAGAGATACTGAAAAGAGCGATTAAGAGAGATGAAGATAGGGTGTCTGGCCCATGGAAGGCCCTCGTGAAGAGCAATGCTGAATAGATGAATGAACCTCAATGCCCAGCAGTGGTGGGATGAAGGGGATGCTGTGCAGAAACCACACTACCCATCAGAGAAGCAACTCTGCTCGTTTCCCCTTGAGTTGATGAGGGATTTAGCAACCAGTGGAATGAAGAGCAAGGGAAAGACACCTGCGATCTTTCAGAAGCAAAATGGACAGGGCCTGGAGATCTTTTGGATGGGGGAACTGAGGGAGAAGGCAGAGTAGGATGAATCCCAGGTGTTTGCCTTAAGTGACTGGGGCTTTGTGTTTCCATTCACTGGGACAGGGATGACAGGAGGCTGACCTGGTCTGAGTGGACACTGATGACTTTGAAATGCCTGTGGAGTATTCAGGGTAAGCCGCCTAGAGAGCAGTTAGATAGTGTGGACTTAGGTCTCAAGAAAGAGGCCTGAGGGGGAGATGTAGATTGGGGACTTGACAGAGAATAAGCAGTAGTGACAACTGTGGCTATGACAGGATTGCCTAGGAAAGCCATGGTAGATGCGCAAAATTTATTGAATGAAAGTGGGAAGCCAGGTGCATGCCTATAATCCCAGCTACGTGAAAGGCTGAGGTCGGAGGAACACCTAAAGCCCGGAGTCAGGACTTTGAGACTAGCCTGGGCAACATAGTGAGATCTCATCTCAAAAATATATATAATAAAAAATATATAATAACACTTTTTAAAAAGAAAGTGGGGCCAGGGGTGCTAGCTCATGCCTATAATCCCAGCACTTTGGGAGGCCGAGGCAGGCGGATCACTTGAGGTCAGGAGTTCGAGACCAGCCTGACCGACATGGTGAAACCCCATCTCTACCAAAAATACAAAATTAGCTGGGTGTGGTGGCACATGCCTGTAATCCCAGCTACTTGGGAGGCTAAGGCAGAAGAATCACTTGAACGCAGGAGGCGGAGGTTGCAGTGAGCCGAGATCGCACCATTGCACTCCAGCCTGGGCAACAAGAGCAAAATTCTGTCTCAAAAAAAAAAAAAAAAAAAAGTGGGAGAAACAACCCAAAAATTTTCCAACAGGACAGTGGTATAAAAGCACACGTTTAGGGTACAGGAGTCTGGGGGACTCAGGTTGGATGGCTTTTATGTCCTTGGGAAAGAGGAGGTGAGATTTCAAAGTGAAACAGCTTCCATGGTGACAGGATCTGAGATGTAGGTCATGGAGAGTCAAGGTGATGATTGGAGTGGACAAGGTGAAATAACTGTGAAGTTGCACACTTAGGGTATTGAAAAGGCATTTGCGAGATGGGTACAAGAAGTTTCATAGCAGATTGAGCCATAATAAGAAAAACAAAAAATAGAAACAACCCAATTGTACTTCATCAGGTGAATAGATCAACAAGCTGTGCTACATCATATAAAGGATTACCACTCAGCAAAAAAAAGGAATGAAACACTGATACATACAACAGCGTGGGCGAATCTCACAGACATTAAGCAGAATGAAAGGAGCCAGATACAAGAGTATGTACTATATGACTCCATTAATATGATGTTCAAGAACAGACTAATCTATAGAGGCCGAGCGCAGTGGCTCAGGCCTGTAATCCCAACACTTAGAGAGGTCAAGGCAGGAGGATCACTTGAGCCCAGGAGTTAGAATCCAGTCTGGGCAACATAGAAGGACCTCGTCTCTACAAAAAAAAATTTTTTTTTTTTTTTTGAGACAGAGTCTTGCTCTGTCACCCGGGCTGGAGTGCAATGACGCGATCTCGGCTCACTGCAACCTCTGCCTCCCAGGTTCAAGCAATTCTCCTGCCTCAGCCTCCCGAGTAGCTGGGACTATAGGCATGTGCCACCACGCCCGGCTGATTTTTTTTTTTTTTTTTGTATTTTTAGTAGAGACGGGGTTTCACTGTGTTAGCCAGCATGGTCTTGAGCTCCTGACCTTGTGATCCCCCTGCCTCGGCCTCCCAAAGTGCTAGGATTATAGGCCTAAACCACTGCACCCAGCCTACAAAAAAACTGTTAAAAAATTAGCTGGGTGCGGTGGCATATGCCTGTAGTCGTAGCTACTCAGGAGACTGAGGTGGGAGGATGGCTTGAGCCCAGGAGGTCAAGGCAGCAGTGAACTATAATTGCACTACTGCATTCCAACCTGGGTAACAGAGCAAGACTCTGTCCCAAGAAAAAAGTCTACAGAGGTTAAAAATGGTAAAATGGTTGCATCTAGGAGGGGAAAGGGATTTACCAAAAAGGGGCATGGAGGAATTTTCCAGGATAATGAGAATTATCTATATCTCTATTACAGTGTGGTTGCATGGGTGTACATATTGGCCAAAGGTCATCAAACTGTACATTAAGATCTGTGCATTTTACTGTATGAAATTATATATCAATGTTTAAAAATGTCATTTATGGCTGGGCACGGTGGCTCACGCCTGTAATCCCAGCACTTTGGGAGGCCGAGGCAGGTGGATCACGAGGTCAGGAGATTGAGACCATCCTGGCTAACATGGTGAAACCCTGTCTCTACTAAAAAATACAAAAAAATTAGCCAGGTATGGTGGCTGGTGCCTGTAGTCCCAGCTACTAGGGAGGCTGAGGCAGGAGAATGGCGTGAACCCAGGAGGTGGAGCTTGCAGGGAGCCGAGATCACGCCACTGCACTCCAGCCTGGGTGACAGAGCAAGACTCTCTCTCAAAAAAAAAAAAAAAAAAAGTCATTCATATGGACATTAAGTCCATTAAGGAGTTGGCAGAGGTTGAAATAGAGAGGAAGTGGGCTGGGCATGGTGGCTCACGCCTATAATCCCAGCACTTTGGGAGGCCGAGGTGGGCGGATCACAAGGTCTGGAGTTCGAGACCAGCCTGGCTAACATGGTGAAACCTTTTCTCTACTAAAAATACAAAAATTAGCCTGGCATGGTGGCAGGTGCCTGTAATCCCAGCTACTCTGGAGGCTGGGGCAGGAGAATCGCTTGAACCTGGGAGGCAGAGGTTGCGGTGAACCAAGATCACGCCATTGCACTCCAGCAACAACAGCAAAACTCTGTCTCAAAAAAAAAAAAAAAGAAAAAAGAAAAAAGAAAGAAAAAATAAATAGAGAAGAGGCTGCAGAGTCAGGGATGGGCTCTTGATGAATGTGAGGGCGAGTGGACGACACCAAGGAGAGATTGAAGGTCGTGAGGTCAGATGCTATGAGCCTCAGAGGAGAAGCTGTTCTCAGAAGCTGAAAGTATCATCACCTGGGAGCCATTCATTAGTTGAAAAATATTGATAAGACTTGGCCAGAGAAGTCACCCAATCTCACCCCTGCCAGCACGTAGAGGAACCCTGGTGGGGGTGGGGGAAAGATGAGATCACCTGTGCTGGATTGTGGACTTTTGTGTTTTCACCTGTTTTCATGGTCTGAGTTGGGAGTTTATTGGCCTCAACTACATCCAGCCAGCCCACAGCTTGTTGTTAAAGAAGTCAGACCAGAGACTGGGTGCGGCGGCTCACGCCTGTAATCCTAGCACTTTGGGAGGCTGAAGCAGGTGGATCACTTGAGGTCAGGAGTTCAAAACCAGCCTGGCCAACATGGTGAAACCCTGTCTCTAGTAAAAATACAAAAAAGTTAGCCAGGCATGGTGACAGGCGCTGTAGTCCCAGCTACTTGGGAGGCTGAGGCAGGAGAATCGCTTGAACCCGGGAGGCAGAGGTTGCAGTGAGCGGAAATCACACCACTGCACTCCAGCCTGGGCGACAGAGCGAGACTCCCTCTCAAAAAAAAAAAAACAAAAAAAACACACACAAAAACAGAGACCAGTGCACATCCACTTCAACACTGTTTTATTTGTTGCCTTTCCTCTTGAGTGCCTGGGAATAATTTCTTTAGAAAAGTTCCATCCTTGGCCAGGATGGATGCAGTGGCTCACGCCTGTAATCCCAGCACTTTGGGAGGCCGACGTGGGTGGATCACGAGGTCAGGAGTTCAAGACCAGCCTGGCCAAGATAGTGAAACCCCGTCTCTACTAAAAATATGAAAATTAGCTGGGCATGGTAGTGGGTGCCTGTAATCCTGGCTACTCAGGAGGCTGAGGCAGGAGAATCTCTTGAACCCGGGAGGCGGAGGTTGCAGTGAGCCGAGATCGCACCACTGCACTCTAGCCTGGGTAACAGAACAAGACTCTGTCTCAAGAAAAAAAAAAGAAAAAAAAAGTTCCATTCTTGTGCCCACTGTGCTGATTAGCGCAGCAGTTCCTGTCTTGCAGGTTAGCCTTCCCTAGAGGTTCTCAGAGTTATTAAAAGGGGTCCCTTGAATGTACACACATATCAGGATTTATTCTAGATGGACTGAAAAAAAAACCCCACATACTGTCTTTGGAATCTGGAACATTTTTAGCTATGACAAATGTTTAGAAGTCTTAGATATAGAAAAGAGCTGGGAGAGCAGGATGCCCTTGAGTCCAGGTGTAGCAATGGCACTGCCACCCTTGCACAGGACGGGGGAAGCACTGGAGAAGAACCACACATTGAACACCTAGGGCAATGGGGTCTGGAAGTTTACAGGTGGTACCCCCAGTTTACAGTAGTGGCACCAGGACTCCAACCTAGGCTGATTTGTCTTCTAAGCCACATTGCCTTGGGACGTGGAGTAGAACCATGTGATTGAGTGTACACTGTGGAAGAGTGGAGTTTGTTTTTTTTTTTTTTTGAGACGGAGTTTTGCTCGTTGCCCAGGCTGGAGTGCAGTGGCACAATGTTGGCTCACTGCAACCTCCGCCTCCTGGATTCAAGTGATTCTCGTGCCTCAGCCACCCAAGTAGCTGGGATTACAGGCACGCACCACCACGTCTGGCTAAGTTTTGTATTTTTAGTAGAGATGGGGATTCACCATGTTGGCCAGACTGGTCTCGAACTCCCGACCTCAGGTGATCTGCCCACCTCGGCCACCCAAAGTGCTGGGATTACAGGCGTGGGCCACTGCTCCCGGCCGGAAGAGTGGAGTTTTATCCCCAGCCAGTTACTTATTCCACGTCCCCACTGGTGGTGACCTCTTCTCCCTCCCCAAACCGTGGGCTTCTTACAGCTGAGATAGTAGAGACAATTTTTCCTATATTGATCCTTTGGGGTGTGAATGGGGTGTTGATAGAAGGAGGCAAGCAAGGTAGGGGATCGGGCAGAAGCTGGAATCAAGGCCCAGTTGAGAAAAGCCACCATTGGTAGCTCGGGCCTCCCATGCTCTCTGACCACCAGGGGGCAGGCCTTGCCTTGCCATGACGCCTCCATCCCACATCCTCTAGTTAGATATCCCTGGGGTGGCAGCCACTTCGCTGCTGGAGAATGGCTGAGTTGGTCCTTCCCAGGTTGTGTGGCATGTGTGGTTGTTCCGGTAGCTTAGGGAGGTAAAATAATTTGTTCAAGATTAGACTGGGCACAGTGGCTCACACCTGTAATCCCAGCACTTTGGGAGGCCGAAGTGGGAGGATTGCTTTAGGCCAGGAGTTTTAGATCAGCCTGGGCAACACGGTGAGACTCTGTCTGTACAAAAAATAAAAATAAGTGAGCCAAACGTGATGATGTGTGTCTGTAGTCCCAAATACTCTGGAGGCTGACGTGGGAGGGTCACTTGAGCTCAGGAGTTCAAAGTTCAAGGCCACGGGGAGCTATGATCATATGATCACACCGCTGCACTCCAGAATGGTTGACAGAGTGAGACCCTGTCTCAAAAAAAAAAAGGTTGTATAACATAATTGTGGGGATTGCGGGGGAGCTGACATTTGAACCTAGACTCATTCCAAACCAGCATTCTTAACCATGAGATGACTGCTTCTCCAAAAGAAAGCTCTGAATTACTTCAGTGATGGGTGGGAACTGGACAGTCTACAAAAGTACTGTGACACAGAGCTAGAAACACAGATACAAAGGAAAAAACATATATTAGGTCAGGTGTGGTGGCTCACACCTGTAATCCCAGCACTTTGGGAGGCCAAGGCGGGTGGATCACTTAAGGCCAGGTGTTTAAGACCAGCCTGGCCAACATGGCAAAACTCCGTCAGTACTAAAAACACAAAAATTAGCCGAGTGTGGTGGCACACGCCTGTGAACCCAGATACTCGGGAGGCTGAGGCACGTGAATCGCTTGAGCCTGGGAAGCAGAGGTTGCAATGAGCCAAGATTGTGCCACTGCACTCCAGCCTGGGCGACTGAACGAGACTGTCTCACAACAACAACAGCAACAACAACAACATGTATTCATATAAAATGAGCCAGGCTGGGCGCGGTGGCTCACGCCTGTAATCCCAGCACTTTGGGAGGCCAAGGCGGGCGGATCACAAGGTCAGGAGTTTGAGACCAGCCTGGCCAACATGGTGAAACTCAGTCTCTACTAAAAATACAAAAATTAGCTGGGTGTGGTGGCGCACGTCTGTACTCCCAGCTACTCGGGAGGCGGAGGCAGGAGAATCGCTTGAACCCGGGAGGCAGAGGTTGCAGTGAGCTGAGATTGAGCCATTGCACTCCAGCCTGGGCAACAAGAACAAGACTCCATCTCAAAATAAATAAATAAATAAAATAAATAAAAGGAGCCAGACCAGGAGTTTGAGACCTGGACAACATAGCAAGATGCTGTCTTTCAAAAATAAATAAAAGTAAAAAGTCAGGTGTGATGGCACATACCAGTATTCCAAGCTACTTGGGAGGCTGAGGCAGGAGGATTGCTTGAGTCCAGGAGATCGAGGCTGCAGTGAGCAATGATCACACCACTGTATTCCTGCTTGAGTGATAGAGTGAGACCCTTGTCTCTAAAAAATGTAATAGTAAAAGGAGCCAGAAGGGGGCATGCGGTAAGGGGTGGACACATGGCATATTACATGTCATCCTTCACTTCTATGTGCTGTATTATCTCCTGTAGCTGTGTGATACACATACAAGAGTGTCTGGCATACTCTTGTACCAATCCCTGTAGAGGTATTACCTTGTTTTATTGTGTTCCACAGATGTGCATTTTTTTATATATTGAAGTTTGTGGCAACCCTGTGTTGAGCAAGTCTGTAGGTGCCACTTTTCCAATAGCCTGTGCTCACTTTGTGTCTCAGTGGCACATTTTGGTAATTCTTGCAATATTTCAAACTTTTTCTTGATTATTTTATCTGTTATGATCTGTCAGTAGTGATTTTTTTTTTTTGAGACAGGGTCTCACCCTGTCATTCAGGCTGGAGTGCAGTGGCAAGATCATAGCTCACTGCAGCCTCGAAATCCTGGGCTCAAGTGATTCTCCTGCTTCAGCCTCCCAAGTAGCTAAGACTACTGGAACACACCAGCACACCTGGCTAATTTTATCTATTTATTTATTTAGGCAGAGTTTTGTTCTTGTTGCCCAAGCTGGAGTACAATGGCACGATCCCAGTTCACCACTACCTCCGTCTCCCAGTGATTCTCCTGCCTCCGCCTCCCGAGTAGCTGGGATTACCGGCATGCGCCACCACGCCCGACTAATTTTGTATTTTTAGTAGAGACGGGGTTTCTCCATGTTGGTCAGGTTGGTCTTGAACTAACGACCTCAAGTGATCTGCCCTCCTTGGCCTCCCAAAGTGCTGGGATGACAGGAGTCAGCCACTGTGCCTGGACTTTTTTTTTCTTTTTTGTAGAGCTGAGGTTGGCCAAGCGCAGTGGCTCATGCTTGTAATCCCAGTACTTTGAGAGGTCGAGTGGGCAAATCACTTGAGCCCAGGAGTTTGAGACCAGCCTGGACAACATGGTAAGACCCTGTCTCTACAAAAAATACAAAAATTATCTAGGCATGGTGGTGTGTGGCAGCTACTCAGGAGGCTGAGGTGGGAAGATGGTGTGAGCCCATGAGGTTGAAGCTGCAGTGAGCCGTGATTGTGCCACTGCACTCTAGCCTAGGCAACAGAGTGAGACCTTGTCTCAAAAAGAGAGAGAGAGAGAGAAGGTCTTGCTCTGTTGCCCAGGCTGGAGTGCCATGGAGCCATGGCTTTCACAAGCAAAATCGTAGCATACTGCAGTCTTGAACTTCTGTCCTCAAGTGATCCTTCCACCTCAGCCTTCTGAGTAGCAGAGACATAGGCACATACCACTGCACTTGGCAAGAATTAGCTAAATTTACTCTGCCACGCTGTGTAAATGGAACAATAAAGCCTAGATGGCTGGATGTGGTGGCTCATGCCTATAATCCCAGCACTTTGGGAAGCTGAGGTGGGCGGATCACCTGAGGTCAGGAGTTCAAGACCAGCCTGGCCAAGATGGTCAAACCCTGTCTCTACTAAAAATACAAAAATTAGCCGGGTGTGGTGGCAGTCACCTGTAATCCCAGATACTAGGGAGGCTGAGGCAGGAAAATCACTTGAACCCAGAGGGCGGAGGTTGCAGTGAGCTAAAATTGCACCACTGCACTCCAGCCTGGGTGACAGAGCAAGACTCCATCTCAAAAAAATATATAAATAAATAAATAAATAAATAAAAGCCTAGATGATAGTACATCTGTTTACAACGTGGTTTACTGATTTTAAAATTTTTCTTTTTTTTGTTTGTTTGTTTTTTTTTGAGACACGGTCTCAATATGTTGCCCAGGCTGTAGTACAGCAGCATGATCTCAACTCATTGAAACCTCTGCCTTCCAGAGTCAAATGATCCTCCTACCTCAGCCTCCTGAGTAGTTGGGACCACAGACATGAGCCACTATGCTCAGCTAATTTTTGTATTTTTTGTAGAGATAGGGTTTCGTCAGGTTGTCCAGGCTGATCTCCAACTCTTTTTTTTTTTTTTTTTTTTTTGAGACAAAGTCTTGCTCTGTCACCCAGGCTGGAGTGCAGTGGCGCAATCTCGGCTAACTGCAACCTCTGCCTCCAAGGTTCAAGTGATTCTCCTGCCTCAGCCTCCTGAGTAGCTGGGACTACAGGCAGATGCCACCACACCCAGCTAATTTTTTGTATTTTTAGTAGAGATGGGGTTTCACCGTGTTAGCCAGGATGGTCTCGATCTCCTGAACTCGTGATCCGCCCGCCTCAGCCTCCCAAAGTGCTGGGATTACAGGCATGAGCCACCATGCCTGGCCTGGCCTCCAACTCTTTAACTCAAGTGATCTGCCCTCCTGGGCTTCCCAAAGTACTGGGATTACAGGTGTGACCCACCATACCTAGCCAAAATTATTTTTTTTTAAACTCCATTTACTACTATTCCCAATTTAAATTGTATTTTATTTAGAGACAAGGTCTCCCTCCATTGCTCAGGCTGAAATGCAGTGGCAAAATCATAGCTCACTGCATCCTTGAAACTCCTGGGCTCAAGGAATCCTCCTTCCTCAACTTCCTGAGTAGCTGGTACTATAGGTGTGTGCCACTATGTCCAGCTAAGTTTAAATTTTTTTGTAGAGACAGGGTCTTGCCATGTTGCCCAGGCTGGTCTCAAACCCCTGGCCTCAAGCCGTCCTCTCACCTTGGCCTCCCAAAGTGCTGGGATTACAAGTGTAAGCCACTATGCCCCGCTGGTTTACTGAATATTTTAAGCCTACTGTTGAGGTCTACTGCTCCGAAAAACAAGATTTCTTTAAAATGATTACTGCTCATTGACAATGTACATAGTTATCCAAGAGCTCTGATGGAGATGTCCAAAGAGACGAATGTTGTTTTCTTTTTCTTTTTTTTTTTTTTTGAGACGGAGTTTCGCTCTTGTTGCCCAGGCTGGAGTGCAATGGTGCGATATCAGCTCACTGCAACTTCCGCCTCCTGGGTTCAAGTGATTCTCCTGCCTCAGCCTCCCGAGTAGCTGGGATTAC
Source organism: Homo sapiens (assembly GCF_000001405.40). Classification (NCBI taxonomy): domain Eukaryota; kingdom Metazoa; phylum Chordata; class Mammalia; order Primates; family Hominidae; genus Homo; species Homo sapiens. Next base: position 31,594,214 of record NC_000006.12, on the reverse strand, counting down.
AGGTGCGCCCCACCACACCCGGCTAATTTTGTATTTTTAGTAGAGACGGGGTTTCTCTATGTTGATCAGACTGGTCTCGGACTCCTGACCTCAGGTGATCCTCCCACCTCAGCCTCCCAAAGTGCTGGGATTACAGGCATGAGCCACCACGCCCAGCTGAATGTTGTTTTCCTGCCTGCTAACATAACATCCATCCTGTAGTCCATGGTTTAAGGAGTAATTTAGACTTTCAAGTCTCATTATTTAAGAAATACATTTCGCCAGGCATGGTGACTCATGCACTTTGGGAGGCCTAAGTGGATGGATTGTTTGAGCCCAGGAGTTGGATACCGGCCTGGGCAACACAGGGAGACCCCATCTCTACAAAAAATACAAAAATTAGCCTGGTGTGGTGGTGTGCGCCTGCAGTCCCAGCTACTCAGGAGACTGAAGTGGGAGGATCAACTGAGCCCTGGAGGTTGAGGCTGCAGTGAGCCGTGATGGCGCCACTGAACTCCAGCCTGGGTGAGACAGAGCCAGACCCTGTCTCAAAAAACCAAAACAGGAATCCCAGCACTTTGGGAGGGCGAGGCTGGTGGATCACTTGAGATCAGGAGTTGGAGACCAGCCTGGCCAACATGGTAAAACCCTGTCTCTACAAAAAATACAAAATTTAGCTGGGCTTGGTGATGTGCGCCTGTAATCCCAGCTACTTGGGAGGCTGAGGCAAGAGAATTGCTTGAACCCAGGAGGCAGAGGTTGCAGTGAGCCGAGATTGTGCCACTGCATTCCAGCCTGGGCAACAGAGTGAGACTCCAGCTCAAAAAAAAAACAAAAAACAAAAAAACCCAACCAAACACACACACACACACACACACACACACACACACACACACACACACACACACAAGGTGATTGCTATGCAAATTAAATATAGCTTCACCAATCAGCTTGCTTCTCCTAATCCCTCATAGAAATCTTGGAGTAGCCCTGGGGTGCAGTGAGGCCAGATTCCAGGAAGGGAATGGGTGGGATGGGTCTGGGTACTGGTGAGCAGCAGGGAGGGTAAGTAGGTTAGCTTCTGGGCCAAGGAGGGCTCCTGGAGGCTTGTTCTGGGTAAAAGCTGGTCTCCTTGAACCTCGGAAGGTGGGGGAACCCACATCCTGGTCTCACCCGCCCAACCGCCCACTCACCCTTGGGTTAGCAGCCATCTAAGCCCCACCCTCCCCCTCACACGCTTAGCTAGCCTGCCACAAGCTGGCCCCTTGGCCTCCTAGAGACCCTGACATCTCCTCCAGCAGCATCTGTCCTCTCTCCTCAGGGAGGCAAGCATTTGATGCTCGAGGTCCCTGGCAGTTGTGGTCCTTGGCAAGTGATGTGTGAGTCCCGTGTGTCATAGGAAGCTCCCCATCCCCATCTGGTGACCAAAGGCCTGGCTACAAGTAGTGAGTCCTTCCTCCTCCACCCAGACCTCACTGCTCAGATCCCCTTCGCCAACTGGGACATCTTCCGACATGGCCTGGATGCTGTTGCTCATCTTGATCATGGTCCATCCAGGTGACAGGGCGTGCGCTCAGGACCCCAAGGAGTGTGGGTGGGAGGAGGGAGATCCAGGAGGCTGGACTAGATGCTATAGGGAACGGGCTTGGTGGGGGCTGAAACACACGGCTCTGAGGGAGGAGTGGGACTGCTCCAAAGGTGACACTCAGTGGACTCCCCCAATTCACAGTCTCTCTGTGTCACCCACTGTGAGGCTTTTTAGTTTGAGAGATCCAAGTAAATCTATGATAAATTTCTTGGTGAAACTTTTTTTTTTTTTTTTTTGAGACTGAGTCTCGCTCTGTCGCCTGGCTGGAGTGCCGTGGTGCGATTTTGGCTCACTGCAACCTCTGCCTCCCATGTTCAGGTGATTCTCCTGCCTCAGCCTCCTGAGTAGCTGGGACTACACGCACGCACGACCACACCTGGCTAATTTTTTTTTTTTTTGAGACGGAGTCTTGCTCTGTCACCTAGGCTGGAGTGCAGTGGCATGATCTTGGCTCACTGCAACCTCTGCCTCCTAGATTCAAGCAATTCTCCTGCCTCAGCCTCCTAGGTAGCTGGGATTACAAGCGCGCACCACCACACCCAACTAATTTTTGTATTTTTAGTAGAGACAGGGTTTTACCATGTTGGCCGGGCTGGTCTTGAACTCCTGACCTCAGGTGATCTGCCTGCCTCGGCCTCCTAAAGTGCGGGGATTACAGGCCTGAGCCACTGCGCCCAGCCATTTTTGTATTTTTAGTAGAGATGGGGTTTTGCTATGTTGGCCAGGTTGGTCTCAAACTCCTGATCTCAAGTGATCTGCCTGCCTCGGTCTCCCAAATTACTGGAATTATAGGCATGAGCCACTGCGCCCGCCTGGTGGTGAAACTTTTTTTTTGAGACAGTTTCATTCTGTTGTCCAGTCTAGAGTACAGTGGCGGTATCTCAGCTCACTGCAGCCTCCACCTCCTGGGTAAAAATGATTCTCCTGTCTCAGCCTCCCAAGTAGCTAGGATTACAGGTGCATGCCATTACTGCTGGCTAACTTGTGTATTTTTAGTAGAGACGAGGTTTCACCATGTTGGCCAGGCTGGTCTCAAACTCCTGACCTCAGGTGATCCACTCGCCTTGGCCTTCCAAAGTGTTGGGATTATAGGCGTGAGCCACTGCACCCGGCCGAAACTGTTTTTAATGAACTGAGAGACCTTAACTATCAGGCATATTATTAACTAAATGCAGGAGTTCTCAAAATGTGGATTTCTGGGAACCTAGAACAAATTCTTAGGCCCCACTCCAGACCTACTGAGTCAAAAACTCGGGGGGTAGGCCCAGGAATCTGTTCTAGCAGATGCTCCAGGTAATTTCCATACACACTCAAGTTTGAGAACCACTGAAATAGAATGACTTGTAAATTTCCCTAAGTAGATAATTTAATCAGGGATTTTAATATTTGGTTTAATTCATCAACATGGACGGGTTAAATAGGAATCTCAACCAATTAAGGCCACGTCTTCACCTGGAGATTTAATTAGTTACTTTCTTTAACGAAAACCAAGAGTGGCTGGGTGCACTTTGGGAGGCCGAGGCAGGTGGATCACTTGAGATCAGGAGTTTGAGACCAGCCTGGTCCGAGGTGGGTGGATCACTTGAGGTCAGGAGTTTGAGACCAGATGGTGAAACCCTGTCTCGACTGAAAATACAAAAATTAGCCAGTCGTGGTGGTGGGTGCCTGTAGTCCCAGCTACTTGGGAGGCTGAGGCACCAGGATCGCTTGAACCCAGGGGACGGAGTTTGCAGTGAGCCAAGATTGCACCACTGCATTCCAGCCTGGGCAACAGAGCAAGACCCCATCTCAAAAAAAGAAAAAAGAAAAAGAGGAAGGATGGCTTACTGTACAATGCCATTTGTACTAAAATAATACCTGGATAATATAATGAGTGATATTAGTTAACTAGGCAGCTGCATTCATTAATGAGCTTAATTTCACCATGATGGTTTACATTTCAGCTAGACAAGTTACTACTGAACTGGCTGGAGAATGATGGCAGAGGGTGAGAGTGAGAGTTGGTATAGGAAGAATTTGAAAAATGATTTTTATTTTTTATTTTTTGAGATGGAGTCTTGCTTTGTCGCCCAGGCTGGAGTGCAATGGCGCAATCTTGGCTCACTGCAACCTCTGCCTCCCGGGTTCAAGCGATTCTCCTGCCTCAGCCTCCCGAGTAGCTGGGATTACAGGTGCACACCACCATGCCCGGCTAATTTTTGTATTTTTTTAGTAGAGACGGGGTTTCACCATGTTGGCCAGGATGGTCTCGATCTCCTGACCTGGTGATCCGCCCACCTCGGCCTCCCAAAGTGCTGGGATTACAGGCGTGAGCCACTGCACCCAGCCGAAAAATGATTTAATAAGCAATGTTAAGAAATCAGATTGGTTAAGAGGGAAGGGTTTAATGAGGCACCCAAAGTATCTATTCCCATGCACCCTATGCCTGGAGAAAGCTGGGATGTTCTACTCCAAGCTCTGTTGTCTTTTCTCTTTGGAATAACTGGGGAGGTGTTTCTCTGGGTCTTCCTTCTGCCCCCAGGATCCTGTGCTCTCTGGGTGTCCCAGCCCCCTGAGATTCGTACCCTGGAAGGATCCTCTGCCTTCCTGCCCTGCTCCTTCAATGCCAGCCAAGGGAGACTGGCCATTGGCTCCGTCACGTGGTTCCGAGATGAGGTGGTTCCAGGGAAGGAGGTGAGGAATGGAACCCCAGAGTTCAGGGGCCGCCTGGCCCCACTTGCTTCTTCCCGTTTCCTCCATGACCACCAGGCTGAGCTGCACATCCGGGACGTGCGAGGCCATGACGCCAGCATCTACGTGTGCAGAGTGGAGGTGCTGGGCCTTGGTGTCGGGACAGGGAATGGGACTCGGCTGGTGGTGGAGAAAGGTGAGATGCTGGGAGGTGGTGTCTCCTCCTGGCTGGAGGCCCCAAGAGGCAATGTCCTTGGGAGGCAGGGATGCTCCTCTGAGGCCCCTTCCCTCCCTGAGCCTGTGTGCACTTCTTCCCCAACCCCCGTCTCCATTGCCCCATGCAGAACATCCTCAGCTAGGGGCTGGTACAGTCCTCCTCCTTCGGGCTGGATTCTATGCTGTCAGCTTTCTCTCTGTGGCCGTGGGCAGCACCGTCTATTACCAGGGCAAATGTGAGTAATGGAGCCAGGGGCAATAGTGGACGGGATGGGAGGGGCAGTAAGAGAGTGGGAGGAGGGAGGACAGAGACCAGGAAGAGGAGAGCCTCGGGACTGCAACACTGAGCAGCTCCTGTCCTCTCTCTGACCAGGCCACTGTCACATGGGAACACACTGCCACTCCTCAGATGGGCCCCGAGGAGTGATTCCAGAGCCCAGATGTCCCTAGTCCTCTTCAAAAGACCCCAATAAATCTGCCCCACCACTAACTCCTCATGAGTCTCAAGTGTTTTCTTCTCCATTCTCCAGATGCCAAATCTACTCTCTCCGGATTCCCCCAACTCTGAACTTTCCCTTCCACCAGGTCTGACCTGGAAAGGTCCAAGAAGGCAGCTGCCGGCTGTGGTCCCAGCGCCCCTCCCACCACCATGTGGGAGCTCAGCACATCTGCTTCCCCCAGTCCCAGGAGGCTGAGCCTGATTGTCCTGAGAAATGGGAAGGATCAGATATGACTCCTCCTTGGCAACTGCCCTTTCCTGCCAGGCCCACACATACCCTCTTCTGGCTGTTAGGGGAGCTTGGGTCCCTGAACACTGTCATTCACCCAATAAATTACTATTTGACCCCAGAGTGGGTGGAAGGGTGAGCCATGTGTTTTTTTTATTTTAATTTTTAAAAAATTTAAAAAATTCCCTATTCAAAGGTCAAAAAGCCACATAAGTTTTGATGATGATCAATTTGAACGGAGGCTCGAGATGGACTGAGAGGACTGAGACACAGAAGTGGGGGGACCATGGTTTTTACTGGCTGGACCACAGGGGGACCCTGTCCACCCGCCTGGGTTGAGGAAGGTGTCTGGGGTGCTCAGGTGGGTTTGTTCTCAGCAATGCAGGCATAGTCAGCTCTTGGATCCTCCTTGGTGCCTCTCTTGTCTCTGCCCCTGAGGTCAGGTCCCTCACTGCTGGGCACTGGCAGCCTCTGCAGAGATGCATAGTGGAGTTCCTGCTCTGAGGAGCCCTGGGCCTGGGACCAGGACAGAAGGTGCTGATGGGAGGCGATGCCGTCAGATCCTTCCCTGTGAGTTCTGCTCCCACCTCCAGCCTTTCTTACTTCTCTCCCTCTCTCTCTCTCTCTCTCCCTCTCTCTCTCTCTCTCTCTCTCTCTCTTTTTTCTTTGGAGACAGAGTCCCACTATGTTGTCCAGGATTGTCTTCAACCCCTGAGCTCAAGCTATCTTCCTGCCTCAGCCTTGCGATAGCTGGAATGACAGACGTGAGCCACTGTGCCTGGTTCTGGAGCCTCTCTCTCTCTCTCTCTTTCATTGCTCTTCTCTTTGTGTCTCTCTCACTCTCATTTTCTCCCTGTCTCTCCTATCCTCTGTCTCACTTTTTCTCTTGGTTTCTGTCTCATTTTCTCTTTCTCTTTTGCCTCGATTTTCTCTGCCTCTCTCATGCTCCTACTTTCTCTCTCCTTGTCTCCCGTCCCCAACCCTCCTCTCAGCGCTCAGCCATGCTTCTCCCCACTCACCCACTCAGGATCTCTCTTGCCCTCCCCCTTCCCTGTCCCCAGACTCACCCAGCTCCTCTCCAGCCTCTTTACTGGAAGAAAAGAAGAAGCTCAACACAGCCCACCCTTTGTGCTTCTCCCGGGCCCTCCCGGGCTCCCCCCACCAGCAGGCGTGGACTCCCCTGTTGGCTTCCCAGTGGCTCCAGGGCCAGGCAGTGTTCTGGGAAAGCAGTGGGAAAGCGTGTGGGGGTGGGGGCACAGGGGGCACTGCTGCAGGGGGAGGGAGGGAGTGCAGCGCTCACCTCTTCGATGCAGCCAACACAGGCAGGCGGACAGAAGGACCACTGCCAGAAGCAGGAGCCCGCCCAGCCCCAGGCCCCCGTAGATACATATATCTTCAGGGAAGAGGGCTCAAGGTTAGGAAGCCCATTCCTTCTCCAGCGTACCCCAGCCTCCTGGTTGGTTGCAGCTTTCTCAGATTCCCTCTCCAACAGTTTTAGAGGCAGAAAAATATACCCTCAGAGCTTCTCCATCCCAGACCTTAATACCTCACCTCTTACCAGGTTTCTGGGCCTCCCGTGAGGTCCCTTTCCCTCCTGTACCAGCTGTCCCCAGAGGCCTGTCCACCTAGTCATGAGCTGCATACATCACTGTTCCCCATCACTTCCTAAGCTCCCAGGACTCTCTCTATGCAGATGCAAGAGACACTTTACTTACCATCATTCCGCGATAACATTAGGTCAGGGATCAGGGACTGGCCTGGAGGTCAGGAACTCTAGTCCTTGCTCTTTTAGGCGAAATGATCAGGGGCTGGTGACTTGCCTCAAGTTCCTCATCTGTGAAGTGAGGGGCCCTCTGTTATAATCGTTCCCAGGCTGGGGAGCCTCCCTTATGTGCCAACCCTGAGCTGGGCACTTTCCATTCCTCACTGCTAATCCCCAGAACATAGGGTATCATGGTGCCCGTTGCCCAAGTAAAGACCCGAGATTCAAGCCTGGACTTTACTAGGTCACCCATCCCAGAAAGGTGGAGCTGGGGTTTAAGGCCAGCTCTGCCCAACTCCAGAGCCCAGCCCTTTCCTCTGCCCTGGGCTGACCACGTGGTTTGGAGGGGACTTTTCAGCCCTGGATGGTTCTAGGTGCTGGTAAGGGGATGATGGAGGGGAAGGAGCCTGGGCCTGGGTGGGTGTGGGCACTGGGGGGAAGAAGGGAGGGTGATATCAGCACACCCAGCAGGTGGGCTGCTCCCTGAGCCGCAGAGCAGCGCGGGAGTGTGGGGGCCCCCTTGGCTGGTGTGGAGAGCTGCTTCCCACAGGCAGATGCTGCTAGGGCTGAAGTGGGGCATGGAGGAGTATCTGGGGCCCCATAACTTCCCCTCAGGCACTTCCTCCCCTCCAACCACTGGTTCCTGTTTGAGGGTGAAGAGGGGGCCGTTCTCTTCACCCCAGAGCCAGATATACTGACTAGGGTCTGGAAACTGGGACCCTTCTGGGTTTAAGAGGAATTCTGGGGGGTGGGGAGCAGAAGTGCAGGTGGAGGCCATAAGGGCCGTGGGCACAGAAATGAATTGTCTTTAATTTCTTTGGGGAGCAGAGACTCAGAGGATTCCTCGACGGCCCAGGGAAACTCAAACCCATACTCTCCCTCCCCTCATCTTAGCTTCACCCCACTCTGGGGTGTGACCATCCTTCCACCAAGGTCCCTGCCCATTCCCAGCTTACCCAGAGCTTGTGGCCTGCAGGATGGACAGACTCCAAACTGGCCAGTGCTGTCTGGCTGAAGAGAAGTGTTGCCACCTCAGACATTCCTGCCCCTCCTCTGGCTTTAACTTCTCCCCCAGCCTGGGTTCCTCCCCAGCATTGTTAGGAGAGGAAGTTCGGCTCCAGGGTTAGGGTTACAACATCTTTCTTTTCAAACTTCTGGGCCTGTAGCTAGGGCCATAATCTGCCTCAGCTCCAGTCATTTCACTGATCCTGCCACTAGTCAGCAAACACCCACCACCTTCAGGTGTCTTCCTTGATTAACTCTTCTCTATTACCTCTTACACTGCATCTGTTGAGACCTCTTGATCTTGGCATATGTCTGTGGACACATGTACCCTGCTCCAGTTCAGACTGGGAGCTCTGGCATATTTGGTGTTCTGGTGACCCACTTGGTGTTCTGCAGCTCTATGCAGCAGGCTGCTTGGCTGTCTGATTAACAAACATGAGAGTTAAAGGCAGCCATACTAGATCTACATGAGCCCTGTGGATAGATCAAGGACAGAAAGTTGGTGACAAGTTGGTGACAGGAAAGGAGGTGTGGGCAATACAGGTGGACTTCCTGTAGGAGGCAGCATTCTGGCATTGAACACAGAACTAAGTAAAGGCAGCGGCCTGAGGCTCTCTGGAGAGACCTGGGTGAAGGCTTCTTAGTGGCACTGTGATGGAGAAGGAGATGGGTGCTGGAGGATTGCACACCCACTCCTTGAGGAGGGTGAAGACTGGGGAGCGCCTGTAAGGCAAGGGGTGAGGAGGAGATGTGGTGCCTGGGTGGGTCCATATTAATTTGCGTTTCCCCTTCCAAATTCAAGAACCTTCTACTTCCTCCCCCACCCTTCTCCCCATCCTCCATGTTCCCCATGCTGAATAATATTCAGGGTTTTTTGTTTGTTTGTTTTGTTTTTTTTACATTTTATTATTAAAAAGTGCAAACATAGGGTGAAATGAGAATAATTGTACAGTGAACATATTCTTACCACCTAGATGCTACTATTAACATTTTTTGTTTTGTTTTGTTTTTGAGATGGGGTCTCACTCTGTCACTCAGCCTGAAGTGCAGTGGTGAAATCATAGCTCACTGCAGCCTTGAATTCCTGGGCTCAGAGGTCCTCCCACCTTAGCCTTCTGAGTAGCTAGGACTACAGACACCAGCTACCACATGAGGCTTTGTAGAAATGGGGTCTTACTATGTTGCCCAGGCTGATTTTGAACTCCTGGTCTCAAGCAATCTTTCCACCTTAGCCTTCCAAAGTGCTGGAATTACAGGAGTGGGCCACTGCACCTGGCTCTATTAACATTTTTTATTTGCTTTATCACATATTTATCAATCCATCTCACTTTTAAATATCTTTTAAAATTACAAATATCAGTACATTTTACATCTAAACCCTTCAGAAGCTTAACATTGACTGGAGTTCAGTATTTATTTCCCCATTTCTTTTCTGGCCTGAGGAAGGCAAATTTTACATACAAATCTCAAGTCAGTACTCTTTTTTTTTTTTGAGACGGAGTCTTGCTCTGTTGCCCAGGCTGGAGTCCAGTGGTGTGATCTTGGCTCACTGCAACCTCTGCCTTCTGGGTACAAGCGATTCTCCTGTCTCAGCCTCCCAAGTAGCTGGGACTACAGGTTTGTGCCACCATATCCAGCTAATTTTTGTATTTTTAATGGAGAAGGGGTTTCACCATGTTGGCCAGGCTGGTCTCAAACTCTTGACCTCAAGTGATCCACCTGCCTTGGTCTCCTAAAGTGCTGGGATTATAGGTGTGAGCCATCTCGCCTGGCCTAATACTGTTTTGTTTGTTTGTTTTTGTTTTTAAGACAGAGTCTTGTTCTTGTCACCCAGGCTGGAGTGCAATGGCATGATTTCGGCTCACTGCAACTTCCGCCTCCTGGGTTCAAGTGATTCTCCTGCCTCAGCCTCCCAAGTAGCTGGAATTAAAGGTGCCTACCACCACGCCCCGCTAATTTTTATATTTTTAGTAGAGATGGGGTTTCACCATGTTGATCAGGCTGCTCTCGAGCTCCTTACCTCAGATGATCCACCTTCCTTGGCCTCCCAAAGTGCTGGTATTATAGGCAAGAGCCACTGCGCCCAGCCCCAGTATTCAGTTTTTAAACTGTCTTGTTATCAAGGCTCTGGAGCCAGATGCCTGGGTTCAAATTCTGGTTCTGCCACTGACTCTGTGAGCTCCATAAGTTTCTTAACCTCTCTGTACCTCAGTTTCCTCTTAGGGTTTTTGTCAGGATTATAATTATTGGCTGGGCATGATGGCTCATGCTTGTAATCCCAGCACTTTAGGAGGCCAACACGGGCAGATCACGTGAGTCCAGGAGTTTGAGCCCAGCCTGGGCAATGTGGCAAAAATCCATCTCTACAAAAAATGCAAAAATTAGCTGGGCATGGTGGCATGTGCCTATAGTCCCAGCTATTCAGGAGGCTGAGGTAGGTGAATCCATAGATCCTGGGAGGTCAAGGCTGCAGTGAGCCATGATCCTGCCATTGCATTCCAGTCTGGGTGACATAGCGAGACCCTGTCTCAAAAAAAAAAATTATTAAAGTGTGTAAATCAGTGGCATAAACATGTTAAGTGCATTTTGTGGGTCAGCTATATTATTATTAGTATTACGGAAACACATAGAGATGTTACCAAGAAGGGGAGATGATTGGAGCCACTTCCAGCTTCCTTGGACCTGGTCTTTCTTCCCTTGACTCTTTTTTTTTTTTTTTTTTTTTTTTTGAGAGAGAGAGTCTCAGCCTGTTGCCCAGGCTGGAGTGCAATGGTGCAATCTTGGCTCACTGCAACCTCTGCCTCCCAGGTTTAAGTGATTCTCCTGCCTCAGCCTCCTGTGTAGCTGGAATTACAGGCGCGTGCCACCACGCCCGGCTAACTTTTTGTATCTTTAGTAGAGACAGGGTTTCACCATGTTGGCCAGGCTGGTCTCGAACTCCTGACCTCAAGTGATCCACCTGCCTCAGCCTCCCAAAGTGTTGGGATTACAGGTGTAAGCCACTACCCCGGCTACTCCCTTGACTCTTAACCACTCATGCTGCCTACATCTACCATTCATGTGGTCCTTGCTGCTTTGTTTTGGTTATTCCTGCATTTATTTGTCCTTTTATTCATTTATGTATAAACATTTAGTAAGCACCTACTAATGGATAGGGCTCATTGTAGACTTGGAAGCTCTCTGAGGGTGGGAGTATGCCTCGTCCATCTGTCTTTACTTTTTGTAGCAAGGGAGGTAAAGCTCCATTTCCATCCCTCCTTAGTGAGTCAGTAGTCAGTGGTGAGGCTAAGGCTTACCTCTCCCTTTCTCACTCAGCACAGGGGGCTGGAGATGAGCAAGGGAACGGGAGGAGGTCAGCCCAGTATGGGAATCAGTTCTTCTCAGGGAACCCAGACATCCATCCCTCAAGATTCCAGTCCTTGTCCTAGTCCGGCCCTTGACCTCAGAGACGGGATCAGCTCTTCCTCCAGCACCTACCTTGAGGGTATAGAAGAATGCAAACCACATTGGAAACCTGGAGATCTGTGTTCTCATTTCAGCTCTGCTGACTGGCTTCCTGCAAGCTACCTTCCCTCCCTGGGCCTCAGTTTCTCTCTCTGCTGAGCCAGAAGATGTCTAAAGACCCCTTTGGTTCCACCCTGAGAGCCTGTCTCCCTAACCTCAACTTCTTCCCCAGTTCAGAGAACCCAGGCATCCAGCTGCCCCACCCCAGCTCTGGGTAAACAGGAAGCTGGGTGAGGGGAGCAGGGGTGTGCGGAAAGTCCCAGCCAGGTGTGCAGGTCTACAGGGAGGGGGTGGGCCCGTCCCTGAGGTATGAAAGCCCCCTGCTCTGGCTCTGGTTCAGTCTCAATGGGGGCACTGGGGCTGGAGGGCAGGGGTGGGAGGCTCCAGGGGAGGGGTTCCCTCCTGCTAGCTGTGGCAGGAGCCACTTCTCTGGTGACCTTGTTGCTGGCGGTGCCTATCACTGTCCTGGCTGTGCTGGCCTTAGTGCCCCAGGATCAGGGAGGACTGGTGAGTGGCTGCAACAGGCCCTGGTGGAGAGTTGTATCTTGCGGATGCTTGGCTCCCTCTGGTTGTGCCTGTGGTCTTTTGCCCCCTCTGGCTCAGCTGGCTCGGCTGTCCCTGGTGGGGATGTCTTGTCTCTTTGCTGACTCTCTTTCCATGTTCCTGTGATGTTGTGCTTGTGTCCCGACATAAGCCCCTTGTGTCTCCTCTCCTCTTCCCGAGGTACATCTGTTTCTCCGCCCAAGTACCTATGCCTTGCTTGTTCTCCCTTCTAAGGAGGTGTGTGTTGGGGATGGTGCTGGTAGGAGAAACCCCAGGCCTGCAGCTTGGGTCCACTTTCAGAGGGGTAGGGGTGACATGAGCTGAATCTGAACTCTGGGCACTGTGACCCCACCCAACCAGGTAACGGAGACGGCCGACCCCGGGGCACAGGCCCAGCAAGGACTGGGTAAGAGCAGACTGTCTCTCCTTCCCCGCTTCAGACCCTCAGGGGCTCCCAGCTCCCTGCTGCGTCCCCAGATACCTCTTCCTCTAGGAATCCAGGCTCCCCATCCCTGCGCCCTGTTCTCTCAAGGGTAGCCTGCATGGGTGGCTGCCCTGCCCCCAATCGTGGACTCTTTGCCCCTTCCAGGGTTTCAGAAGCTGCCAGAGGAGGAGCCAGAAACAGATCTCAGCCCCGGGCTCCCAGCTGCCCACCTCATAGGTAAGGACCTCCAAGACCTGAATAAGAGTGTAAATAATCCGAAGGTTCCAGTTCTGCTCGCCCAGAGTCCTTCGGCTCCATGATTCCAGTGCTCGGTTTCCCACCCGCTTCACGACCTTTTGTCGCTCGTGCCCACTCTTACGCTCGTCCCCGCAGTGTAGTTTCTTCTTCCCTCCGGTGCAAGCAAAAGCCGGCCTGGAGGTCCCCACTACAGCGTTCTGCACCCCACATCCGTGTTCCCTCGGCCCCCAACTCGCACTCATCCCAGAAACAGCACCATCCCTCCTCCCCCGGCCCGGCTCGGCTCCCGCAGGGGCTAAAAGCCGCCACTTCCCCAGAAGTCCCAAGCCTTTAGGATCGCATTCCCAAGAGCGCGTCGGCCCGTGTCTCCGCAGGCGCTCCGCTGAAGGGGCAGGGGCTAGGCTGGGAGACGACGAAGGAACAGGCGTTTCTGACGAGCGGGACGCAGTTCTCGGACGCCGAGGGGCTGGCGCTCCCGCAGGACGGCCTCTATTACCTCTACTGTCTCGTCGGCTACCGGGGCCGGGCGCCCCCTGGCGGCGGGGACCCCCAGGGCCGCTCGGTCACGCTGCGCAGCTCTCTGTACCGGGCGGGGGGCGCCTACGGGCCGGGCACTCCCGAGCTGCTGCTCGAGGGCGCCGAGACGGTGACTCCAGTGCTGGACCCGGCCAGGAGACAAGGGTACGGGCCTCTCTGGTACACGAGCGTGGGGTTCGGCGGCCTGGTGCAGCTCCGGAGGGGCGAGAGGGTGTACGTCAACATCAGTCACCCCGATATGGTGGACTTCGCGAGAGGGAAGACCTTCTTTGGGGCCGTGATGGTGGGGTGAGGGAATATGAGTGCGTGGTGCGAGTGCGTGAATATTGGGGGCCCGGACGCCCAGGACCCCATGGCAGTGGGAAAAATGTAGGAGACTGTTTGGAAATTGATTTTGAACCTGATGAAAATAAAGAATGGAAAGCTTCAGTGCTGCCGATAAAGATGCTGAGTTGCGACACACGTCTTAATTCAGGGTGGGTGCACGGGTGCGGGTTAAATATTCTCAGTACTCTTCTGGTTGCTTGAAACAATTCATCACAACACAGTGTATGGCCTTTGCTCCTAGGGATGATGGTCTGCCTGTCCCACCCCCTCCCTGCCTCTGAATGGCCAGGCCCCACCATTAGCCCAGTTGGAGGGTGGGAGGAAGGGGGACTTCTCAAACTCCGAAGCTTCTCTAGGCATCCTGATTTTCAGGGCCACATGGTCCCAACCAGACTCTGCACCATACTCTTTTCTCTTGGGTACCCCCCAACAGTGAGAGGGGTCATTACAGAGCCCAGCAAGCACCACTCAGAAAGGCCCAGCAGCAGAGTAAGCCCCTATCATGACAGAGGAATGAAGCCTGGAGGGGCCCCGCACTTCTCCCCCTAGAGCTGCCTGAAGGCCTCTCTGTCTCCTACCCGACAGTCAACTCTTCTCCTCCAAGGAGCTTAATTCAAGGCTCATGGGGTCTGAAGGGAGGAGGCTGAAGGAGAAAGAAGGGGAGAATATTAGAGAGAGATGGGGATGGCAGGAAGGAGCCTGTGGTGCCTGAAAACACCAGGAAGTTCTGGGGAGGAGGAAAAACCGATGCCCCACTTAGGGTGTCCCATTTAGGGTGAGACGGAAAATCCTCACCTTTTTTTCACACTTTAGGTCCCCCTTCCCAAAAGTGAGTAAGTGTGGGTGCTTCTGGGATGAGTAACAGTGTCCCCCATTACTTCATGGCTGACTTTCAGCCACAGGCTGGAGGAGGCAGAGGGTGACCCAAGGCCCTATCTAGGTCACCCCAATGGGTCACCCTACCCCCTCAGCCTACCACATGGTTTTCTCCTGCCTGGCACCCCAGGGCTGGAGGTAAAGCCTAATTTCCGAACTCAGTGGGGGCTCCCAGTCTAGGGGGGCTCAATTTCCGTCTCCATATTTGTTTTTGGAATTATTATTTTTTTGAGACAGGGTCTCGTTCTGTCACCCAGACGGGGGTACAGTGGCATGATCATAGCTTACTGTAACCTCAAACTCCTGGGCTTGAGTGATCCTCCTGCCTCAGCCTCCTGAGGAGCTAGGATTACAGGCATGCACCACTACACCTGACTAATCTTTAATTTTTTTTCTAGAAACAAGGTCTTGCTATGTTGCACAGGCTGGTCTTGAACTAGTGGGCTCAAGTGGTCCTCCCACCTCAGCCTCCCAAAGTGTTGGGATAACAGGCATGAGCCACTGCGCCCCACCCTTATTTGTCTTTGACTCTCTCCAGAAGAGCCTTCATCCAGGGAGGGGGTGCTTTTCTCTTTCCGGATTACCCACCTCTCACCTCTCCCCTCCTTCACCACAAAGACCAGTGGGACCAAGCCGGCATGTGAGTCCTTCACCCACATCTTATTCCTATGTTTCATTCTTTTTTAAAAAATAGAGACAGGATCTCACTATGTTGCCCAGGTTGCTCTGGAACTCCTGGGTTCAAGCGATCCTCTCACCTTGGCCTTGCAAAGTGGTAGGATTACAGGTGCATGCCACCACGTCCGGCAGTTCGGTTCCTTGTTCTTTATTGTCCTCAGTCTCTTCGATTTCACCCACTGAGAGAATGGAAGGGGATAGAACAGCTGGAAACTGGTTGAAGGAAGCCAGAATTCACTAAGTGCCCACTGTGCCAAGGGCTGAGTGAGGTCCTCTGATGGAGGTCAGGCCTTCTCTCACATGCCCTATGTGTGGTGGACATTCCTATCCCCATTGGATAGATAGGTTAAGTGGCTGGTTCAGGTTGCAGAGTTAGGACAGGGTGATTTGAAGCCTAGACACCCGAATCTCTGGAAGTCCCTTGGCTGTGTGATTCAGGTACCTGAGAATGCGGCTCCTCTCCAGCTCTCTCCGGACTGCTGGCCAGCTGCAACAGCCGGAAATCTCACCTGAGCTGCAGGATTTTCCCAGCAAGGATTGGAATTCCCAGAGTTGGAAATTCCCATGCCCTGAGGGAGAGGTAATTAGGTTCAGGCTCTTGTTTCCTGGGGGATGGGGAATATTCTGTTGGGCTTTGTTTATGTAGGGTCTCCAGGGCCCTAGGAGTCTAAGGATGGGACTGGGTCCGAGGGATCTTAAAGCCTGTGGAGAGAGGACTTAGGGAGCTTCTTCCCACCCACAAGAAGAGGCAGATGCAGAATTAATTCCAAGAAGGAGACCATGTTTCTTTTCTAAGCAAACTTTATTTCTCGCCACTGAATAGTAGGGCGATTACAGACACAACTCCCCTGGGGAGCAGAGGCTCAGCAATGAGTGACAGTTGGTCACCAAATCAGCATTGTTTAGACAACTTAATCAGATAAATATTTTAAAAAACATAATCAAAAGAAGGCACAGAGGCCAGGGGGCTACATGGGAACAGCCTATTGTTCAGCTCCGTTTTCACGGAAAACATGTCTGAGCCAAGGCAGCTCCTACATTGGGTCCCCCAGGATACCCCGGTCTCCCAAATAAATACATTCATCTGTAAATAAATAAATAATAAATAAATAATAAATAATCACAAGTGCAAACATAAATAGAGGGAGCTGGCTCCATGGGGAGGGCTGGGCTCCGTGTCTCAAGGAAGTCTGGAAACATCTGGAGAGAGGAAGGCCTAAGGTCCACTTGTGTCAATTTCTAGGTGAGGTCTTCTCAAGTCCTGCAGCATTCTGGCCAGAACCAAAGGCTCCCTGGTCTCCAGATTCCAGATGTCAGGGATCAAAGCTGTAGGCCCCAGTGAGTTCTGGAGGCCCCAGTTTGAATTCTTAGTGGTTGCCAGCACTTCACTGTGCAGGCCACACATTCCTGAATCCCAGGTTTCGAAGTGGTGGTCTTGTTGCTTAAAGTTCTAAGCTTGGGTTCCGACCCTAAGCCCCCAATTCTCTTTTTGAGCCAGAAGAGGTTGAGGGTGTCTGAAGGAGGGGGTAATAAAGGGATTGGGGCAGGGGAGGCGTTTGGGAAGGTTGGATGTTCGTCCTCCTCACAGGGCAATGATCCCAAAGTAGACCTGCCCAGACTCGGCAAAGTCGAGATAGTCGGGCCGATTGATCTCAGCGCTGAGTCGGTCACCCTTCTCCAGCTGGAAGACCCCTCCCAGATAGATGGGCTCATACCAGGGCTTGGCCTCAGCCCCCTCTGGGGTCTCCCTCTGGCAGGGGCTCTTGATGGCAGAGAGGAGGTTGACCTTGGTCTGGTAGGAGACGGCGATGCGGCTGATGGTGTGGGTGAGGAGCACATGGGTGGAGGGGCAGCCTTGGCCCTTGAAGAGGACCTGGGAGTAGATGAGGTACAGGCCCTCTGATGGCACCACCAGCTGGTTATCTCTCAGCTCCACGCCATTGGCCAGGAGGGCATTGGCCCGGCGGTTCAGCCACTGGAGCTGCCCCTCAGCTTGAGGGTTTGCTGGAGGGAGGGAGAGAGGGAGAGGAGAGTCAGTGTGGCCATGTCGGTTCACTCTCCACATCCTGGCCCTCGAGCTCTGCCCACCCCACATCCGGTTCCTGTCCTCTCTGTCTGTCATCCCACATCCCACCTGGCCATGACGTTCTGAGTATCCCACTAAGGCCTGTGCTGTTCCTCCACCCTTCCCTTGAGCTCAGCGAGTCCTTCTCACATTGTCTCCAAGTTCTGCCTACCATCAGCCGGGCTTCAATCCCCAAATCCTAGCCCTCCAAGTTCCAAGACACATCCTCAGAGCTCTTACCTACAACATGGGCTACAGGCTTGTCACTCGGGGTTCGAGAAGATGATCCTGAAGAGGAGAGAGAAAAGAAAAAGCTGAGACCCTTAAACTTCCTAGAAAATACCCCCCTACTTTCACCTCCATCCATCCTCCCCCAAGACCAAAACTTTAAATTTCCCCCACTGCTTCCATACCGGTACTAACCCTACCCCCAAACCCAAACCCAGAATTAGGAAAGAGGTTTGGAGACACTTACTGACTGCCTGGGCCAGAGGGCTGATTAGAGAGAGGTCCCTGGGGAACTGTTGGGGAGAAGGAGAATGGTTAACATCGAGGGAGTCACCCTTAAAGGAGGAACAGCTGGCTGCCTGTCTGGCCTGCGCTCTTAGCCCTGAGGTGTCTGGTTTTCTCTCTCCATTCATCTGTGTATTCACCTTCCAGGCATTCAACAGCTCTTTCCCTGAGTGTCTTCTGTGTGCCAGACACCCTATCTTCTTCTCTCCTTATCTCCCCCATCTCTCTCCTTAGCTGTCATATTTCCCGCTCTTTCTGTCTCACCATCTTTATTCATATCACTTGTTTCTTCCCCCATCTCTCTTCTCACACCCCACATCTGTCTCCATATCTTATTTATATATCTGCTTGTTCATTCATTCATTCATTCATTCACTCCATACACACTTAGTGAGCACCTTCCATGTGCCAGACATCCTGTCTCTCCATCTTTCTCTCTCTCTCTTCCCCATCTCTTGCCACATCTCTTTCTGCATCCCCGTCTTTCTCCACGTTTTTTTCTCTCCATCCCTCCCTATCAGCGCACATCTTTCACCCATCCCATCTCTCTCCCTCTCTTGCGTCTCCATTTCCCCTTGGGTGGGAGAGTGGATGAAGGCTGGCCAGGCACTCACCTCTTCCCTCTGGGGGCCGATCACTCCAAAGTGCAGCAGGCAGAAGAGCGTGGTGGCGCCTGCCACGATCAGGAAGGAGAAGAGGCTGAGGAACAAGCACCGCCTGGAGCCCTGGGGCCCCCCTGTCTTCTTGGGGAGCGCCTCCTCGGCCAGCTCCACGTCCCGGATCATGCTTTCAGTGCTCATGGTGTCCTTTCCAGGGGAGAGAGGGTGGAGCCGTGGGTCAGTATGTGAGAGGAAGAGAACCTGCCTGGCAGCTTGTCAGGGGATGTGGCGTCTGAGGGTTGTTTTCAGGGGGGGTCTGTAGTTGCTTCTCTCCCTCTTAGCTGGTCCTCTGCTGTCCTTGCTGAGGGAGCGTCTGCTGGCTGGGTGTGCCAACAACTGCCTTTATATGTCCCTGGGGCGAGAGGAGGGCGGGGAAAGAATCATTCAACCAGCGGAAAACTTCCTTGGTGGAGAAACCCATGAGCTCATCTGGAGGAAGCGGTAGTGGGCCCTGCACCTTCTGTCTCGGTTTCTTCTCCATCGCGGGGGCGGGGATTTGGAAAGTTGGGGACACACAAGCATCAAGGATACCCCTCACACTCCCCATCCTCCCTGCTCCGATTCCGAGGGGGGTCTTCTGGGCCACTGACTGATTTGTGTGTAGGACCCTGGAGGCTGAACCCCGTCCCCATGCCCCTCAAAACCTATTGCCTCCATTTCTTTTGGGGACCAGGTCTGTGGTCTGTTTCCTTCTAACTTCCAGACAGGATGCAGGAAAAAGATAGAACTAG